>NC_000015.10:30549601-30852631 GCF_000001405.40 Homo sapiens
AAGACATGTGCAACTTGTGTTTTTCACTGAATAGATCATGGACTTAATGCATATAGAGCTACTTTGTTTTTCATGATTGTGCCTTCAATTATATGTAGAAATATAATTTGTGAATTGCCTGATGAAATTTTCCTAATTTTGAATTATCTTTGCATTCCTATAATAAACACTGTTAGAATGGCTATGGTAATATTTTATTTTTGCATTTTTACTTCTGTATTAAATAAGATTATAGTTTTGTTTGTTTCCTTTAAGGCTGTTATTTCAGTATCAAGGGTATGCAGGGCTGAGTTGGGAAGCTTTACATCTTTTTTCTAAGATCTAGGATGTAGATCTGGTTTACACAGTAATTTTCAACTGCAGGAGTATTTTGCCTCCTATGGGACGTTTGGAAATATCTGGAGACATTTTTGTGGTCACAACTGGTCATGGTCGGGAGGTCTCATTGGCATTCTGTGGGTAGAGGGAATGTTACTAAATGCCCGACAACACACCAAGAGAACCCTCCACAAAGAATTATCTGGCCCAATATATCAATATTGCTGAGGATGACAAATTCTGGTTTAAATATCCAATTTGGAGGATGAGTCTTTGTCTTTTTCCTTCTTCTGCATATTGGTCTCCAGATTTCCCACTTCTTCAGTTACTTTTCGTAACTGTAGGTTCTTAAAAAAAAATGAACACTTTGGATGGGTGCGATGGCTCATGTCTGTAATCCCAGCACTTTGGGAGGCCGAGGCAGGTGGATCACGAGGTCAGGAGATAGAGACCATCCTGGCTAACATGGTGAAACCCTGTCTCTACTAAGCCAAAATACAAAAAATTAGCCAGGCGTGGTGGCGGGCGCTTGTAGTCCCAGCTACTCGGGAGGTTGAGGCAGGAGAATGTTGTGAACCCAGGAGGCGGAGCTTGCAGTGAGCCAAGATCACGCCACTGCACTCCAGCGTGGGTGACAGAGCGAGACTCCGTCTCAAAAAAAAAAAAAAAAAAAAAATGAACATGTCATCCATACTTCTAAGGTGTTGTAAAGATGTGTAAAGTTTTCACTTTTTGCATCATATTCACATGTGGCTATATGCCCTTTTCTCTTCAAAGTTTTCTTTATCTTGATTACTTATCAGAGGCTTGACTGTTTTATTATCTCAGTCTTTTGAAAGAATCCTCCTTTAGTTTTATTTTTTAAATCTAGTGGTTTTTCTTTTTCCTTAGGTCTTAATTATTTCCCCCTTTTTGTTTGTTTTGCTTTTCCTAGTTTAGTGGATCAATGTAATTTAAATTGCTTTTTAAACAAACGTGTAAGGGTATACATTTTCGTTGGCTGCTGTTTGACTTCGTTGCACAAGTTTTAAAATCTATTTTTTAATAGTTTGTATTTTCTAAATTATTTTATTGCATCTTTTGTTCACATTGCTCTTACTATTAATTTTTTATTTTAATTAATTAATTAATTAATTAATTAATTGAGATGGAGTCTTGCTCTGTAGCCCAGGCTGGAGTGCAGTGGCATGATCTTGGCTCACTGCAAGCTCCACCTCGGGGGTTCATGTCATTCTCCTGCCTCAGCCTCCCAAGTAGCTGAGACTACAGCTGCCTGCCACCACATCCGGCCTTTTTTGTATTTTTAGTAGAGATGGGGTTTCACCGTGTTAGCCAGGATGGTCTCGATCTCCTGACCTCATGATCCACCCACCTTGGGCTGTCAAAGTCCTGGAATTACAGGCATGAGCCACTGCACCCAGCCCAAAAGCTTTGTGCTTTTACAGATATTAGACATGTTTCTTGTTTAAGAAAAAAAATCTTAACGAAAACGTAGGAGAATAAGAGAAACATTTTTCCAAAAAAGAGAAATCATTGTGATTATTTTATCTTATTAGAATGTTGGATAATATAGTCTGCTTCATTAATCATCAAGCATGCTATGCATTTTCCATTTTTATAGGATCTGTATCTCAGTTAAGGTAATACTGGTAATTTTTGTACTGTAATCAAAGATGAAAAATATAGGCCAAAATCATAGACCTTGCATAGAAGCTGGATAATGAAGACAGCTATGGAGAAAAACATAGATACACACATATGGACACACATATATATAAAGTATACACACATATATTTTTTAAAGTTTTAAAGCTTTTAAAGCAAAAGCCAGCCCCTCTTCTCTTCCAGAGTGGGAGGCCTCTCCCCTCTCTTAGAGTGGGTGGGGAGAGCGGTTGCCACGGGCAGCTTTCCTTGTGAGCCACAGGGCCCTCTGGACACGCTGCTGTCTGGCCACGCCCCCTTTCCCTTTCATCTTTCTCATTGACCAATGGGCTTGGAGCATTAAGGCCACGCCCCTATTCCGCATTCTACTGGGGCCCTGGTTACGCCTCCTCTGGCTCAGTCACACAGCTGCCTGGTAGGTGACTGGAGGCCTTGATCGGTTCTTATTGGGATTTTGCTGCTGTGGCCCCAACCCTTCCTCCCTCCCCACCCTGCAATGGCAGAAGAAACTCAACACAACAAATTGGCTGCAGCCAAGAAAAAGGTAAAAACGCACTAGGTCATAGCCCCTCAACCCAGCCACAGATCCCCTCTGATGACAAGACCCCTGCCAGAGTCTATATGACTCCTGAGGCACACTGGACTGGTCCCCCCAACCCCGGTGCCTTGGGCTACCCCCACCAAAGTTTTGTCAGTCAGCCCCACCCCTTCAGCAAGCAGCCCAGTCCTTGCCCTCGCCAATCACCCCAGGGTGACTTTGGGTGGGTGACTCCTGGGGCTTCCCGCTCCATTACTGGGCCCTCATCTCCTGCCGCCCCAAGCTTGATCTCCGTGGGCTCTTTGGGCTCTCATCTCCAAGGAGCCAGGCCCCACCCTCGCCAGTCATCCTTGGGTGACTTTGGGCTGGTGACTCCTGGGACTCCCTGCTGCAGACTGTGCCCTCCCCTCCTGCTGCCTCAAGGTCGACCTCCCTGGGTTCTTTGTGCTGGCGTCTCCAAGGAGCTGGGTCCCAACCCTGTGCTTCCCTCCCCCATCGTGGAGCAGCGACTTGGACATGGTGCTGACATGGTCCCTCCCCCCGACCAGGAGGAGTGGAATGTTGTGATGTCACAGTCCACCTAGTAACTGCCGTTACTGCAAGACTGGCCTTTGACCTTACGACCCAGTCCCCTAAGCGTTCTCACCCCGTTTCTGGTTCCTCTGGTCACAGCACAAATTTCCAGCTGGAAGGGGAATGGAGACTATGGGACCTAGGAGCAAGAGGTTCCAGGCTGCCTCACTCCCTTACAGATGTTGACGGTGGGAAAAGCCTACACTTCCCCCATGAACTCAAAACATTGACAGTATCTCTGGGTGGCAATGAGAGAATGGGTTTGATTTGGTTTTCTCCCAGGCTTCTACTTTCCAGAGAGATTTTAACATTTTTTTCTGAGTTCTCCACCTCATATTCTAATTCTCCATGGTTCTGGGACCAGACTCTCCTTCAGTCAGTGGTCTCTGAAGTGAGATTTGCTCATCTTCTGTGGAATAGATCTTGGGAAACTGAACTTGACACCTTGAATCTTCCTCATATTATCTCAACCTTGGGTACTTTGAGTGCCACAGGATAAATGTGGGACATCTTTCTGAAGCATCAGTTTCCCTTGATTCTCTTGAGATCAAGAGAAAAAACATGAATGTACTTAGGGAGGACAGTCACATAGGTTTCTAAGAGTATACCAGACCTCTCTCTGAAATGAGGCTTGGGTTGTCCTCTTTCTGATAAATTCTGATTTAAGAGAAAGGCTGCCTTCTGCCATGAGGACACATTGATATAAAAGTTTGAGAGGTACTGGTGCACTTCTTCACACTAACAGACGTGTGAGGATGTATGACTAAACCACATGGCATACAGTTCCTGCCTACTTAATGTTTACTTTTCTACCTCTGCCTCTGGTTTTGGTCCCTGGCAGCTGCTGATTCTTGGCAAAACCTCAGAGCTTGGAGTCAGAAGACTGAGTCTCAAAGTTCCAGTATTGCCTTTTTCTTTTTTTTTTCTAGCCATGATATCAATCCTTCTCAGTCACTAAATGAGTGTGACAACACCTTGTACAGTTGTTGGTGTCATTAAATCAGATGGTGTGTAAGTGTATTTTGTAAAAACTGTAAAGGAGGTTGTGGCTGTAGGGGCTGACGGTTCTCATGAATATTACTGCTCTTCTTTCCAACAGTTAAAAGAATATTGGCAGAAAAACAGACCTAGAGTTCCAGCAGGAGTGAACAGAAACAGGAAAACAAATGGCAGTATCCCTGAGACAGCCACTTCCGGTGGTTGCCAGCCACCTGGGGATGTGAGTCTTGGCTGACCAGGCTTCTGGGGACAGGGGGCCCAAGGGGCAATAGAGGGTAATTCTTAAGATTGTGGATGGACTGCTGGGTACTGGTTAAGAATTCTGGCTTTAGCCGGGTGTGGTGGCCCACGCCTGTAATCCTAGCACATTGGGAGGCCAAGACAGGCGGATCATGAGGTCAGGAGATCGAGACCATCCTGGTTAACACGGTGAAACCCTGTCTCTACTAAAAATACAAAAACATTAGCCACGCGTGGTGGCGTGTGCCTGTAGTCCCAGCTACTCAGAAGGCTGAGGCAAGAGAATGGTGTGAACCTGGGAGGTGGAGCTTGCAGTGGCCAAGATTATGCCACCGCACTCCAGCCTGGTGAAAGAGCAAGACTCTGTCTCAAAAAAAAAAAAAAGGAATTCTGGGTTTGAATCCTGCCTCTCCATCTGCTCTGCTAGGGATATGATTTAGGGCAAGTTGCTAGACCTCATTGGGCCTCTCTTTTCACATCTGTATAATAGAGGTGTTATTGTTTCACTTCCATTTGTGAAGTTTAAATGAGATTTGTTATTGTTGTTTTTATGTTAATCCCTAGTACATGGCCTGCTGTAAACACTCAGGACACCCAGGATATGGTTTGATTTTCCTCATCCCCAGTCTCAAGGGGAAACCAGGACAAAGAGAACAGCCACTTGCCATCAGGAGTCACTGAAGGGGCCCCAGGATGGGATGGTGGGGAGATAAGAACCATGAGAGAAGTTGGCACAAAGGAGTTATGGGACAAAAGGTCCAAGATAGGCAGAAAAGAAAATGTTGCAGTTGATGGGGAAGAAAGGAAGTCAGAGGGCTCAGACACTGTGGGGGACAGAACATCTCCATGTGCACTCTCATCTCTTGTAGTCAGCAACAGGTTTCCACAGGGAAGGCCCTACATCATCTGCTACCCTGAAAGATCTGGAGGTAAGAGGCTCTGGGCGGAGGTGCAGTGACCCTTCGGGTCAACCCTCCAACCTCCTCCTCCAGGTGGGACTGGGTGCCCCTCTGCCAGCTGAGACAGCCCACACACCCCAGCCCTAACGATCGTTCTCTCTACCTCTCTCCCCACTCCTGCTCCACCTCCTCCTCTCTGCATGCACCTCAGAGCCCGTGCCAAGAACGAGCAGTAGTCCTGGATTCAACGTCCGTAAAAATCAGTCGACTGAAGAACACCATCAAATCTTTGGTAAGAGTCCGGTGGGGTCCCCTGATTCCACGCTGCCAATCCTGGGCTCCAGTTTCCCCTTGGGGCCCTGAAGAAAGGGGCTGGGGGTCCCTGGTGCCCGGGACAAATAGGGAGCTTGGGTGCCCAGGCCTCACCTGGAGGGACCCCAGAGCATGCAGCATGGCTCTTCTTTTGCTGCCCTCTTTGCCGACTCTCTCCTCTCCAGACACCCCTGCTCGAGTCCTTGCTACACACGCCCTGGGGTTGTTGCCTCTTGGGGAAGTGCTAGCCTGACTGGTTGTCAAGGTCCCCGTATTTCTGCCATGACTCAGTCCCTAATTTGCTCTTTGATTCTGGACAAGCCACCTCTCCTTTTTGGGCTCGTGTTTCCAGAGGAGGTAGTGAGTATCAAAGGTCTCTGTTAGCTCTCGAGTCTGAGATTTAAAGGCCCCCTAGAACGGAAACCTCAGGGCTAAGGGCTCCTGTCTGTCCTTTTCCATCCTATATCTGCTGTGAAGAACCGTACCTGGCCCATACGTGCTCAGTAAGTGTTTATTGAATGAACCCACTTTTCTAAATCACAAGCTGCCAGAAGGAGGGGCCTTTCTGAAACTCCATCTCTAGAGGTTTATGTTGCTGTCCTCTCAAGAGATTCCAGATTCAGACTGAGTTCTGTGGCTGTGGGCAAAAGCCAACAAAGACCCAAATCCTCTGTCCTTGGGAGCTTGAGGAGAGTTTACCGGTTCGTGTTCCCATTATGTCTGAGAACTTTGCCTTTAAAATCCATTCCTGGCCCCTGCCTACCGCTTCCTGATCTGGGGAATAGAGTTGAGGGGGCCACCCTCCATCACCTTATTTGACTCTCCCCACAGAAACAACAGAAGAAACAAGTGGAACATCAGCTGGAAGAAGTAACGTGATTTCGTTTCCTCGCAACATGACTGCTGGGTTTGGGGGGCACTCAGACATACAGGCCCCAGTCTCGTCTCACCCACTCCCAGCCTGGGGAAGAAGGCTCACCCCTCAGATTCCACCCCATCCCCACAGGGCCCCTGATAACCTGGTCCCATGGGTGGGCCTGTCCTGGGGCATTGGTGGCATTCTGGGGGCATGTCTCTTGCTGTGCCATCTCTGCCTCCCCCTGGTAAGAGCTCTGTCTTCCTCTTCCTACAGGAAAAGAAAGCAAACAACGAGAGACAGAAAGCCGAAAGGGAGCTAGAGGTGAGTGGAGGGTGTGCAGTTTCCTCCTGTCCTCCGGAGAATGTTTCTTTCCTTCTCTTTCAGCACTTGCTTGGCTTTTCTCCCAAAGGTTCAAATCCAGACATTGATCATACAGAAAGAGGAACTAAATACGGACCTGTACCACATGGAACGTTCTCTCAGATACTTTGAAGGTGGGAATCTGGGCACCCTGTCATCCTTCAACCTGGCACTTTGACAGGTCTTCAGGGGGAGTCCTTTGGGCCCCATCTCAACTCTCTCATTACAGAAGAGTCCAAGGACCTGGCTGTCCGCCTGCAACATTCATTGCAGTGTAAAGGAGAGTTAGAGAGGGCTCTGTCTGCTGTCATCGCCACAGAGAAGAAGAAGGCAAACCAGGTGAGTCCAGCCACCTGCCCCATCCCCTGGGAGCCTGGTTTTGCAGATGGAGGAGTGAGCCTAAAGGTCCCTTCTGCAGGATGGCGTGTCCTGCCCAGAAGGCAGCATGGCCATTTCTTGCTACTTTTTTGTATGGTTTTTAGTGGCAGCCTGGGGCCGAGTCAGCTGCTGTGGGTGAGTTGGGGGGTACTGTGGGGAGTGAGCACTGGAGGCAGAGCTTGGAGGCCAAGTGCCTGCCCCGCCCTTACCTGGCTGTGGTCTTGGGCAAGTCCTAGGTGGGGTATTGGGTACTTGTACTGTGAAGGTACAGAAGAGTACCTTTAGTATGTTACCATTTCTGTAGAAAGAGGAAACGCGTGCATGTGTGTGTGTGTGTGTGTGTGTGTGTGTACATACTGTGATAATATACATAAAACATGTCTGCAAGGGTTCATAAAAAATTCAGGAGAGAGAACAAGATGGCTGGGAGATACTTCCCTTCTGTACCTTCTGAGTTTTGGACTATGTGAATGTATCATCCTGTCAAAAAGTGAACAAAAGATTAATTTTCCCCTTCCTATCTGTGCCCCCATCCCCAGCAAGAAAAATGGGCTTAGAGAATTGGATAGACCTGGGTGTTTATATCCCAGCTCTGCCTAAGTGAACTTAGGCAAGCACTTAACCTCAAATACTCCATGTTTTTTCATCTCCACAATAGAGGGAATCATAGTAACTGTCTCCTATGGTGGTTGCGAGGATTAAATGGGATTGTTAGCACGGTACCTGGTGAAGCATTCCACAAAGGTTCAAACAGTGGTAATAATGACAATAATAACAATAGCAATATTATCTGATCTCTCTGGGCCTCTGTTAGCCAGCTATAAACTCAGTCTCATTCCCTGTCCGTTCCAACTTTACTGTGTTCTTTTAAAAACCAGACCACGGGCTGGGAAATGCCTTGATCTTTACTGACCGAGTTGTATATTGGGCCTAGCCCTAGCCCTGTTAAGGGGCACTGTGTGGAAATGCCCAGGCTCTCCAGATTGAAACTTCTAACTCTTCACCATCCAGTTGTCCAGCTGCAGCAAAGCACATACAGAGTGGGAGTTAGAGCAGTCCCTACAGGACCAGGCACTGCTGAAAGCGCAGCTGACACAGGTGAGGTTTTCCGAGGGAGGGATGTGGAAGGACGATGACCCCAGGTGGCCAGGAGCAGGTGAGGACCAGTGACAGCCCTTCCTAACTTCTGTGCCCATTCTTGCAGTTGAAGGAGTCATTTCAACAACTCCAATTAGAAAGAGATGAGTGTGCTGAACATATAGAAGGAGAGAGGGCCCGGTGGCATCAGAGGATGAGTAAAATGTTGCAGGAGGTGAGATCTGACCCTTCAGCCCCCCCACATTAGATAGGGCACTGGATCTTTCTGGGCATCTGTAAAATGGGAATAGTAGAGCCAGAGGTGGTCATGGGTCTGGGCTTTGTGGAGGTGGGGGCAGAGAGGGAGAGGGCAGCCTGTCCAGCCTCCAGCCCCTCTCTCCAAGGCCCTTTCCCCTTGTGCTTTGGGCAGATTTGCACATTAAAGAAAGAGAAGCAGCAAGATATGCGTCGGGTAGAGGAGCTGGAGAGGAGCTTGTCCAAACTCAAAAACCAGATGGGTAAGATGGGGCTGGCATGACCTGGGAGCAGGACTGGCATCAGAGGGCTGTGAGGGTGGCTTAGAGTGCCCCAGGGAGGTGGGTGGATGGAAGGGCTTTGAGGCAGAGGGAAAGAGATCTGTGCCAGGAGACGGCGAGTCTTGTCATCTCAATGAGTCTCAGTGTCTCAGTGTCCCCATCAGCAAAGAGGGCCCGTTGCCAGCCACCCACAGTGCTCTTTCTCTGAAAGTCCTTTGGAAGACTGGCTACCATCTGGGTGCGAGGAATCATTAGCAGTGAGGCCAAGTTTGAGGAGCCTGAGAGGAGCTGTGCGCCAAGAGGAGGGTTTTTCTTTTCCGAGAATCCAGAGGCCCTTATTATCTGCTTCCTTTCTCAGCTGAACCCTTGCCCCCGGAGCCCCCAGCAGTGCCCTCTGAGGTGGAGCTGCAGCACCTGAGGAAGGAACTAGAGAGAGTGGCAGGAGAGCTCCAGTCCCAGGTCAAAAACAATCAGCACATAAGTCTCCTGAACCGGCGACAAGAAGAGAGGATTCGGGAACAGGAAGAGAGGCTTCGGAAGCAGGAGGAGAGGCTTCAGGAGCAGCACGAGAAGCTTCGGCAGCTGGCCAAGCCACAGAGCGTCTTCGAGGAGCTGGTGCGTTGCCCCAACTGGGGAGCCTGCCCTCCTCCCTAGCCCTCCGGGCCTTTGTTTCCCCACCTCTAAAATGGGGCAGTGTAGCCCTCGCGTGAAAGGTTACTTCTAAAGGCACCTGTGAGCCAGGTGGCTGTGGGAGAGAGGGGGTGATTTTTCTAACCTGCCTCCAGCCTTCCCAGTGCCATGGGAGGCAGACACCAAGTTCTGGGGTCTCCAGCTGCAGTGGGTGGCTGCTGATTGTTTCTCTCTGTCCAGAACAATGAGAACAAGAGCACACTGCAGTTGGAGCAGCAAGTAAAGGAGCTACAGGAGAAGCTTGGCGAGGTGAAGGAGACGGAAACCTCCACCCCATCCAAGAAGGGCTGGGAGGCGGGCAGCAGCCTCTTGGGAGGGGAGGTGCCAGGTCAGAGGCAGCTTCCAGCCTGGGGGCTGGTGACCACAGCACCCCGCAGGGCAGTCCTGCGACTGTTTCTCGCTTCCTGCCTCTGACTTTTAAAGGTGGGTAGCCCTGGGCTCCTCTCAGGTCTGGACATCATCATCCCAGCTAGAGGCATGGAGCCCCCAATCACAGGGGAAGAGACAGTGCTATAACAGGCTCCTTATACCAGGTGCAGTGGCTCATGCCTATAATCCCAGCACTTTGGGAGGCTGAGGCAGAAGAATCACTTGAGGTCGGGAGTTTGAGATCAACCTGGCCAATGTGGTAAAACCTCATCTCTACTAAAATTAAAAAAAAAAAAATTAGCAGGGCATTGTGGCGCATGCCTGTAATTCCACCTACTCGGGAGGCTGAGGCACGAGAATTGCTTCAACCCAGGAGGTGGAGGTTGCAGTGAGCTGAGATTGCACCACTGCACTCCAGCCTGGGCCACAGAGTGACACTCTTGTCTGAAAACAAAACAAAAAGACTCCTTAGATTGAAACTGGATTCCAGCCTCGGTTCCACTGGTCACCATTCAAGTACTTTGCATCTCTAAGTCTCTGTTTCTTTAACTTCAAAGGGAAGTTAGCATTTTCCTTACAGAGGTGCTGAGGATTAAATGAGAAGAGGGTATGAGATTTGAGGCTGGGGAAGGAGGCATGGGGTTCTAGGAAAGGGAGGCAGTCACTTAGGCCTGGAGTAAGGGGACAGGGGCCTGGGTAGCTGACAGAGCCCCACAGTGCCCTCGCTACCCTATTAATGGGCCCAGAATCTGGAAACCAGCCACCACGTGCCCTCACACCCAGGGTCTTCCTGCAGGTGTAGCTGAAGAGCCAAGAGGTTCAGAGTCTGCAGCAGCAGCCAGACCATTACCTGGGTCACCTGCAGCAGTACGTGGCCACCTATCAGCAGCAGGTGGCCGCCTATCAGCAGCTGACCTGTGAGAAGGAGGCGCTGTACAGGCAGTGACTGCAACAGACCCAGCTAATGAACCAGCTGCAGCAGTAGAAAGCTTGGGGCAAAGCAGTGGCCGAGATGGCCTGCCAAAAGTTGCAGGAGACCCAGGGGAGGGAGCTGCCGAGGATGGGGCTGTGAGGGGGACGACCTGGCAAACTCCATCCCTTCTCACTCTTTCCTGGCCCCTTAGGAGCACCTGGAAGCGGCCAGCCAGCAGAACCAGCAGCTAACGGCCCAGCTGAACCTCATGGCTCTCCCTGGGGAAGGTACGGGAGACCGCTCAGAGGAAGAGGAGAGAGCCCCAGGAGGAAGGGGGGACTGCTAGCAGCATAGGATTGAGGAGTTGGAAGAGACCTTTAGAGCAGCTGGTCATTATGCCGACCGGGTGCCTGCACTAAGTTCGGCATCAGTGTGGTGACCTCCTGTGAGCGGGCAGTCACCAAGTTGCCTAAGGGTGGCTGAACTGGCCAAGGTCAGAAAGGGAGCAGGTCAGAACTCCCACATCGACCAGTAGTGGGAGTGTGCCTGGGCGGAATAGCAAGATCTTGATTCTTAAAAGTAAAAATAAAGAACAACAGCTCATTCCTCTCTGGGGAGGGGCTGGCTCAGGGTTACACAGTGAGGGTGGAGGTAGAGGTGGGCCCACAGTACCTCCCTTGTTGGGTTGTCTGAAGACCCCTCTGGCCACCCCCCACAGGACACGGAGGAGAACATCTGGACAGTGAGGGGGAGGAGGCACCTCAGCCCATGCCGAGTGTCCCAGAGGACCTGGAGAGCAGGGAGGCCATGGTGAGCCTGACTCCCCCTGCACCCATTTTGCCACCTTTCTCTGTGGTCCCTCCAAGACCCCTTTATGCTCTTCGTTTCCCTGCCTTCTGATTTCTCTGGACCCTCACCCCTTCCGAGAGCCAGTGGTCAGACACCATTTCACCTGTGGCCAACATGTGCACTCTCTGAGGCCCCAAGGGAAGGGGCTGCGCTCCACCTCTCTGCCCCATTTCTTCTGTGTATGCCCCTAGAAGAATGCTCACATCTTGCCCTCAGGTGGCATTTTTCAAGTCCGCTGGAGCTAGTGCCCAGGAGAAGCAGGCACAGTTACAAGAGCAGGTGAAAGAGCAGAGGGTGTGCTGCCAGCGCCTGGCTCACCCGGTGGCCTCGGCCCAGAAGGAGCCAGAGGCAGCCAGAGGCCCTGGAGCCCCAGGGCCTGGGGGCGAGTCTGTGAGTGGGGAGACCCACTGGGCCCTGCAGGAAGTCACGGAGAAGCTGGCCCATGCCAGGACTCACCTCCACCTTCTCCATGACTTGAAAATGCCACCTGAGGGCAGGTCGCTGCCGAGATGTGACTGCAATATTTTGGCTCCAGAGCAGCTTTATGGACCACCTGAAGGAGAAGGCAGACCTGAGTGAGCTGGTGAAAAAACAAGAACTTCGCTTCATTCAATACTGGCAAGAGAGATGCCATCAGTGAGTGGGAGGCCAGGGCACGGCAGGGGGAGCTACAGGGCCATCAGAGGGGCCCCAGAATCTGAGCCCTGTCCTCCCGCAGGAAAATCCATCACCTTTTATCAGAACCAGGGGGCCGTGCCAAAGATGCAGCACTGGGAGGAGGACACCATCAGGCTGGAGCTCAGGGAGGAGATGAAGGTAGGGTGTGCAACATCTCTGTGGGGGTGGGGGTGGGGGTGGGTGTGAGGGTGGGCGCAGGCAGCGGCATGGCAGCTGAGCACCCCTCCCTCCAGGTGAAGCTGCTGGAGCTGCAGCAGATGGTATTGCGGCTTACAGCAACTACAACAATGGGCACAGAAAATTCCTGGCCGCTGCCCACAACTCTGCTGATGAGCCCGGTCCAGGAGCCCCAGCCCCCCAGGAGCTTGGGGCTGCAGACAAGCATGGTGGTGTGTAGAGCCCTCAGGTGGGGTGGGTAGGCAGGAAGAGGGGGGCTCCCACTGTGCTCAGATCCCCGCCTCCCTCTCTCCAAAGATCTTCGTGAGGTGACCCTCACCTCCTCTGCCCAAGGAGAGGCCAGGGAGGATCCTCTCCTTGACAAGCCTACTGCACAGCCGATCGTGCAGGACCACCAGGAGCACCCAGGCTTGGGCAGCAACTGCTGTGTGCCATTATTTTGTTGGGCTTGGCTGCCAAGAAGAAGGAGATAAACATCACCATCATCAAACAGCTGCTCAAGAAATTTTTAAATAAGAAACCAAGTTATGGGGTTAATCTCCTACACAATTCATTTACTTCCTTTGAATGTTAGACTCACTCATGATTATTTGTGTTTCTAATTTATAGTTTAAGTTTATTTGTAAAAAGTTAAAAGAGAGTGGGTGTCTGTGGCTCTCACTGATGTTCACTCTGGCATCCTTTAGCATTTTTCTTTTTTAATTTCATAATTGTAGGTCATTAGCGTGCATATCGAGTTTGCCCTTACGTGGTGGGAGTTCAAACACACAAAGACCCACTCTTTGCCCAAAACTGTTCTCTTTGGTTTGGAATAGGCTGCCATGCTTTTTTAATGTTATTGCAGCATGTATATTCACTACAGCATTCAGACAAAATTTGCCTATGTTCTGCTGTTGTTTGATGTAATCTTAATCACAGTGAGCTCTTCCTTAGCTCAATATGTAGTTTGCCCCCAAGTGTGCACTGTTTATTACTTTGTAATACGCCACTATGAGTACTGACATTTAGAGTTGTTTAAAGGCCAAGAATTGGAAACAGCCTTTCCTCCATTTTCTGTGTATTGGTGATGGGAGTGATAACCTTTTGGGGGAGCTTTTTAAATCTCACAGAAGAGGAAAGTGGCCTCCTCTGGCAGGTATGTGCAAGATAGAGTGTGTTTCATCTCTTCCGGTGCCAGGAATTAGCGGTGTATTATGGTGGTGCCCTTAGGATTTGTATGTGCTCTGGGCTCATGAAGATATTGCATCATGAGCTGCAGCAGTTGCACTCTTTTTCGATGACCTAAAAAGGGCTTATTTCTGAGGAATGAAAGGTTCCCATCGTTGACTGTAGATGTGGAAAACCTTTCCTAGCTTAGAGCATTTGTATCTACAATACATTTTAAAGTCAGAGTTCATGTTACCTGTTTTAATCACATGACTACATGCCCCAGTACACAAAAGGGCACTGGTTGGCATTCTTCTTAATGTATTTAGTGAAGATCATAAGAAATCCTTTACGAGTTCAAATGTCCCTGGAACAGGCATATAGGCTCTAGTCAAGAATGAATTAGAGTGAAGGAAAGCTGTGTGACTCCTGGCATTCCTCTCTGTTCACGGAGATTCTTTGAGGCTTGAAGATTGATTTTACCATCTAGACCTCTTTGGCTAATACCTATTCTTCAACCACCTTGGTTACTCTGACATAGGAATTTACTTCTTTTTCTTTGAATGGAAAACACTTTAAAAAAATAGAAACATTCTTATAAACTAATATATGTGAGATAGTTGAAACAAAAAGGAGTTTTAGTAGATGGTATTATACTATCTTTGAAAATCAAGGAGAAGTTTATGAAACTTAAAATGTGTACAAACTGCAGTGCAATCTACTGTTGTTCGTGAATGTCAATGTATTATCAGGAAACGTGTCTATACAACCACAGAGTTATATTTTCTCACAAACTTCTTTACAAAGTGAAATATGTTTTTGTACCTCTGGGTTTCTGTTCGGGACATATTTTGTGCAATATTTATGTGATTGTGCCTATGCATGATGAATGAATGCATTTCAGTTATGTATTGCCTAAATCGTAACTTGATGATGCTTGGGAAAGACTCAACAGTTCAAACTTCATGAAGTTCTAATGTCTGTGTTCCAAAACACATCACATTGTTAGGATGCAGGGAGATAGGTGTGTGTGCTCCCTGCGGTGGGGATTTCTAGTTACTAGATCATCTCCATTTTTAGCATTTGGCATCCTCATGATACTTCTATAAATATGACATTAACAGGAGAGCAACAATACGATTTTACCGATGGAATAACAGATTTGCTGGCATTCACTGAAAGAGTGCAAATATTCGGTCCTTGTGACTTCCACTGACTCTTCCAAATTTTATGAATGTATCAATGTATTAGATAAACCCAGTTTCAGAATGATAAAGAAAAAATCTTAGACCAAATAATGCGGCTAATTAACAGTGGTACGATTTGTAGCCCGTGGGTTTAAAATGCACTTAAAGTCCTGTTCTCGCCTTTTATTTTCTGAACTTGCCGCTTTTGCATTCTTTGAGTTCAGTTTAAAGACAGTTACTTTAAGAGCATTTTAAACCCTCGGGCTAGAAATCGGACCACTGTTAATCAGCCACATTATTTGGTCTAACGTTTTTTCTTTTATCATTCTGAAACTGGGTTTATCTAATACATTGATAAATTATTGCAAAGGTACTTTTATCGTTGAAATCACTTCACTTTTACCCTGATAAATATCAGTGACTAGGAATGACCTTCGGATAGCGTTTAGCATCTGTAACCAATCTGACAATAATGTGTTCATGAGGTGCCTATGGATTAAATCACACACTGGCATATTTAAGCTGAAGGTCAGTCTGGAAAATAAATTTACTATATTGACTGAAATACCACTCTTTGTGTAGGTATTTGTCATATATTTAAGAAAAAGCTAAAAAGAATGGAAATTGTATGACAATAACTCAAGTCTTTCTCCAAAGTGCATGCAGTCTTTTGCGATACCTCATTCAGCCGAGTATTTGTGCTCTTCCTCATTCAGTATAAGGCAGCTTTCAGTTTGCTTAGAAGGCAACATTGGAATGTTAGAGTTCATCAGAAACATAGAATTTTAAACTGTGAGTTCCACTGAATACATTTTGATTTCTGTAGGAAGAATCAAAATACCTATTTAAAGATGGCAATGTATAATAATCATTTTAAAAGTATTTGATTAAACCTGATAATTTTCCAGAAATGAAAAAAAAAATCAGCTCTAAAACCAAAGCTGATTTTAGAAAATTTGAAAATGTAAATCAGCCCTATCCATAATATAGTTTCTCTAAAACTTTATTTTAAAGAGTCATTTTAAAATAATATAACTATTAAAAAATGTAACTGCTATCTTAATGTTCTGAAATAATTTAAAACATTTTAAAATATGAATACTGTAGTATAAAAGAAAGAAATGGTGGGAACGAAAAGCAGAGAAAGAAATGCCAATTCCAGTCCAAAGTTTTATTTGCCAAGTTTTCTTAGAATGAATTTTACCAGTTTATGAATTATTGTAAAGAGAATGTGTCGTGGAAATACTGAAAGATTTTTCCCTAGAGTGGCCTTATTGACTGCTGGTGTGATGCCACTGTAATGTAATAAATTTTTAAGTTGTTTCAATGTGTTGTTTTTGTCTTAAAATTTTATTTTGCGTTTCTTGAAAACTATAGTATTAAAGGTATTGATACTGTGCAAATGCTGGGCATGCTTGGCATGAGATAATGTGTTTCATTTTTACAAAGTTGTGATATAACTATGCAAGTGTTTCTTTAAAGAACACAAGATTTTAAAAGTTATGGGATTAAAAAAGTTATGGGGTGAAAAAGTTATGGGATAAAAAATGTAAAAACGTTGTGGCAAAAAAACTTGTGGGAACAAAGTAGAAAACAGTATTATGAAAAGTTACAAAAAAAGTTATGAAAAAGAAGTTACGGGATTCTTTTTTAAAAAGTCATGGAATAAAAATAAAAATTAAAAGCAGGCCCCTGTCAGCAAAGCCTGGAGAAGTGGGGCCGGAGTCTCCACCGCCACCATGTCCCTACCACCCCTTCCCAGGCAGCCCTTTACAATTAGGGTAGCAGGACAAGACCTCTGTCTAATGGGGAAAGACAAACAGACCCTTTGCCACCCTGACCAGGGCTGAGTCCCTAAATTTCTGGATGATGATGATTGTTATTTAAGAGCCAGAGGCTGGTGGAGTTGGTTTGTTTGGAGGAGGCCTGATGCCCCCCTTACTCTCACCATAGCAACTTTTCCCTCAGGGGGGCTCCCTTCTTATTCAGAGAGGCAGGACAGTGGGGCTAACTGTGGACCAGGCGAGGGCACGGGCTGCTGGGGTGGCCCCCGTTCCCCGGTGTACACATTGTGTCTGTGTAAGGTTTTGTATATTCCAGAGGGTAGGGCCACCCCTGTGTCATACCTAGCTGAGGTTGGAGCTGGCACATGGGGAGGAGGTTGTAATAATTATTTGTGGCTGGGAAACTTATTTATTGCTAGCATAGGACAGAGGAAGGAGGTGGGGATGGGGTCATGGCTCCCTGGTGATGCGACTCCTGTTTATTTTGCTTTTTATTTTGGAATAAATGGATTTAGCCATACTGCTCGGCCTGGTGTGTTTCCGTTTCCCTCACTGGGTCCTGGAGTTTGTGCCACCAAACAAGGAGTCCCAGAGTGTCTTGAGCATGTCCAGCTAGGCTGTTGGGGACCTTCCAGGCGTGTTACCTGTATGCTGCCTGGTGGCGCCTGGGGGATTCCAAGGGGACTGCCATGTAGTCTATGGGGCGCAGTCTGGCCCTGACAGCCAACAGGCTCAGAAGCCTGATCTAGCGGTGGCCGGGAAGACAGGTACCAGCACCTAAGGGCACTGACTTCCACCCAGCCCCGGCATCTTCCGTTCTATCCCCTTGTCTCCCTCTCCTGTCTGCACCTGGTGGCCTGTTCTGTCTGTGCCTCCAGAGTGCCGGCTGCCCTGCAGGCTCCCTCTGGGCTGAGTTCATGGCCCTGCCCCCTGGTGGCCAGAGCCGGCTTCACAGGATAAGAGCCCGCTAAGCTCCAGGGGCTTTCCAGGAAGTGTCCCTTGGAAAGGGCATGGCCTTTTCACTGCTCCCAACAGCACCCTAGAAATGGCTTGGCCTTTCCCCTCCCCTGAGCTCCACAGAGAACACAGCCAGCAGAGGACACACTTCCCCGCCATCCAGAAGGGGGTTTGATTCTCAGCCAAGGGACAGCAGGACTGGTAGAGACTGTCAGGCCACTCAGCTGCCTGCACAGCACTCCCATGCTTGGTGGAGGCGGGGGGGGGCGGGAGGGATGGCGGGGTGTGTCTCTCCATAGGCTGGGCGTGACAGGGAGGCTCACTGAAGGTAGCGCACTTTGGAGGGGCAATGTCAGGGGTTAGCTTTCTCTTGTTTGGCCACAAGACTCCAAAAGGACAGCACGGTGACTGATTCCCAGCGCTAGAGGCGAGGCGGTTGGCCACATGTAGGTGTATGTGTGTGTGTGTGTGTGTGTGTGTGTGTGTATATGTATATGGGTATTTGTAGATATTTCTAGAACAGGGCAGGGGCATACCACAGAGGGGGGCACAAGTTTTCAGCAACGGTCACACCTGGATGTGTCAGCTCACTGCAACAATAGACTAAGTCACAGATGAAGGGGGGCTGGCTTTGGGGCTGGGGGAGCCACTGCCAAGTCACAGAACAGCCGCCCAGGCAGGCTTGGAAAGGGAAGTCTCTGAGAAGAGGAGGAATCTGTTTAGAGTTCAAAGGGGGGCCTGGGGCTCTCAGGATGGGATGGACTTGCCTGAGCCGATTGGCTGGCAGTTGGAGAGAAAGCAGAGAGAAGACAGGAGAGAGAAAAGCGAGCATATCATCTCACACCAGTTAGAATGGCAATCATTAAAAGTCAGGAAACAACAGGTGCTGGAGAGGATGTGGAGAAATCGGAACACTTTTACACTGTTGGTGGGACTGTAAACTAGTTCAACCATTGTGGAAGTCAGTGTGGCGATTCCTCAGGGATCTAGAACTAGAAATACCATTTGACCCAGCCATCCCATTACTGGGTATGTACCCAAAGGACTATAAATCATGCTGCTATAAAGACACATGCACACGTATGTTTATTGCGGCATTATTCACAATAGCAAAGACTTGGAACCAACCCAAATGTCCAACAATGATAGACTGGATTAAGAAAATGTGGCACATATACACCATGGAATACTATGCAGCCATAAAAAATGATGAGTTCATGTCCTTTGCAGGGACATGGATGAAATTGGAAATCATCATTCTCAGTTAACTATCGCAAGAACAAAAAACCAAACACCGCATATTCTCACTCATAGGTGGGAATTGAACAATGAGAACACATGGACACAGGAAGGGGAACATCACACTCTGGGGACTGTTGTGGGGTGGGGGGAGGGGGGAGGGATAGCATTGGGAGATATACCCAATGCTAGATGACGATTTAGTGGGTGCAGCGCACCAGCATGGCACATGTATACATATGTAACTAACCTGCACATTGTCACATGTACCCTAAAACTTAAAGCATAATAATAATAATAAAAAAAAAAAGCGAGCAGAGAGCTGGTGAGGCAAGTGCAGAGCACAGGTGTGCCACAGCAGCTGTGGGAGGGCCAAGGAGTAAAGGGTGCACGTGCGGGTGTGGCAAGGTTCCTGGAAAAGAGGGGCTGGAAGGGAAAGGGGAGGAAGACAGAGGGAGGAGCCGGAGTTTCACAGGTAGTGCCTGGGGGCTGTGGCAGCCCTCCCCACCCCACACGTGCTGGCCTCTTCCACGGCACCCAGTGCACCCACTGTTAAGACTGATGCTCAGCCCCTTTGGGCTTCCCTCTTCTCTGGTCACCGTGTCTTCCAACCCACTTGTCCAGGGCCGCCTCTCGCCTTGGGGAGCCCAAAACAACAGCCACCAGGCCTGATAGAGAAGAAACACTGCTTGAACCAGGATGATGAAGCTAAAAGGGATGGATGGGTGGAGTGATCGCCGGAGCCCCCTCTGGGGGGTCAGAAAGCCCAGGAACCCTTGAAGGGTCCCTGGGGGAGGAAAGGAGGGCATGCAGCTGGATGCCACTGGCTATAGACTTATAAGTCTAAGAGGGGAGCCTCAGCTTGTTGGGGGTTGCAGGTCGGATAGGTGAGGCTGGGCCCTTCCTGCTGGGAAAAGCAGAAGAGGGAGAGTCTATGGCAGGGGAGGTGGGTGGGCTTGTGGGGCGGAGGTCAGCTGGGCCAGCAGGCACTGTGGTCCCCTTGGCTGAATAGCAGAGGTGACCTCTAGGAGCAACACTCCAAGGTGCGTGAGCCTGCTGGCCAGCAATAGTGCTTCAGCGGGGGCCAGGGACCCTGCCTTCAGTCACACGCTAGCAGCTATGATGGTACCTGGGAGGGAGGGAAGGGGCCTGTGTTTCCTGCCTGGCCTGTGAGGTGTGTTGTGGGTTGACCGTGTGTATGGGACTCTCAAGGTTTTATCCTATCTCACCACTGCATTGCCGACAGATAGAGGAGGTGGGACTCTGACTATCACCCCTGCTCTGCAGTGGATTTGGCTCTCAGCACTCCCAGGCTGGGAGCTGGATGCCCTGCCCTGGCAGCATGACTCAGACTGCCCAACAGGTGCGGTGTGCACAGGAGGACTATCCTAGGACTCTGGCCGCCTCAGAGTACAGCCCCACACACCACCCCCTCTAAGCTCTCAGCCCTTACACCATAAACCATGAGCTCTGTGACGGCTCCAGGGAGCACCCATGTCTACCAGCGTGGGCACGGAGCCTGTTCCAAGAGTCCCCAGGCTCAGCCATGGGGGCTGGGGGGCTTTGGGGCCGTGGGAGCCAGCCTTGGTACCTGCATCCGGCAAGGACGCTCTGCACCTGCAGGCAGGAGTTGTCCACGGGCCCCCATGTGCGTGCTGATGGTGGTCGTGTTGATGTCGCCGATGATGCCGAGTGCCTCCTTCAGCACGTGGTACATGCGCAGCATCTCGTCGCGCCACTGTGCCTGCTCTGCCGACTCTTCCATCAGCGTTTTCTGGTCCCCACGTGAGTACAGGTTGGACAGCAGCTCCGAGAAGATGAACTCCTTGGTCTGAGAGCGGGCAAAGAGGGAAGGAGGTTGGGACCTGATGCCTTTGCTGCCCTGGCCTCCTGCCGGGCCCTGCTGGGACTGTGTGCTGGACTTGGAGCCCTGAGTATGGCTTTTCAGACGCGGCTTCTACACCGCTTAGACTCAAAGATCTGCCTCCCCACCGCCCTTTTCTCACTCAGATAGGGACACTGAGGTCCAAAGGAAAAGTCACCTGTCCAAGGTCACACATCTGGGAGGGGACCCAGGACCTATCATGCCACCAGGACACCGGTCTACTCAGTTTCTTAAAAATGTTTTTTGGAGATAGGATCTTGCTCTGTCGCTAGGCTGGAGGACAGTGGGCGAGATCACCACTCACTGTAGCCTCAACTTCTTGGGCTCAAAGTGATCCTCCAATGTCAGCCTGTCGAGTAGCTAGGACTATAGGTACGTGCCACCACCAAGCCCAGCTATTTTTAAAATTTTAGTGTAGAGATCAGGTCTCACTATGTTGCCCAAGCTGGTCTCGAACTCCTGGGCTCAAGCTATCCTCTTGCCTTGGCCTCCCAAAGTGCTGGGATTACAGACATGGGCCACTGTCCCCAGTCCCACGTTATATTTCTATGAGACAGCTCTGGTCTGGACTGTGCCTCCCTCCCTGGACCTTGGTCCCATAGGGCTGGTCAGCATCTCCCCCAGGCCAACATGGCCACCTGCATCCCCAGTGCTACAGGAGCCCCCTGCCCCTATGAGGCGGTGCATGCACGTTGTTGATCATGACGTGCATGATGGTCTTGGGCATGACACCAACCATGAGGTCCCACACGGTCTTGTTGACAATGGCCATGTAGGAGTCCACAAGGTTCTGGGTGGTTTCCATTTGCCGCTCCAGCTATGGGTCCATGGAGTGCATGAAGCTGTCGGAGCCATTCTCCTCAGCCTTGCTGTCCTGTCATGGAGAACACAGTGGCATCAGGGTGGCCAGGCCATGCAGCCAGGCTCCAGGAATCCCTAGGATCTCAGCACCTCCAAGGGTACCTGGAACATTGAGGCACAGAGAAAAACAACTGGCGTGAACATGCACCGAGCTCCCCACACGCTCTAGACGGTTTCAGGTATCTGCCTCTCAGGACCCCAGACTCCCCTGATTCAGTCTCCTCTTAGTTCTGACTCTAGTGCCCAGAATCTGCCTCAAGTTACCAATCCAGAAACTGGAAAAAAACATCTCCAGGTCCCCTGTTGGAGACCTGGCCAGAGCTTGTGCCAGGCTGCAGACGCCTGGCAGGGGGCAAGAAAGGGGCATACTCACTTTCCCCTTGTCCTGGGAGGCCCATGCACCAACACTGCCACCGCCGCCGCCACCAGGGAACACGGCAAAGTAGACACACACAGAGAGGAAAACGGGAAGGGTTGAGTGAACCTGGGACACTGCACCCCAACTTTAATGTGTTGTGGAATTCAGTTAGCTAATATTTTATTGAGGATTTTTGCATCAATATTCATCAGTGATATTGGCCTGTAGTTTTCTTTTTTGGTCTGTGTGTTTGATTTTGTTATCAGGGTAATGCTAGCCCTGTAGAATGAGTTTGCAAGTATTCCCTCCTTCTCTATTTTTGGAATCGTTTGGGTAAGGTTGGTATTAGTTCTTCTTTAAATGTTTGCTAGAATTCAGCAGTGAATCATCAGGTCCCAGGCTTTTCTTTGCTGGGAGACTTTTTATTACCACTTTGATCCCATTATTTGTTATTGGTTTGTTCAGGTTTTGGGTTTCATCATGGTTCAATCTTGGTAGGTTAGATGTGTCTGGAAATTTATCCATTTTTGGTAGGTTTTCCTATTTATTTGCACATAGTTGCTGACCACTAGTGATCCTTTGAGGTTTTTTTTCTTTTTTTTTTTTTATATGGAGTCTTGGTCTGTCGCCCAGGCTGGAGTGCAGTGGCGCGCTCTCAGCTCACTGCAAGCTCTGCCTCCCGGTTTCACGCCATTCTCCTCCCTCAGCCTCCCAAGTAGCTGGGACTACAGGCGTCCGCCACCACGCCCTGCTAATTTTTTGTATTTTTTCCGTAGAGACGGGGTTTTACCGTGTTAGCCAGGATAGTCTTATCTCCTGACCTCCTGATCCACCCGCCTTAGCCTCCCAAAGTGGTGGGATTACAGGCGTGAGCCACGCCCCCTTGGGACAGGGACACACACACACACACATAGACACACACACACACACACACACACACACACACACACACACACACACACACAGAGTTGGTGGTTGTGCCGCCCAGTCGCGAGTGTGAGGAAGGGACCAGATCGGTCGGGCAGAAAGGTGCTGGGTCAAGAGAGGAGGGGGCAGCCGGTAGCGCGGGCACGCCGGGTGCGCGCGGGGCGCGCCGGGTTGAGGGGTGAGGGGTGAGGGGTAAGAGGTGAGGGGCGACGAGGACCGGGGCGGGGTAGGGGCAGCCCTTTCCCAGGCGGTAGCGGGGGCAGTGGTGCTGTTGCCCTTTTAAACTGCGGCTTGACGGGAGCCGCGCCTCCTGTCGGTGGAGTCGGTTATAAAGGGAGCAGCCCCGCAGGCCGCCACATAGCTCCCGCCAAGTCCTCGGTGCCCCTTGCCATTTTCCAGCCGCGCTCCCACGAGGGTCACGGCGGCGGGGAGAGGTGGAGCCGCGAGAGCTCGGCCGGGGGCCCCGCCTGGTGGTCGCGGCCATGACAGCGGCTCGGGACAGGCTCCTTTTCCGCGCCCCTCCCGCCGGAGGTGAGGGGAAGATGTCCATGTCCGGGTTCAAGGCCAAACCGAAGTTACTGGCTTCTATCTTCCAGGAGAACCAGGAGCCACAGCCGCGGCTCACGCCCCACCGCAACATTAAGGTGAGTCGCCGGGTGGCGGCCTGGCGGGGCAGGGCGAGGGCGGAAAGCGGGTGCCCAGAGTCCCAGGAGAAAGGGGAAGCTGCCCCAGAGAGGCCGCGGTTCCCCGCCCCTTTCTCCCGCAACTGGCCCGCCCGGCAAGGCAGAGGCTTGGGTGGGAGAAGGCGGAGGGCGCGTCTCTCCAACTCCTAGCGCGGGGCTGGCTTGGGGGCTGCTGGCCCCTCTCGGCCCCTGTCGCTGCGCCTCGAGGTGGGAGCCCGCGGCTGCGGGAGCCCTCTTGGGACCCATGGTCGCCCTCAGTCAGCCCACCTGCTCTAGGGACCGCGACAGGGCGGGGCAGGGCGGCTCCCGCGTTGTTGGAGCCCAGGCGGGGAAGGGGAAAGGCCTTTAAGATTTTCGGTTTTTTGGCCGGGCGTAGTGGCTCACGCCTGTAATCCCAGCATTTTGGGAGGCCAACCGGGCTGATCACTTGAGGTCAGGAGTTGGAGACCAGCCTGGCCAACATGGTGAAACCCGTCTCTACTAAAAAATAGAAAAATTAGCCGGTCGTGTTGGCAGGCGACTTAATCCCAGCTATTTGGGAGGCAGAGGCAGGAGAATCGTTTGAACCCGGGAGGCGGAGGTTACAGTGAGCTGAGATCGAGCCATTGCACTCAAACCTGGGGGAGAAGAGCGAGACTTCTCTCTCTCTCTCTCAAAAAAAAGTTTTCTTTCTTTTTTTCTTTTTGTTGAGACAGAGTCTCACTCACTCTGTCGCCCAGGCTGGAGTGCAGTGGCGCGATCTCGGCTTACTGCAGCCTACCTCTCTTGACAGTCCACTGGTTAAAGCGATTCTCCTGCGTCAGCCTCCCGAGTAGCTGAGATTACAGGCGCCCGCCACCACGCCTGTCTAACTTTTGTGTTTTTAGTAGAGACGGATTTTTTAGTAGAGACGCGGTTTCACCATGTTAGCCAGCATGGTCTTGATCTCCTGACCTCATGATCCACCCGCCTCAGCCTCCCAAAGTGCTGGGATTACAGGCGTCAGCCACCGCGCCCGGCCTCTGTTTTGTTTTATACATGTAATATATTCACAAGTATCTTTACGAAGTGATTTTGATACTCTTTTGTCTTCTCCCTAGAATCTCTTTGTTCTGTAATAATTCTTTCTTAGTTTATATTGATCTTATTTTCCTTTTTAAAGCCTTTCCTTACATATCTATTCTATGTTGCTTATCATTTGTAGTTTTTTTATTTTTTATTTATTTATTTATTTATTTATTTTGAGAGGGAGTCTCGCTCTGTTACCCAGGCTGGAGTGCAGTGGTGCAATCTGGGCTCACTGCAAGCTCCGCCTCCCAGGTTCACGCCATTCTCCTGCCTCAGCCTCCTGAGTAGCTGGGACTACAGGCGCCAGCCACCACGCCCCAACAATTTTTTGTATTTTTTAGTAGAGACGGGGTTTCACCGTGTTAGCCAGGATGGTCTCGATCTCCTGACCTCATGATCTGGCCACCTTGGCCTCCCAAAGTGCTGGGATTACAGGCGTGAGCCACCGTGCCCAGCCCTGATTCTATATTATAGTGAGTTGTACAATTATTTCATTATATGTTACAATGTAATAATAATAGAAATAAAATGCACAATAAATGTAATGTCCTTGAATCATCCCAAAATCATCTTCCCCAACCTTGTCTGTGGAAAAATTGTCTTCTGCAAAACTGGCTCCTGATGCCAAAAAGTTTGGGGACTGCTGGCATAAGTGGTCTCATATAGTAGTTGTCCTTTTGTGCCTGGCTTATTTCACTTAGCATAATGTCTTTAACGTTCATCCATGTTGTAGCATGTGCCAGAATTTCATTTGTTTTTAAGGCTGAATAATATTCCCTTGTATGTATTTAATATGCCTTTTTATCTTTTCCTCTGTTGATGAATACTTGGGTTGCATCCACCTATTGGCTATTGTGAATAGGTTTGCATTGCCTGTCTTTCTCATGATCGCCATCCTATTTCACATCTAGCAGGTGTGAAATTCCATTGATTGAGTGATTGATTGAGACAGGGTCTGACTCTGTCGCCCAGTCTGGAGTGCAGTGGCATGATCTTGGCTCACTGCAACCTCCATCTCCCAGGCTCAAGCAATTCTTCTGCCTCAGCCTTCCGAGTAGCTGGGATTATAGGCATGCACCACTACCAGCTGGCTAATTTTTGTATTTTTAGTAGAGACGGGGTTTCACCATGTTGGCCAGGCTGGTCTCGAACTCCTGACCTGAAATGATCCACCTGTCTCCGCCTCCCAAAGTATTTGGATTACATGTGTGAGCCACTGCGCCCAGCTAGTAGGTGTGAATTTCTATGTCTTAGTGGTTTTGATTTGCATTTACCTGATGGCAAATGATGTTGAGTATCTTTTCATGTGTTTATTGGCCATTTGTCTGTTTTTTTTGGGGAAATACTTATTCCAAAATTTAACTTATTTTTAATTGGGTTATGTATCTCTTTATTATTTAGCTGTAAGAATTTTTTACATATTCTAGATAGGAGTTATAACAACTTTCTTCCTTTTTCTGGATTGTCTTTTTTCTTTCTTGATGGTGTCCTTTGAAGCAGAAAGATTTTAAATTTTGATATAGTCCAATTTATCTTTTTTCATTTGTGTTTTTTTGCTCCTTGTGCTTTTGGTGTAATATCTAAAAAAACGTTGCTACTCCAAGGTCACAAAGGTTTCTGCCTATGTTTTTTTCTATGAGTTTTATAGTTTATCAATATCTCTTATATTGAGCTCTTTTATCCATTTGAATTAATTTTTGCATGCGGCATGAAGTAGGGGGGTATAGCTTCATTGTTTTGCACCTAGACATCCAGTTATCTCAGAACTATCTGTTGAAAAGCTTATTCTTTCCCCATTGAATTGTCTTGGAACGCTTATTGAAGATCAATTGACTGTATATGTGAAAGTTTATTTCTGGATTCTATTCTTTTCTCTGTTCATCTGTCCTTATACCAGTAGCACACTCTTGATTACTGTAGCTGTTTAGTAAGCTTTGAAATCAGAAAGTATGAATCCTCCAGAAAGTTTTTTAAGGTGGGTTTGGCTGTTCTGGGTCACTTGCATTTCCATATGAATTTTAAGATCAGCTTGTCAGTTTCTGCAAAGGAGCCAGCTGGGATTTTAATCACAGTCGCATTGAATATGTAGATCAACTTAGAAAGTACTGCCATTTTAACAATATTAAGTTTTCCTCCACGAACACAGGATGTATTTGTACTTAATTAGGTCTTCCTTTAATTTCTTTCAATCGTAGTTGTGTTGAATGCAGACCTACTTTGAATTAATTCTAAGTAATTTTTATGCTACTTATTGGTTGACAAATATAATTGCTTTTAGTTTTTAACTGTAGTTTTGATGTAATGTGAACTGTATTTGGACCTTGTGAAGCTTATTTCTGCTTTGAAATTTAGTATAAACTGGTTATAATAAAATCTGACTGTGCTAATTTTTTGGTTATGTGAAATAGAAAATCAATGTAAATTTAAAAATTTATTCTGGGCCGGGCGCAGTGGCTCACACCTGTAATCCAAGCACTGTGGGAGGCTGAGGAGGGCAGATCACAAGGTCAGGAGATCAAGACCATCTTGGCTAACACAGTGAAAGCCCATCTGTACTAAAAATACAAAAAATTAGCCGGGTGTGGTGGTGGGCACCTGTAGTCCCAGCTACTTGAGAGGCTGAGGCAGGAGAATGGTGTGAACCTGGGAGGCGGAGGTTGCGGTGAGCTGAGATCGCACCACTGCACTCCAGCCTGGGCGACAGAGTTAGACTCCGTCTCAAAAAAAAAAAAAAAAAAAAATTCATTCTGAAATGCGATAGATGTTGAAGCTCTTCTGGCAGATGGTTATAAAGAGGAATATATAATCATTCTATTGAGAAAATATAATCAATAATGTGAATACCTAAGGTAGTTTATTTTACATATATATCTCGGTATTTATTTATTTTTGAGACAGAGCCTCACTCCTGTCACCCAGGGTGGAGTGGAGTGGCACGATCATGGCTCATTGCAGCCTCAACTTCTTGGGCTTAGGTGCTTATCTCATCTCATCGCAGCCACCTGAGTAGCTGCGACTACAGGTGTGCGCCACCATGCATGGCTAATTTTTTGTATTTTTAGTAGAGGTTTCCCCATGTTGTCCAGGCTGGTCTGAAACTCCTGGACTCAAGTGATCTGCCCGCCTCGGCCTCCCAAAGAGCTGGGATTACAGGTGTGAGCCACTGTGTTGGCCTTATGTTTTATAATTTTTAAATGATACTTTTTATTCTATTACAAAACATATATAATTGTAAAAAACTTGTAAAATATAAAAGAGGACAAAGACAATAGAAAAATTATTTACAATGTAATTCCCAAGTAAACACTGATTACCTTTTTTTTTTTTTTTTAGAGCCTGTTGCTCAGGCTGGAGTGCAGTGGCACCATCATAGTTCACTGTAACCTCATACATCTCATACATTTTGATATTACTACTTCTGGTTTTATACATAATGTGTTCACTTTGAAGCAAGAGAGTATAATTTTATAACGATTATTTTCATTTAATGATCATGATCTCATTGCAATTATTGATCATTTAGTTTATTCCTGAACATTTTGTTTTATATATTTTTGCTATTGTGAGTGGGATATTTGTTATAACTTGGCATTTGTGCCTACACTCAATTTACCTATAGGAAACTAATTTTTGCATACAATTGTTTTAATTGGTGCAGTGGCACAATCTCAACTCACTGCAACCTCCGCCTCCCAGGTTCAGGTGATTCTCCTGCCTCAGCCTCCTGAGTAGCTGGGATTACAGGCACATGCCACCACACCCAGCTAATTTTTGTATTTTTAGTAGAGACAGTGTTTCACCATGTTGGTCAGGCTGGTCTTGAACTCCTGACCTCGTGATCCACCCGCCTCGGCCTCCCAAATTGCTGGGATTACAGGCTTGAGCCACCGTGCCCGGCCTCGGCCTCTTTGTGTGTTTTCGTATATCTTTCATCTGAGTTGCAAGGGGCACCTTGGGTTTCCAGGAATTTTCTTAGCTAACTCTGTTCCTTTATCTATGACCCTTCCTCACTAGTTTTGGATAATTTATTTTCCTTCTTCCTTACTTCACTGATTTACTTTTCTATTTTATTTAGTTTGCTAGTCATTGTTTCTTTTAAGGTTCTTAAGCATAAATCCTTTTTTTTTTTTCTGATGGGAAATACTGGGGCATAGCACTAGGAATACAAATTATGTTTAAATAGAGCACAAAGAACCATCTCAAAGGAATAACTGATGGTGAATGTCTGGTGATTGATTTTATTATGTATCATCTCTAATGAGGCTTAATAAATAATTGAGGTTTAACACTTAGGTAACCGGTCTGTATTTAAGTCTGAAAATTTTTGTATGTTACAGTTTCAACTTCACATTGAATATTCTGTAAAGCAGAAATAAATTGATCAGCATTCTATGAATGAAAAATAAAGCCATGGGTCGGGTGCAGTGGCTCACACCTATAATCCCAGCACTTTGGGAGGCCGAGGCAGGTGGATCACCTGAGGCCAGGAGTTTGAGACCAGCCTGGCCAACATGGTGAAACCTTGTCCCAGCTACTGGAGAGGCTGAGGCAGGAGAATGACTTTAACCCAGGAGACAGAGGTTGTGGTGAGCTGAGATCGCGCCACTGCACTCTAGCCTGGTGACAGAGCAAGACTCTGTCTCAAAAAAAAAAAAAAAAAAAAAAAAAAAATTAGCTGGGCATGGTGGTGCACACCCGTAATTCCACTACTTGGGAGGCTGAGGCAGGAGAATCACTTGAACCCAGGAGGCAGAGGTTGCAGTGAGCCAGGGTTGCACCACTGCCCTCCAGCCTATGTGACAGACTGAGACTCCATCCCTAAAAAAAAAAAAAAACCAAAAAAAACCATGCTGGTAATCAAAAAAGCAGTTTGCCTCATCAGAGTTTAGAACGTTGAATTGTAAAGATCTTTTTTGTAGTCCTAGCCAGTTTTAATGGTAACATGAGCAATTCAGTTACTTTCTCAGAGTTTTATATTTTTATCTGTAAAATGGAAATTATGGTACCTACAGTTTAGGATTTTTGTGAAAATCAAGTGAGACTGCAAGTGTCTTGAATAGCAGTGGAAGTACATTGATATAGGTGATATTTTACAGTGGTGTCTTCCTCAGCATCATATTAGTTCAGTGTTTTAAAGCTCTATATTAGTCACAGAAACAAAGTCAAATTTTTGTTCTCATTTCAGATTACAAGTGGACACCTGAGTCAGCAGGACCTGGAATCCCAGATGAGAGAGCTTATCTACACGACTCAGATCTTGTTGTCACCCCCATTATTGACAATCCAAAGGTGCAGAAAGCACTCTGACAAGTGAGTTGTAGACTTTACTGAGATCTGAAATCTGCATAAGATTTTCATTCAGAATATTATTTACTGTCTAATCTTTCCTGTTTCTCTTGTCCGCTACTCTTTCATTTGTGCTGCATGTCTGCATTTCCAGCTCCCGCTCTGTCTGCAACCCTTTCCTCTGCCTTCACTTCCGCTTCACTGGAGTTCTAAGTTTTCCCCCCTCTGTTTTGAATGAGTCAGCTCTGCTTCTCACTACTGCTTTCTTCCACATGCCACGGAGGGGTTGCCAGCCTCTTGACCTCAGACCTTAGCTCTCAGTCCCATCGTTTCTCCATCTGCACTAATGTGAATCACTCTAAGTATTCTAGTCTCTGATGTGTTTTGAAGGCAGAAGCAGTCAGAGGGCACTGCTCACCAGGCTGGGCTGGGCAGGCAGATCACACGGAAGCCCTGCCCTGTCACAGGTTGTTAATACTGCAGGGGAGATGGTGGGGAGACACTATGGGAACTTGAGGAGTCATGGTTCACAATGTACTTCTAAACCACTGTGAGTTTTTTTGCTTCTTGTCTTTTGGAATATAATACTTTATTGCTGGGGGATAATGAGTATTTACTTTAAAAAACAGATGCATTTCTAAGTCCCTCTGTTTTGTCTTGACTTCCAGCTCCCCAACATACTCACATTCCACTACTTATTCTCTATTTTAACTTTACTGCTTCTTTTACTTTTTTTTAGTTTTACTTTTATTTTTTATTTTTTTGAGACAGAGTCTTGCTCTGTCACACAGGCTGGAGTGCAATGACGCGATTTTGGCTCACTGCAAGCTCCGCCTCCCAGGTTCATGTCATTCTCCTGCCTCAGCCTCCCAAGTAGCTGGGACTACAGGTGCCCGCCACCACGCCCTGCTAATTTTTTGTATTTTTAGTAGAGACAGGGTTTCACCATGTAAGCCAGGATGGTCTCGATCTCCTGACCTTGTGATCCACCCACCTCGGCCTCTCAAAGTGCTGGGATTACAGGCATGAGCCACCACACCTGGCCTTCTTTTTCTTTTTTAAATATCTTTTTCTGTATTAATTCATGACTGTTTTTTTCTTGTCTCATTGGGAACATTAGTGTGGTTTAGAACAATGTAAGGGTTTTTGGATTCATGTTTATTTTCTAGATAGACAGCATTTTATATAGATGATTTAGCTGTTTTTCATAATGGAGCTAATTCTTTTTGTGAGTTCATATGTCTGGCAGTGTAACTTTATTATGCTAAGTTTGATGTGCATTGGCGCATTTTCAAAATGGGCTTTCTAGAACAATTTGTGATATCTTTCCCAGGGGTGTCCAGTCTTTTGGCTTCCCTGGGCCACACTGGAAGAAGAATTGTCTTGGGCCACACATAAAATACACTAACAATAGCTGATGAACTAAAAAACCAATAAAAAAAAATTGCAAAAAAATTCTTACAATGTTTTAAGAGAGTTTATGAATTTGTGTTGGGCCATATTCAAAGCCGTCTTGGGCCGCATCCAGCCCACGGGCTGCGGGTTGGACAAGCTTGCTTTACACAATATTCTGTGTTTCCTTTTTTCCTCTTATAACCATATTTGATAGTTTATGGGAAGCCTTCATCAGTGGAAATTTTTGTGTTTAACTTTTAATTCTAAACTACTTTTAGAGAAAAGATTAAAAAATAGTTGAGAACTCCTGTATAGCTTTTGCCCAGCTGCTCTTAATGTTCACATCTTATAGGTCTATAGTATAGTTAGCAAAACCTGGGAATTAACATTGGTATAGTGTTAGTCAGGCGGGATAATCCTTACCTGTGCCTCCTTTTGGAGGGCAGCAGAATGTGGTAGTTGGAGTTGCATGATACTTGATTCATATCTCTGTGTAATGATGGCATGCAATACCCTGACTGCTCCTTTCGAATTCTTCCTGAAAAGGGAAAAATAAAACATGAGAATAGTGCTGCTAACTACCAAATGCATTTGAATTTTACCGGTTGCCTCTAATGTCCTCTTTTTTTTTGTTCCAGGATCCCACATTACAGTTAGTTGTTATGCCTCCTTAGTCTCATATAGTCTGTCCTAGTTTTTCACGGTTTTGTCAGAATTTCTCAGACTTTGCTTGTCTTTCATGACCTTGACAGTTTGTCTTTTATTTTGTTTTGTTTTGTTTTTTGTCACCCAGGCTGGAGTGTAGTGGCGCGATCTCAGCTCACTGCAACCTCTGCCGACCGGGTTCAAGCTATTCTCCTGCCTCAGCCTCATGAGTAGCTAGGATTACAGGCACCTGCCACTGCACCTGGCTAAGTTTTGTAGTTTTAGTAGAGATGGGGTTTTACCATGTTGGCCAGGCTGGTCTTGAACTCCTGACCTCATGATCCACCTGCCTAGGCCTCCCAAAGTGCTGGGATTACAGGCGTGAGCCACGGCACCTGGCCTTTGTATGTTTTTGTAATACATGTTATAAAACGTATGACTCAAGTCCTTGACACTTTGAAGAGTAACTGGTTGGGTGTTTTGAAGAATGTCCCTTAATTTAGGTTTGTCTAAGGGTTTCTCATGACTCGAATGAGATTATGAATTTGGATTATGAGATTAGAATGAGAATATGCATTTTAGTAAGAATACTACAGTAAGTACAGTAATGCTGGTTACTTAATTAGTAAAGGTTTTAAAAATATTACATATAGAAGTTTTGCAGAAGTTAGGTATAGAAATGATGGTTGAATTTTTAATTAAAAGTCTCAAGATGCAGTATCTGGCTGTCCTAAGCTCATGGATCCAACTACATGGTTTCTTCACATTTCTGAAATAAATTATGCACTTTCCAATTCATGCTATTATGGCTTCCTTGAATGGTGTCTTCTCTGATATAATCATAAAGTTCTAGCCATCCTTCAAGACCGCAACCCACCTTCTACCTCTTCCGTAAACCCGGTGTCAACTATATCAAGTAAAGTGCTTGCTGTATTCTCTAAACTACTATTTACAAAAAAAATTCTTTCTGTCCAGGGTTTTGTCTGTAGTTATGTCCTGCCTCTTTTGAATTGTGAAATATTTTCTTGTTTATCAAATGTTTGTCTCATCTTCCCAACCAGAAAGTCAGCTCGCTGAAAATAGGATTGTGTCTTTTATATCTTTGTATCCCCCTTAGCACTTGACATAGAGCCTTACCTTGGCAGGTAAGCAATAGATATTTGTTGAAAGACTGAATTTCTAATTAGACGTAAATTACCTAAAAAGTAAGCCAGGATGGGGTGAATTTTTTCTTTGAAGCTTTATTTTATTACAGATATCAATTGAAATGATTTTAAAAAATAAATTATTATCTATATATGTATGTTTTAATCTGAAAAGGCATCGTTCTTTTTGTTTTTGGTAACAAATTTTACACATTCTTTTTTTGTCCTCATTGATTTATTATCTGATATAAGGGACATATAAGGAGACAGATATCCATCTTTAAAATTGCCTCAAAAGTTTTTTTTTTTTTTAACCACAGATAATGAAACAACCACCATCGGTTAAATTTGATGCAAAAATATTGCATCTACCAGCATTTTCAGGTAGGATCATAAAGGACTTATCGAACATGTAGACTGTCTGTATACAGATACGAATATGAAATTTATTCACAAATGGAATATTTGTATGTGAACAACTAAATTTATTTTGTCTTGACAATTGGTTATATTCTTGGGTCAGTGTTATGTGAATTGTAAATAATCTGTAATTCATTTGTGCCAGCTGTTGACATTTCTCAGCTGAGTCTGGGCTGCCCTGTCCTCTTGTGAGTGGGGAGGTTCCTGTAGATCTGGGCAAGTTTTCCTGTAGAGTGGGTGGGGGGCCTCCTCCCTTCCGTTCATAGAGCTGGTTGAATTTCCACCATTTATGGCAGGTGTAGGTGCACAGGGTTGGGGACAACAAGGAAGGATTGGGATTCTATTGGCGGGACCAGGACATTTGAGAACGGGACTAGGTGGTTCATGACTGTGGAGATGGTGTGGGAGTGGAGATACTTAAGGGATAATTATTACATTTCTGTTGAGCTAATGAAAATCTTATTTACGGTGAAAGTCAGAAATTTTTACATACCTTAAACTTTTTTTTTTTTAACAAATTTTATTTTAAGCTGTTAAACTCAATTTGGGGAAAATTATTCATTGTGGCTAGAGTAGAATCTATGATTTGAAGTAAATTTAAAATATATTTAGGTTTAAATAAACCAGCTAAGGGTTTATATCAGTCAACTTAATTAGTGATAAAAACAACCAAAAAAACCTGTGTAGAAGGACGTTTTTGAAAGACCAAAGTGAAGCAAAATATTAATAGTGCTTTCAGTGCCAAGTAGGTCTATTTATGCAAACCTAGAGAATTATTATTGGGAAATACTATTTCCTTTTTCTTCTTTGAGTTACTTAGGAAATTATATTTACAATTTCTTTGTCTAAAGATTGAGATCAGCAAAAACATGTTAGCAAAAAATTTTAGGGAGTATCACATTTCCTAGATTTTGCCCTTTTTTTATAGGGATTTGGAGGTAGGAATTTCAGGTGATTTTAGCTATCATGTTATCCTCGTTATTTTTTTACAGTAATTTCATTGGAACTTTTTAATAACTGTGTGGTTTGTGCTTTTCTCAATATCTGAGAGTTGATTTATTTATACAAAGGCTTTTTTGTCTTTTACTCCAGTTGTATTGAACTTTGCATTTTGTTATAATCTAGGTTGTGAGACAATTCTGCTTTAGACATCTGCTTGGTTTGAAAGCATAGTTTTCCATTGAAGTGTTTAAAAAGTTTCCATGGATAGATAAAGAGATGAGGAATATAGAAGGACAAATAGAAGTAGTGTCATCTTTGGAGTATTTTTGGTGTTGACAGAGTAATGTTTTCTTTGTCCTCATCTTAGCTGTCGTAACTCTGTGTTTATTTCTCATGTAATGTTTCCAGCAGTTGTTTTTCTCATCATCATACTTTTGTTATTTTCTTTCCTTGGCAATGGATAAGTTATAATTTCTGAAAGACCAAGATTGGAATGACTTTTTGTAACAAGTGTGCTCGCAGATCGACTCCAGTGAGAAGAGCTCGGGGACCTCCTGAGCCAAGCTTAATCTCCTTTGCTGTTTGTGAGTGGTGGCTGGTCACCAGGAGGTGGCCACCAGGCTCCTCCTTTCCCCACTGGTAGGCCTCTGTGACATGACTTATGCATTTAAATTTATGTTTTTTATAGAGGCTCAAACAAGTGCTAAAATAGCAATTTGATTTAACTACCATGAAAAAACTGATTTATCACGATTTTAGGTTTATGCAAATTATCCTCTGCTTAATCCTTACGTCTTAAAGTAGATAAGAGTAGACGGTGATTTTGAACTTTTTGTTGTTGTTGTTGTTTGTAATACTCAGGTTTCCATTTTATGTTAACTTGTAAGATTTTTAAAAAATATGTGAAATCAGGCCGGGCGTGATATCATAAGACAGACCTTTTACCTTCTCATCAGTGACTGGAATGAACGCCTGTAATCTCAGTACTTTGGGAGGCCGAGGCAGGTGGATCACCTGAGGTCAGCAGTTTGAAACCAGCCTGGCCAACATGGCGAAACCCCATCTCTACTAAAAATACAAAATTAGCAGGGCGTGGTGGTGCACTCCTGTAATCGTAGCTACTTGGGAGGCTGAGACAGGAGAATCACTTGAACCCAGGAGCCAGAAGTCGCAGTGAGCCGTGATCATGCCATTGCACCCCAGCCTGGGCAAAAAGAGCGAAACCCCATCTCAAAAAATAAAAACAAAAAACAAACAAAAAAAAATGTGATATCATAAGACAGACCTTTTCCCTTCTCATCAGTGACTGGAATTAACTGCCCATGTGGAACGGGTTGTGGGTGTTGGTTCCTTTACTGGGTCATCTGGTAAACTGCAAGGTTTCTGCTGTGACATTGAAGGCAGACATCAACCCTCTAAGATATTTTTTTCCTATCCTCTGGGAATATTACTTTTTGGACAATCTTGGTCCATTGGTAAGCTCATGGGAATTTGTCAGAGTTTTTTTGTTTCTTTTGGCTCATGTTTAGCATCGATTGGCAGAGTGTTTGGAGTCATCCTCAGAAAGGAATTACAGTGGTTCGGAGGTGTTTTCTGTAGTGGGCCCTCATTTGGGAATTGGCTTGAAAAAAATGTAAGTTCACTTGCTTCCAGGATGGTATTAAGATTGCTTTTTTTGATAGTTGGCGTGTGTCTATCAGGTAAAGGCTGTCATTTAGAGAATATAAAGTGGTAGGAGAAACTAAAAGTACTGTTCTTAGTTTTTATTTTAATCTTATTCATATACAAGTGCCTTTGTAATTTAGCAAATATCATTTTTGGTGTACAGTATAAATTTCCTTTTTATAAAGATCTGAGTTTTTAACTTTGCTGTCACTTTCTGTGTTTCATGACTTAAATATTTTAATTTTTTCTTTTTTTACATTTACATTTTTTATTCTAGTTCCAATTGCTAATCCAGCATTTGTGGATAGCTGCAAACTGTGATATGTAAGTAACATTTACATTTTAAAAATTATTTCTCATGGTTTTATTAAGTAGTTACAGCATACATATTTATCAAAAGCAGAGTCCTAAGTAATTATCATAAATTTTTCTGATGTAATGATGAATCTACTCATAGGCAATTTTTATGGGCATTCCAATTATAAACTTTAGAATATTTAAAAATAGCCCTTCTCCTAATATAGATACGATTCTGGGATTATCTAAGCTACTCCTGGAAACTTTATTAACTGTTGTTGTTTTTTTATTTTCGTAGAGACAAGGTCTCTCACTATGTTGCCCAGGCTGGTTTCCAACTCCTGGGCTCAAGTGATTCTCCCATCTCTGACTCCCAAAGTGTTAGGATTACAGACGTGAGCCACTGCGCCAGGCTAACTGTTACTGTTTTGAGTATTGGTTATAAAATACTTCAACCCTGATCCCTGTGTATTAATTTAGTTATACTTCCTCAAAGTTTCCCTTGGGCACCCTTATCTGTCCCTATGTAGCACATAGCTTCCCTATGATGTTATTTATAATCTAATGAGATTAATTATGATTTATAAACTCCCGATGGAAGGAAGTGTCCTTACTTTTTATAGAAGCAACATACCAGGTGGAAAGCACCGTAGATCAAGTGTTAGAAGGCTCTGGGTTCCTGTTGCCTATAAGACTTGGCCAAATGATTATCTTTTTCTCAATCTCTGTTTCCTGGGGAGTGTGGGTGGGACAAGGAAATGGCATAGGTTTAGGATTCAGACAGACCTGGGTGTGGATCAAAGATCTGCTTTCTGGGCCAATTACTTTAATTGCTGAGCCGCAGTTTCCTCATCTGTAAAATTGCGATGGGATAACTACTTCATAGATTTTTGGTAATTATTCAACTTTGAATGTGGTAAATATGTGAGATACCTGGTATAGTGCCTGTTTCTTTCTTTCTTTTTTTTTTTTTCTGAGTCGGCATCTCCCTCTGTCACCCAGGCTGGAGAGCAGTGGTGCGATCTCAGCTCACTGCAAGCTCCGCCTCCCGGGTTCACGCCATTCTCCTGCCTCAGCCTCCTTAGTAGCTGGGACTACAGGCGCCCGCCACCGCGCCCGCCCGGCTAATTTTTTTCACCGTGGTCTCGATCTCCTGACCTCGTGATCTGCCCACCTCAGCCTCCCAAAGTGCTGGGATTACAGGCATGAGCCACCGTGCCTGGCCGTATAGTGCCTGATTCTTAGTGGGTATTTCATTGACAGTGGGGTTGGGGTTGTAGAAGTTGTAGTTATTATCATGAAGCTTGCTTATCTCATGATTGTTAGGACAGGCACATGAAAAAACGGAGGTGAAAGGATTTTGTGAATTGTGGCAGTGGTATAATAATTATTCTTCTATGCTGGTGAAATATGGGTGAAACAATAGGAGTTTAGAAAATGTTTAATAATAAGGGTAATTCTTATTATACGTCTTCTAATGTTACTCTCGCAAAGTAAAATCTGGTAATAGAAAGTAGGATTTTTAGGTAATGGTTGAGCATTTAATACTTTGAGAAGGCTTATGGTATGCTCATTAAAAATGAATCAATGAAATATGTATTTAAACACTTTTATTTAAAACGTGTTATATACCTGAATGGGGTGCTCCCTGCTGACATTTTCAGACAGACATTCCAAATCATTTCCGAGAACAGTCATCCCTCTGTATCAGCCAGGAGAATGGTTCTAGTATCCCCTTGGATACTAAAATTAACACATACTGTTTTTTCCCCCACTGTTAAAAATTGAGGTTTGATTGTAAAACAGTTTTAATTTGAATAAAATGATACTGAGGTAGACAAGTTCTCTGGTAGGAATCTTCTTTTATTCTCTTTCTCCATCCAAAGCCACTTCCAGCGAGGTTTTCTCTGACCTCAGGTTATATTACCTTGATAGCATATGATAAAGGGTCCTTAACCTAGTCTGGGAGATAATTATTATTGAAGTAGATACTTAGTTTTGTTTTGCTTATAAAAAATTAGAATCACATGATATAGTTTTTTATGTTTGTTTTCCCCCATAACATATATATTATGTATTTTAAATGTTATCAACATTTTAAAATAAAATACATAATACTTAAGGTAAACGTTTTATATGTTGTGAATATCTGATCATTTTGTTTACTATTTTTGGATAGTATTATAATGTTGTAAACAACATTTTGATGAACATTTTTGAGATTAAATCTTCGTGCCCGCTTTTTCTTTTTCCCTTTAGGAAAGATTCATAGAACTAGAACAAATGGGTAGAAGGCAGTAAATATCTTTGTGACTTCTGAAAAATTGCTGAAATACTCTTTAAAAAACATTGTATCAATAGATAATCCCAGTCAATGTGTTTAAAATGCCTTTTGTTAGAACTTCCAACGTTGAGTATTTATCAAATTGTATATCCTTTTATCCTTGCCAATCAACTTTATGAGGTATAATTCATATATAGTAATAGTGTAATACTGTAACTTTAAAATGTGTTACTTGTAAATTACACATAATTTAAAATGTTCCATTTTAGCTATTTTTATGTGTACAGTGACATTTAGTTCATTCCCATTGTTGTGTAACCATCACCACTATTCATTTCCAGAACTTTTTCGTCATCTTGAACAGAAGCTCTTTACCCGTTAAACATAACTTCCCCTTTCCTTTCCCTTCCCCAGTCCTGGTAACCTATACTCTACTTATTCTATCTTGGTAAATTTGCTTATGGTGAGTACCTCATATTGCTACTGAAACATCGAGGGGTTTGGTCTAGGTCCTGTTGCTCACAGCGCAGAAAGCCAATCACGGAGACGATGAGTGTTGCTAGGGAAGAAGGCTTCAATTGGGTGCTGCAGCTAAGGAGATGGGAGATCAATCTCAAATTTGTCTCCTCGACTGACTAAAACCACGGGTTTATTTAGCAGGGAAGAAATGTAACCACGTATGGGAAAACAGGAGTTAGGGAAGGGTGAGGGAGAGGAGTTGGTCGACAGGAAGCAGGTAGTTGGTTAGGCAATTGTGATGGGTGAGGTGGTCTGGTGTCTTATGGTCCAGATGTGGTGATCTGGTAAGTTTCAGTTCCTTGATAACTATCTGGGAGGCCTGATGGTTGGTTTCCCAAGAAAGGAACTCAGATAAGACAAATGTAATTTTCTCAAGTTTTAAGACTGGGAGGGTCAATTTCTATCTTTATTTTAAAAGACTGTAAACATCAGTTCTATAGGACAATTGGGCTGGTTTCATTTGCAAGGTTTATCCATGTTGTAACTAACATGTGTCAGCATTTCATTCCTTTTTAAGGCTGAATAATATCCCTTTGTATGTAATATACCACAGTTTATCTTTTCATCTGTTGTTGGGCACTGGCTTGTTTATATCTTTTGGCTATTGTGAACAATGCTGCTATGAACATTAGTGTTTTCACACCTGATGGGTGTGAAGTTAGTATCTCATGGGTTTGATTTGTATTTTGTGACTAGTGATGTTGAACATCTTTTTTTGTGATTGTTGGCTATTTGTATATCTTCCTTGGAGAAAGGTCTAGTCAAGTCATTTGCCAATTTTTTTTTTTTTTTTTTGAGATTGAGTCTCGCTCTGTCGCCCACGCTGGAGTGCAGTGGCGTGATCTCGGCTCACTGCAACCTCTGCCTCCCAGGTTCAAGCGATCATTCCATCTCAGCCTCCCAAGTAGCTGGGATTACAGGCACCTGCCATCATGCCCAGCAATTTTTGTATTTTTGTAGAGACGAGGTTTCACCGTGTTGGCCAGATGGTCTTGAACTCCTGACCTCAGGTGATCCACCCGCTTTGGCCCCCCAAAGTGCTGGGATTATAGGTGTGAGCCACCGCACCCAGCTGGTAGATTTTTTGTTTTGTTTTGTTTTCAAGAAGGCCTCTCAGTGGCTTACCTCTGTGCCATGCTTTGGAGTTTGAGCTGTCTTCTCTTTACTAACTGTAGCTCTGTAGGACTTGGGAGTCAACCTTACCTTCTTTTTTCCTCCCTATTTTGTAGGTCTTGTTTGAGTTAGCTTTTCTTTTTATTCCAGGCCTGTAAATTTTACTAGATTGTCTCTAGGAATTTCATTTTACTAATTTGCTTCAGCCTGCCTGCCTGCCATCTCTTTTTACTAATTTGCTTCTGCCTGCCTGCCTTCCTTCCTTCCTTCCTTCTTTCCTTCCTTCCTTCCTTAATTCCTTCCTTCCTTCTTCCCTTCCTCTCTCTCTCCCTCCCTCCCATCCCTTCCTTCCCCCCTCCCGTCCCTTCCTTCCCTTCTTTTCTTTCCATTTATTTTGAGATAGAGTCTTGCTCTGTTGCCCAGGCTGGAGTGCAGTGGCGCAATCTTGGCTCACTGCAACCTCCGCCTCCCGGGTTCAAGCAGTTCTCCTGCCTTAGCCTCATAAGTAGCTGGGATTACAGGTGTACGCCACCATGCCCAGCTTATTTTTGTATTTTTAGTTCAGAGATGGGTTTTCACCATGTTGGCCAGGCTGGTCTCGAACTCCTGACCTCATGTGATCCTCCCGCCTTGGCTTCCCAAAGTGCTGGGATTACAGGTGTGAGCCACAATGCCCAGCCTCCTCACCCCTCCTTTAGCTATTATATTACTTCCTAGATTTCTTCCTCTCTATTTCACCCTTTTTCTGTTCCTGAAACCCCTACAGGATGGGTGTGGGAGTTTGTGTCTCTTGACTCTTCTTTCAAATTTTCTTTTGCTTTCTCACTTGCTCTTGTTTATTGAGATATAATTCACATACCATAAAATTCACCATTTTAATGTGTACAGTTCAGTAGGTGTCAGTATATTGAAAACTGTTCAACCATCGCCACTATCTAATTTCAGAACAGTTTTCTCACCCAGTGAAACCCAGTACCCATTCTTCTCCAACCCCTGGCAACAACTAATCTACTTCTTGTCAGCTGATTTGCTATTCTTGATATTTCATATAAATGGAATCATACAGTGTGTGGCCTTTTGTGTCTAGCTTCTGTCATTTAGCATAATGTTTTCAAGGTTCCTCCGTATGGTGGAATGTGTGAGTACTTCATTCTTTTTCTAGCTGAATAATCTTTGTATGGCTATTCCACATTTTGCTTATGTGGTCTTGATGGACATTTGGGGTTGTTTCCACATTTGGCTATTATGAATAATGGTGCTCTGAACATTTGTCCACAGGGTTTTGTGTGAACATATACGTTTTTATTTCTCCTACAGTGGTGAGATTGCTGGATAAAATGGTAACTCTGTGTTGAACCTTTTGAAGAACTGCCAAAGTCTCTTTGTTAAACTTTTATTTTAGGTTCAGGGGTACACATGCAGGTTTGTTATATAGGTGAACTCATGTTATGGGGGTTTGTTGTATGAATTATTTGGTCACCCAGGCACTAAGCTTGGTAAGGACCAATTGTTATTTTTTCTGATCCTCTCCCTCCTCCCACCCTCCACCCTAAATAGGCCCCCGTGTCGATTGTTCCCTCTTTGTGTCCATGCAAACTTTCTTCTTTTATTGCTCTTCCTTGACTTTATCTTTGAGCTCTCAAACTTGATATTTATCCCCACTCATTTTATTATTTAGGATTTCCAGTTAATTTTTTAATTTCAACAATCATATTTGAAAGTTTTTGTTCATTTTCTTTTTCTCTGATTGGTCCTTTTTCCTAGCTGCCTATATTTGGTGTATAATATACTTTTGAATTTGAGGATAAATATTAGGATTATAAAAATCCTCATCTTGGAGCAGAATTTAGAATTAAATATTGTTATTAATATTTAAGGCTAAACATTAGGATTATATAATATAAGCCTGGAACCTGGACTTTGAAAAAAAGGGAACAAAATTAGGATTATGAACATTGTATTCTTATCTCTTGAACTTGCAGGTCACTTCTTTTTCATCATGGTCCTGCTTTTTAATGCTGTTTATTTCTCAAATGCCTGGTGATCTCTGGTTCTTCATTTATATTATGAATAAATGATTAAATTGATTGGTATAGAAGTTGGCAATAGGAGTTTCCTTTATTCTTGCCTAAGTCTCTTTCTCCAATAGCTTCTCCTTTAAAGAAAGGGCTGGTATGTGGGTAGGTGAGGCCTGTTGACTGGTTGACTTTAATTTGGGATTCCAGCTGGCTGAAGATCAGTAGGCAGGCTGGAGGCCTCTGCAATTGCCAGGGTGGGTTTTTCTTTGCAGTGGAACTGGCTTTCCTCATTTATTCCCTTCCCCGCTTCGGTATCTGGAGGACCACAGTTGCTGCTTCCCACATCCATCCATCCAGTGAGCAAGGTGGATTGCTCACTGTAGGAATGATTTTCCACATTTACCCAGGAGGCCAGGGCTGCAGGGTTTATTCTGTGTACCAGGGAAGGGAGATGGAAAAGAGACAGGACCTGATTGGCTCTGCTGTTCCTTGTACAAGGACACAATTTTTCCTTGTGCAGTTGTTTAATCTGATTATTGTCCTGTGGCTCATTCTTTCTTTTTGTCTTAGTTTATTCCAAGTCCCTGAGGCTTCCTTGGGAACGTCTGTCTACCTGTGGTTCTTAGACAGGGGATTCCTTTGTTGATTCTCTGTCAGTCTTAATTCTATTTGTGCATGTCATCTGAGATTTTCTCAAACTTTCTAGTCCACTTTTAGCCCTCCTTTTTGTTTCCAATTATCATTTAATAAAAAGAGCTTGTATTTTAGAGACTCTAGAGGGTTCAGAAAAGTGAGTGTCAAGTGTTCAGTGTGCAATCATTAAAGACAGAGAATATCTCATAAGTTTGCATCTGTGTTACTTACACGATTGTGATTTAGGGATGCTTTATTTCTTTCCCTTTCCCTTTTATTTTTCCTTTTGTTTCTTTTATGTATTTTTTATTATTATTATTTTTAGAGACTCACTCTAAAAAAAATAGGGTCTCACTGTGTTCCCCAGACTGGAATGGGACTACAGGTACATGCCACCATGCCTGGCTAAATTAAATTTTTTTTTTTTTTTTTTTTTTTTTAGAGACAGGGTCTCACTTTGTTGGCCAGGCTGGTCTTGAACTCCTGGCCTTAGTGATCCTTCCATCTTGTCCTCCTAAAGTGCTGGGGATTACAGGTGTGAACCACTGTACCCGGCCAAAGTTTTTATTTTTTAATATGATGTATAAGGTTTAGAAGTGCTTTATTTTATTTATTTATTTATTTTTGAGACGGAGTCTCGCTCTGTTGCCCAGGCTGGAGTGCAGTGGCACGATCTCGGCTCACTGAAACCTCCGCCTCCTGGGTTCAAGCGATTCTCCTGCCTCAGCCTCCCAAGTAGCTGGGATTACAGGCGCCCACCACCACGCCTGACTAATTTTTGTATTTTTTAGTAGAGATGGCATTTCACCATGTTGGCCAGGCTGGTTTTGAACTTCTGACCTCAAGTAATCAGCCTGCCCTGGCCTCCCAAAGTGTTGGGATTACAGGCGTGAGCCACCATGCCCAGGAGAAGTGCTTTTAACTCCACACGTGTTTAGGTTTTTTGGTTTGTATTTGTTATTTTTACTTTTTTCCTTTTGCTACATCAAAATGAGTCCTTTATAATTTCTGCCCTAGGGAATTCTAATAATTTATCTTTGTGGTCCAATATAAAATCATTTTAAATGTATGCCATGAATGTAGTCAAGTATTGATAATAATGTAGTACTAGTAGTTTGCTCAGTCAGCACAAATTGTCAGGACACAGTGGTAATTTCTGCATGTGGATTATCTCCTGATTCTTAGAACAACATGAAACCAGGCTCATGAAAGATGAGTAATTATCCCAGGGTACTGTCTCCCTCACCTCCAATGGTGGGCCAGAGCTAGGTCCAAGACTTTGAATTCTAGAGTGTTAGACACCATCCTATGCAGCCTCCCACTGAGTAAGGGTGGTCACTGTTTGTAGGGTGTAGAGTTTGATAGATACGTCTGTTACTTTGACTTCATTAGTTTTATTTAGGATGCTTGAATGTGTGAATGTATTGATTAATATATTCGTTATTGCCTTCTCTCTGTGCTTGGAAGAGAAGAAAATTGAAGTTTACCACTACCATGGGTTTACTTTGCGTGCTTTGTTATTTGGTGTATAAAGATTCACACCTTAGATCTTCTGTAGGTCATATGGTGTTTCGTTTAAAGGGAATCTTCTTCTGAAGAGTTTAGCCTTGAATTCTGCTGAGATTTACATTGGCAATCCTGTTTGCATTTTGTTTGCCTTGGACAGCCATACTTTTATGCACTCCTTTCCTACTAATGTGTTTATTTTGCTTTTGATGTTGATATATTTGTTCAACCAACATTTTTAGATGCCCGAGTGCGCTCCAAGCACTGTCTAGGTGTCACAGTGGCGATCGGGATACAGTCCTGCCTTCATGGATCTTCTGGGCTGGTCGAGGAGACAGACAATAAACCAGTCAACGAATGAATAAGTAACTGCAAAATTTTAGTTCTGCTCTAATGTGGTAGCCATTCACTTCATGGGGGTTATTTAAATTAGTTAAATTAATAGTAGCTTACTCATTCAGCATGTATTGTCGGACACAATGGTACTTTCTGCACATGGATTATCTCCTTTGATTCTTTTAACAACATGCGGTATGTATTGTTATCGGTCCTACTTACGAGGTAACCAGGACTAGGCACATGAAAGATGACTAATTACCCCAGGGCACTGTCTCCCTCACCCTCAACTGTGGGGGTAATTTTTAAAATAAAAATTAAGGCCAAATACAGTGGCTCACGCCTATAATCCCAGCACTTTGGGAGGCTGAGGTGGGCAGATCAGTTGAGCTCAGGAGTTCAAGACCAGCCTGGACAACATGGTGAAACCCTGTTTTTACTAAAAATACAAAAATTAGCCAGGTGTGGTGACACACACCTACAGTCCCGGCTACTTGGGAGGCTGAATTGGGAGGATTACTTGAGCCCGGGAGGCATTGCAGTGAGCGGAGACTGCGCCACTGCTCTCTAGCTTGGATGACCCTGTCTCCCAAAAAAAAAAAAAAATTAATTTGAATAAAATTTGTTGTTCCTCACTTGCATGTGTCATATATTATGTGCTTGATAGTCATGTGTCTAGTGGATACTGGATTGAACAGTGCAGATGTGGGACATTTGTCAGTGCACGAAGGTTTGGTAGACAGTGGTGCCTTAGATGCCGTCATGGAGATGGGTTGGTTCTGAGGTACAGTGTCAAGTCACTGGGGGCACCTGGAGTGGTGACCTGAGAAAACCTGAATTTTGAGAAGGAACCTGTACTGTGAGGGTGTTGTCTATGGGGCATGTGGTACTTGTATTTAGGATTTTGGTAAAAAGTGACTATTCATAAGCTATTTAAAGTTTCTATTTTAAAAGTATAGGGTTTTTAGGTAGTGTGTTTTCTTTTGTTCTAATAGGAATTGTTTTGGTCATATTAGGGAAAATAATTGGCTTGTTGATACATTTTTATTTCCATTGATTAAATCTGGTAGCCATTATTTACTTTTATAGATTGAAAAATGGTTCAGTGTTTCAAAAGTATTTTGAGCTTGTCTTTGAAAAGAGATAGACAGGCAGGTGCAGTGGCTCAGACCTGTAATCGCAGCAGTTTGGGAGGCTGAGATGGGAGGATTGTTTGTCAGGAGCTCAAGGCCAGCCTGGGCATCATAGCGAGACCCCATCTCTACAAAAAGTAAAAAAATTAGCTGAGCGTGGTGGTGCACGCCTGTAGTCCCAGCTACTTGGGGGGTTGTGGTGGGAGGATGGCTTTTCCAATTATCCTACAGATATTTTTCAAAATGATTACTTTTAAACTATAATCTTTTTATTCAGAGGTAGGATGCTAGTTCTACAATTGCCTAGGTCTTCTTTAAGTTGTATATGTTAAGAAATTTTAATGGGCAATTTAATAAGTGTTGAAATTTCTAAGAATTATTTCTGTATGTTAGAGTTGTGATAACGCAGACATTTTCCCTGAAGTACTTCTCTGAGTCTGATTTGTTTTCCTCCATGGGTGCCACATAGGTTTATTTTAAGAAGGTAAAAAATAAAAGCTGACTAAGGTACATATTGATTATTCCAGACAACATGCAGACATCACCCAATGAGTGCAGTTCTCATCAACTCACCATTTGTTTCAATTAGAAAAAATTCTCATCAAAACTAATTTTTCTGCATGAAATACCTTTTCAAATCACACTGAATGTGATTTATTAATTGTGATTTATCAAATTCAGTTTTCTGCTGGATACTAAAGGCACACCTCATTAAGACTAGTGATTATGGAAATAGTACAATATTTTAGAAACTTTTGATTGTAAAAATTTCTTTTAAAATGAATACATACAGATATGTTATTGTTCAGATATTTAGCACTTACGTAGAAACTCACTGATCTACTAACAAGTAGAAAAGAGACCTTTAGCCAAATGCCTCTGTACTCAGCAATAAAATGATTAATTACTGTGTTGCTCTTTTCTCTGGTTAAGGCTTTTAACAAATTTTGTTTTTCCTTTTACTATTACACCATAACTTGTTTAAATTTTGTTGCTGTTGCAGAATTACAGCAGACATTACAGTTCATGTCTCCCTGTGTATACGAGGGAGAGTTTCTCTGGGCTGTGTACATGGGGGAGTGTGGGCCTGACCTGTCACATTCAATTTTTATTTCACAGTCTTATATCTAATGCTCATCATTGCATAATGTAACTAGCTGGGGTTAGTTTCCTCAGTCCCTGACTCTTCTCTTCAGAGCCTGTTTTCTCTCCGTTTACAGATGGGCCAAGGTTGCTCGGGTGATTGGTTTACTGGCTTCGCACAAAACTGATCTCCAGGAAAATACACCTGTTGTTGAGGTAATGTCTTTTATGACTGAAATGTGATGAATGACAAGAAGTACTGTTGTTGATTCTGTAATTTAGAACATGCGGCTTTCCTTGACCTTCACTTGACTTTTCTTTGTGGGATTGTGGAAATTGTTCAAAAACTTATCACCTCAACAGACCTTTAGGCTTAAACATAGCGGCTCATTTACAATGTAGTCCATCATTAAAATGGCACAGCAGAGTTAACAAGGCTCGTGAACCCTACTCATCATTATTTCATTTGTTTTTGAATAAGACTTGTGCATTTCCCGTTTTCTTGTAGTCTGTCCAACATTTTGTTACAGGTAATGTATTTCCTAATTAAATCATAGCTTATAATTCAAAATTCAAATTCTTCTGGCTTTTAGTGTTTTCGTATGAAAGATTACTTTCTACCTATTCTGTTAATGTATATTACACTTTATTGGTAATAGAGTGTTATACCTTGAACTGGGAGAGGCTCAAGAGTCAGTGTAGGTGAAAAGAACCAAGGCTTTTTAGGGGAAATAGCAAGAGGTCCTGAAGGAGGTTAAAAAGGGTAAAGGAGAGAGGATTTTGTAGAGCTGAAGCTGGTTGTGTGGTATTTGGGGCTTTAAGAGGAATTGGAAAACTTTCTATGTCTGTGTTGTCCACTATAGTAGCCAATTGGTATTTGGAGCCTCAAGAGGAATTGGAAACTTTTCTCTCTGTGCCATTCACTGCAGTAGCCAATTGCTGGGATAGTATACCAGCTGGCCTTACAGTGTCTGGGTGGAGATTAATATAATTTCACTGTATTTCCCTTGCTTACAATTCCATCTCTATTTCCTGCAAACTGTTGGATCTCTGAGCTACTAGTAAAATGCCACTAAGTCTAATTGTTTCCTTTTTGGGGGGGCCTAAAATAAATGAATTGTTACCTATGTGATTACTGATGGTACCCAACTTGGTTCTCAGAGATGTGTCGAGTAGATTTTTATCTAAAAGATTGAGCATATAGGGCAGTATTACCAGGAAGATGAGAAGGCTTAGGATCTTAAAAATGGGGGTTCCTTCTGATGGCTCAGAGCAAAAGGTCTCCAGTGAGATGGAGTAGCTATAGAAGATGGGAGAGAACATAAAGTCCAAGACAAAGTCCCAAGATTTTAGAGGATATTCCTGCATCGTCAGAGCAGGCATTTGTTGCTCAGAAGCTGTGAAGGAAGAGCCTCTGAATATGTAAAATATGACTGTTGAATTAAATGATTCAGTAGTTGCAGTAGATTATGGATACTTTAGGAAGCTGAGTTAGTGAATTTGAAGATCAGTTGGATGAATTCTCTTAGGATTCAGAAAGAAAGAGGATAAAGATTGTGAATTAAAAAGGCATGGATGATAGTTTCAGATGTGTTCCACTATCCAGTATAGTAGCCACCAGCCACTGTGGCTATTGAGTGCTTGAAGAACAGCTAGTCTGAATTGAGATGATCAACTTATAGAAAAGAATACTATGGGCACCCTGTAATTTCCAAACCCCTTGTTCTACTTGATCTTTTTCACAGCATATATCACCACCTGGCATTTTATGTATTTATTTCTCTTTCCATACTAGACTACAAGCTCCATTGGAACAGGGATTGTGAATTGTCTTGTTCAACACTCCACCCCCGTGCCTAGACAGTGTCTTGTGTATATCTAGATACTGACAAATATTTTGAAATAAGTGAATGAAAGTGTATCAGTATGCTTGGGACTCCCTGTAGCAGTGCCTGGAAGATGGTATGTTTTGCTGCTGCAGGAATTCTCAAGGGACTGGGCAGAGGGCATGTGAAGTAATCTGGGACCTGCTTGTCACCCTGGGTGATGTGCTGCCCTTGTTCTACTGGTACTTGCTGTTGCGGCTGCTGCACTCCCACTTGGAGAGTTTGGCCCAGCAGTTCCTGGACCATATTTGTTACTTGTGCTCACTCAGGTTGAGTTCTGTGGCCAGTTTGTATTCTCAAAGTATTTCTGCTACTCCAGTTATACTTTGTCAACGTTGTATTCCTGGTCCTGCCTCAACTGAGAGGAAAGGGTGGGTGTTAATTCCCGAGGTTCTTGTATCTTTGATTCCGGTACTGTTCTCTTCATGGGTGTTTGCTGATGCTTTATTAATTTGAAATGCAAGACCTTAGGGAAAATCATACTTATTTCATTTAAAAAATGGTGTGTACTGAACTATCTGGTGAACTGTTTTGAATTACACACACTGTATTGTGAACTACATTTGGTTGGATAGTAGGGAGCTTATATAATAACTTGAAATTGAGCCAGGTGCTCCTTTGTGATGCCATCTTAATTTTATTATTTCTCCACACCTTTTAGTTCTTTAGTTCGTTACTTTTAATGGCAAAATCTGTGAATTTCTTTCGCATCAACCTATTTCCTGCTGTGAGCAATTGGCTGTGATAATTTAAGGAGCCACTAGAGGTCATTCAAGCACTAGAAAAAAAGTTGTGCAAGTTTTAAGAATTTGTTTCAACTTCCAGAAGCAGGATCTGTAGAGGCTGAGCAGGTACATGGTACCATGTTTCATCTTTTTCCTGGTTTTTTAGAAGTTTCTGCTACAGGATGTGTGGCTCCATTCCATTGGTGATTTTTACCATTTGAGAGGAATCAGATGAATGAAAACCATTATAGCCTCTCCAGAAAAATGCAGTCAGCACCTAGCACATGATTTCAGGGGATCTGAAAACTCTGCGGAGTCCACTGGTGAATCTTTGGTTCATAACTCCTGAGACCAGGTTTCTGTAAAACTCACAATTGGGTGCTTGTAGATAATTTTTCAGTAATCAGTAACAAAATTTCAAGTGTAAGATAAATCCTGAATTCTCTATTAGATTTACTATCAGTGAACAAGAAAAATTGTGGTTGAAGTTCCTGTAAGCATTTTATTTTTATTTTACTTATTTATTCATTTATTTTTTGAGACAGAGTCTCGCTCTGTTGCCCAGGCTGTAGTGCAGTGGTGTGATCTCGGCTCACTGCAACCTCTGTTTCCCAGGTTCAAGAGATTCTCAGCCTCAGCCCCAGCCCCACAAGTAGCTGGGACTGCAGGTTCATGCCACCATGCCCCGCTAACTTTTGTATTTTTAGTAGAGACAGGGTTTCACCATATTGGCCAGGCTGGTCTTGAACTCCTGGCTTCAAGTGATCCACTTGCCTTGGCCTCCCAAAGTGCTGGGATTACAGGTGTGAGCCACTGCACCAGCCTGGTACTTTCTAATATTTTGGATGCTTTCTTACTTGCTAAGCACTTTCTCTTACCTGGAATGTTTTTTACATTACCCCCTCCCCCAGTGATCTAATTTCTACTTTCTCTTTAAAGCCCAGCTAACATTCCATTTTCTCCATCAGGCCTTCCCTAACAGTCCCAGAACTCCTACATTGCCTGGTGTGCTGACCTAAAGCCCTCATTAAGACCAGTAACAAATCAAGCCTATCTTATCAACTGACAACACATTCTGGAACCATGGCGTGTCCATGGATAAGACATGAAGTCCTTCTTTCAAGACTTGGTTTTCTGGTACTGGAAAATACCAATATGGATAAAAGACCTTCAAAGCTGCTACGATGGGTAAGGAACAATGCACACAGTATACCATTAAGGCAAAGAAGATAGTCTTAATCCTGTATGAAATGCCAATGAAGATGTAATTAATGAATAGACATTTCATTGAAATGAAATCAAAAGACATTTTCCTTCTCTGACATAACAGAGTAGAACTCTCTAGTAAGAACACAAAACTGACCAGCCTGACCAATGTGATAAAACCCCCTGTCTCTACTAAAAAGACAAAAATTAGCCATGCATGGTAGCAGATGCTTGTAATCCCAGCTACTCAAGAGGCTCAGGCATGAGAATCTCTTGAACCCAAAAGGTGGAGGCTGCAGTGAGTCGAGATCGCACAACTGCACTTCACCCTGGGCGACAAAGCAAGACTTTGTTTTTTAAAAAAAAGAAGAAGAAGAGAAAAAGAAAAAGAACACAAAACTCTGGTTACTGCTCTATGAGAATTAAGTGAATGTGAAGGAGAAGTTGGAATAATATTACAAGTTGGTGAAATATTGGAATTCTGGTCTGTTGGTGATTGGTCTTCATCTTTCCTATAAGAGATAGCTCATTACACAATGTATTCTCATTTGTCTGAACGGGATTATTTCCCTTAAGGCGATGGCCTCTTCTGCATCTTTATGTCTCTAATGTCTAGCATGGGAACTACTCAATATATATTTCAGGTTGTTGACAATGATTGCTGCTGTCTATTCCATCTAGGTAAGGGTTTTTGCATTCAAAAGGCCCTTTGCCTTAAGACCTAAAGAGGTTTTGGAACATCAGCAAGCATCCATCTCGAGGTAAATAACTGGAATCCCAATGGGCTGTGTGTGTGTGTCTGTGTGTGTGTGTGTGCGCGTGCTAACTGGAATCCCAGTGGGGTTTGTGTGTGTGTGTGTGTGTGTGTGTGTGTGCTAAATGGAATCCCAATGGGGTTTTGTGTGTGTGTGTGTGTGTGTGCGCTCATGCCTGCATACACATGCGTGCACTTCTGGTACATTTTGAACAGGCATCAGATTATGTTCCCACAGCCCCTCTTCATCAAAATGAAGACCTTGTACGTCTGAAATACAGTTTGTGAAAGTCAAATTGTTATCCCTGTGACATAGAACAGCCGTTAAAAATGTATTTCACTGGAATGTCATTCTAAATGAATATTTTTAAATAGATATCCAAAAATAAGAAAATACAGTGATTTTAGTGTAATAAAACTGATTTCACAATTGTTTCAAGAAACTCGGAAAATAAAACTTCAAACTGGAAAAATGTGGCCATAAGAATGCATGGAGCCGGACGCGGTGGCTCATGCCTGTAATCCCAGCACTTTGGGAGGCCGAGGCGGACAGATCACGAGGTCAGGAGATCGAGACCATCTTGGCTAACACGAGGAAACCGCGTCTCTACTAAAAAATACAAAAAATTAGCTGGGCGTGGTGGTGGGCGCCTGTAGTCCCAGCTACTCGGGAGGCTGAGGCAGGAGAATGGCGTGAACCTGGGAGGCGGAGCTTGCAGTGAGCCGAGATTGAGCCACCGCACTCCAGCCTGGGCAAAAGAGGAAGACTCCGTCTCAAAAAAAACAAAAACAAAAACAAAAAAAGAATGCATGGAGTTAGTTCATTCTTCTCGCCCCCTGGAACTTCTGATCAAAAGTCAATACCTTTGTGACCTACAAGTCTCTTTATTTGCCCTCCATTATAGACTGAGCTGTTAATAACATTTAATGAGCTCACATGGATTCACTGGCTAATAAAGAAGAATAGAGTTGAGGACATTGCTGCCCTGTTTATGCCCAAAAATTACCCTAAACTGAAAGTTGCTTTGTGTTCCTTCACTCCCCTCTGCTGGTAAATTTTAATATAGTTCTTAATTTTTTTAAGTCAAATTGATAGAAACATCAATTGTGTTTTTAAAACTGTAAGAAAAAATAATGTTGAACATCACAAAAATGTACTCAATCTTTCCCAAAACCCATTTCTTTCCAGTTAGTTTTCATAACTGTAGGTTCTTAAAAAAAAAAAAATGAACACTTTGGCCGGGTGCGATGGCTCATGCCTGTAATCCCAGCACTTTGGGAGGCCGAGGCGGGTGGATCACGAGGTCAGGAGATCGAGACCATCCTGGCTAACATGGTGAAACCCCGTCTCTACTAAGCCAAAATACAAAAAATCAGCCAGGCGTGGTGGCGGGCGCCTGTAGTCCCAGCTACTCGGGAGGTTGAGGCAGGAGAATGTTGTGAACCCGGGAGGCGGAGCTTGCAGTGAGCCAAGATCACGCCACTGCACTCCAGCGTGGGTGACAGAGCAAGACTCCGTCTCAAAAAAAAAAAAAAAAATGAACATGTCATCCATACTTCTAAGGTGTTGTAAAGATGTGTAAAGTTTTCACTTTTTGCATCATATTCACATGTGGCTATATGCCCTTTTCTCTTCAAAGTTTTCTTTATCTTGATTACTTATCAGAGGCTTGACTGTTTTATTATCTCAGTCTTTTGAAAGAATCCTCCTTTAGTTTTATTTTTTAAATCTAGTGGTTTTTCTTTTTCCTTTTTCCTTATGTCTTAATTATTTCCCCCTTTTTGTTTGTTTTGCTTTTCCCAGTTTAGTGGATCAATGTAATTTAAATTGCTTTTTAAACAAACATATAAGGGTATACATTTTCGTTGGGTGCTGTTTGACTTTGTTGCACAAGTTTTAAAATCTATTTTTTAATAGTTTGTATTTTCTAAATTATTTTATTACAACTTTTGTTCACATTGCTCTTACTATTAATTTTTTATTTTTATTAATTAATTAATTAATTTATTTATTTATTGAGATGGAGTCTTGCTCTGTAGCCAGGCTGGAGTGCAGCGGCATGATCTTGGCTCACTGCAAGCTCCACCTCGGGGTTTCATGTCATTCTCCTGCCTCAGCCTCCCAAGTAGCTGAGACTACAGTTGCCTGCCACCCCATCCGGCCTTTTTTGTATTTTTAGTAGAGATGGGATTTCACCGTGTTAGCCAGGATGGTCTCGATCTCCTGACCTCATGATCCACCCACCTGGGGCTCTCAAAGTCCTGGAATTACAGGCATGAGCCACTGCACCCTGCCCAAAAAGCTTTGTGTTTTTACAGATATTAGACATGTTTCTTGTTTAAGAAAAAAAATCTTAACGAAAACGCAGGAGAATAAGAGAAACATTTTTCCAAAAAAGAGAAATCATTGTGATTATTTTATCTTATTAGAATGTTGGATAATATAGTCTGCTTCATTAATCATCAAGCATGCTATGCATTTTCCATTTTTATAGGATCTGTATCTCAGTTAAGGTAATACTGGTAATTTTTGTACTGTAATCAAAGATGAAAAATATAGGCCAAAATCATAGACCTTGCATAGAAGCTGGATAATGAAGACAGCTAAGGAGAAAAACATAGATACACACACACAGACACACATATATATAAAGTATACACACATATATTTTTTAAAGTTTTAAAGCTTTTAAAGCAAAAGCCGGCCCCTCTTCTCTTCCAGAGTGGGAGGCCTCTCCCCTCTCTTAGAGTGGGTGGGGAGAGCGGTTGCCATGGGCAGCTTTCCTTGTGAGCCACAGGGCCCTCTGGACACACTGCTTTCTGGCCACGCCCCCTTTCCTTTTCATCTTTCTCATTGACCAATGGGCTTGGAGCATTAAGGCCACGCCCCTATTCCGCATTCTACTGGGGCCCTGGTTACGCCTCCTCTGGCTCACTCACACAGCTGCCTGGTAGGTGACTGGAGGCCTTGATTGGTTCTCATTGAGATTTTGCTGCTGTGACCCCAACCCTGCCTCCCTCCCCACCCTGCGATGGCAGAAGAAACTCAACACAACAAATTGGCTGCAGCCAAGAAAAAGGTAAAAACGCACTAGGTCATAGACCCTCAACCCAGCCACAGATCCCCTCTGATGACAAGACCCCTGCCAGAGTCTATACGACTCCTGAGGCACACTGGACTGGTCCCCCCTACCCCGGTGCCTCTGGGCTACCCCCATCAAAGTTTTGTCAGTCAGCCCCACCCCTTCAGCAAGCAGCCCAGTCCTTGCCCTCGCCAATCACCCCAGGGTGACTTTGGGTGGGTGAGTCCTGGGGCTTCCCGCTCCATTACTGGGCCCTCATCTCCTGCCGCCCCAAGCTTGATCTCCCTGGGCTCTTTGGGCTCTCATCTCCAAGGAGCCAGGCCCCACCCTCGCCAGTCATCCCTGGGTGACTTTGGACTGGTGACTCCTGGGACTCCCTGCTGCAGACTGTGCCCTCCCCTCCTGCTGCCTCAAGGTCGACCTCCCTGGGTTCTTTGTGCTGGCGTCTCCAAGGAGCTGGGTCCCAACCCTGTGCTTCCCTCCCCCATCGTGGAGCAGCGACTTGGACATGGTGCTGACATGGTCCCTCCCCCCGACCAGGAGGAGTGGAATGTTGTGATGTCACAGTCCACCTAGTAACTGCTGTTACTGCAAGACTGGCCTTTGATCTTACGACCCAGTCCCCTAAGCGTTCTCACCCCGTTTCTGGTTCCTCTGGTCACAGCACAAATTTCCAGCTGGAAGGGGAATGGAGACTATGGGACCTAGGAGCAAGAGGTTCCAGGCTGCCTCACTCCCTTACAGATGTTGACGGTGGGAAAAGCCTACACTTCCCCCATGAACTCAAAACGTTGACAGTATCTCTGGGTGGCAATGAGAGAATGGGTTTGATTTGGTTTTCTCCCAGGCTTCTACTTTCCAGAGAGATTTTAACATTTTTTTCTGAGTTCTCCACCTCATATTCTAATTCTCCATGGTTCTGGGACCAGACTCTCCTTCAGTCAGTGGTCTCTGAAGTGACATTTGCTCATCTTCTGTGGAATAGATCTTGGGAAACTGAACTTGACACCTTGAATCTTCCTCATATTATCTCAACCTTGGGTACTTTGAGTGCCACAGGATAAATGTGGGACATCTTTCTGAAGCATCAGTTTCCCTTGATTCTCTTGAGATCAAGAGAAAAAACATGAATGTACTTAGGGATGACAGTCACATAGGTTTCTAAGAGTATACCAGCCCTCTCTCTGAAATGAGGCTTGGGTTGTCCTCTTTCTGATAAATTCTGATTTAAGAGAAAGGCTGCCTTCTGCCATGAGGACACATTGATATAAGAGTTTGAGAGGTACTGGTGCACTTCTTCACACTAACAGACGTGTGAGGATGTATGACTCTAAACCACATGGCATACAGTTCCTGCCTACTTAATGTTTACTTTTCTACCTCTGCCTCTGGTTTTGGTCCCTGGCAGCTGCTGATTCTTGGCAAAACCTCAGAGCTTGGAGTCAGAAGACTGAGTTTCAAAGTTCCAGTATTGCCTTTTTCTTTTTTTTTTCTAGCCATGATATCAATCCTTCTCAGTCACTAAATGAGTGTGACAACACCTTGTACGGTTGTTGGTGTCATTAAATCAGATGGTGTGTAAGTGTATTTTGTAAAAACTGTAAAGGAGGATGTGGCTGCAGGGGCTGACGGTTCTCATGAGTATTACTGCTCTTCTTTCCAACAGTTAAAAGAATATTGGCAGAAAAACAGCCCTAGAGTTCCAGCAGGAGCGAACAGGAACAGGAAAACAAATGGCAGTGTCCCTGAGAAAGCCACTTCTGGTGGTTGCCAGCCACCTGGGGATGTGAGTCTTGGCTGACCAGGCTTCTGGGGACAGGGGGCCCAAGGGGCAATAGAGGGTAATTCTTAAGATTGTGGATGGACTGCTGGGTACTGGTTAAGAATTCTGGCTTTAGCCGGGTGTGGTGGCCCACGCCTGTAATCCTAGCACTTTGGGAGGCCAAGGCAGGCGGATCATGAGGTCAGGCGATCGAGACCATCCTGGTTAACACGGTGAAACCCTGTCTCTACTAAAAATACAAAAACATTAGCCAAGCGTGGTGGCGTGTGCCTGTAGTCCCAGCTACTCAGAAGGCTGAGGCAAGAGAATGGTGTGAACCTGGGAGGTGGAGCTTGCCGTAGCCAAGATTATGCCACTGCACTCCAGCCTGGTGACAGAGCAAGACTCTGTCTCAAAGAAAAAAAAAAAAGGAATTCTGGATTTGAATCCTGCCTCTCCATCTGCTCTGCTAGGGATATGATTTAGGGCAAGTTGCTAGACCTCATCGGGCCTCTCTTTTCACATCTGTATAATAGAGGTGATATTGTTTCACTTCCATTTGTGAAATTTTCATGAGATTTGTTATTGTTGTTTTTATGTTAATCCCTAGTACATGGCCTGCTGTAAACACTCAGGACACCCAGGATATGGTTTGATTTTCCTCATCCCCAGTCTCAAGGGGAAACCAGGACAAAGAGAACAGCCACTTGCCATCAGGAGTCACTGAAGGGGCCCCAGGATGGGATGGTGGGGAGATAAGAACCATGAGAGAAGTTGGCACAAAGGAGTTATGGGACAAAAGGTCCAAGATAGGCAGAAAAGAAAATGTTGCCAGTTGATGGGGAAGAAAGGAAGTCAGAGGGCTCAGACACTGTGGGGGACAGAACATCTCCATGTGCACTCTCATCTCTTGTAGTCAGCAACAGGTTTCCACAGGGAAGGCCCTACATCATCTGCTACCCTGAAAGATCTGGAGGTAAGAGGCTCTGGGCAGAGGTGCAGTGACCCTTCGGGTCAACCCTCCAACCTCCTCCTCCAGGTGGGACTGGGTGCCCCTCTGCCAGCTGAGACAGCCCACACACCCCAGCCCTAATGATTGTTCTCTCTACCTCTCCCCCCACTCCTGCTCCACCTCCTCCTCTCTGCATGCACCTCAGAGCCCGTGCCAAGAACGAGCAGTAGTCCTGGATTCAAGGTCCGTAGAAATCAGTCAACTGAAGAACACCATCAAATCTCTGGTAAGAGTCCACTGGGGTCCCCTGATTCCACGCTGCCAATCCTGGGCTCCAGTTTCCCCTTGGGGCCCTGAAGAAAGGGGCTGGGGGTCCCTGGTGCCTGGGACAAATAGGGAGCTTGGGTGCCCAGGCCTCACCTGGAGGGACCCCAGAGCATGCAGCATGGCTCTTCTTTTGCTGCCCTCTTTGCCGACTCTCTCCTCTCCAGACACCCCTGCTCGAGTCCTTGCTACACACGCCCTGGGGTTGTTGCCTCTTGGGGAAGTGCTAGCCTGACTGGTTGTCAAGGGCCCCGTATTTCTGCCATGACTCAGTCCCTAATTTGCTCTTTGATTCTGGACAAGCCACCTCTCCTTTTTGGGCTCGTGTTTCCAGAGGAGGTAGTGAGTATCAAAGGTCTCTGTTAGCTCTCGAGTCTGAGATTTAAAGGCCCCCTAGAACGGAAACCTCAGGGCTAAGGGCTCCTGTCTGTCCTTTTCCATCCTATATCTGCTGTAAAGAACCGTACCTGGTCCATACATGCTCAGTAAATGTTTATTGAATGAACCCACTTCTCTAAATCACAAGTTGCCAGAAGGAGGGGCCTTTCTGAAACTCCATCTCTAGAGGTTTATATTGCTGTCCTCTCAAGAGATTCCAGATTCAGACTTTGAGTTCTGTGGCTGTGGGCAAAAGCCAACAAAGACCCAAATCCTCTGTCCTTGGGAGCTTGAGGAGAGTTTACCGGTTCGTGTTCCCATTATGTCTGAGAACTTTGCCTTTAAAATCCATTCCTGGCCCCTGCCTACCACTTCCTGGTCTGGGGAATAGAGTTGAGGGGGCCACCCTCCATCACCTTATTTGACTCTCCCCACAGAAACAACAGAAGAAACAAGTGGAACATCAGCTGGAAGAAGTAACGTGATTTCGTTTCCTCGCAACATGACTGCTGGGTTTGGGGGGCACTCAGACATACAGGCCCCAGTCTCGTCTCACCCACTCCCAGCCTGGGGATGAAGGCTCACCCTTCAGATTCCACCCCATCCCCACAGGGCCCCTGATAACCTGGTCCCATGGGTGGGCCTGTCCTGGGGCATTGGTGGCATTCTGGGGGCATGTCTCTTGCTGTGCCATCTCTGCCTCCCCCTGGTAAGAGCTCTGTCTTCTTCTTCCTACAGGAAAAGAAAGCAAACAACAAGAAACAGAAAGCCAAAAGGGTGCTAGAGGTGAGTGGAGGGTGTGCAGTTTCCTCCTGTCCTCCGGAGAAGGTTTCTTTCCTTCTCTTTCAGCACTTGCTTGGCTTTTCTCCCAAAGGTTCAAATCCAGACATTGAACATACAGAAAGGGAAACTAAATACGGACCTGTACCACATGAAACGTTCTCTCAGATACTTTGAAGGTGGGAATCTGGGCACCCTGTCATCCTTCAACCTGGCACTTTGACAGGTCTTCAGGGGGAGTCCTTTGGGCCCCATCTCAACTTTCTCATTACAGAAAAGTCCAAGGATCTGGCTGTCTGCCTGCAACATTCATTGCAGCGTAAAGGAGAGTTAGAGAGTGTTCTCTCTAATGTCATGGCCACACAGAAGAAGAAGGCAAACCAGGTGAGTCCAACCACCTGCCCCATCCCCTGGGAGCCTGGCTTTGCAGATGGAGGAGTGAGCCTAAAGGTCCCTTCTGCAGGATGGCGTGTCCTGCCCAGAAGGCAGCATGGCCATTTCTTGCTACTTTTTTGTATGGTTTTTAGTGGCAGCCTGGGGCTGAGTCAGCTGCTGTGGGTGAGTTGGGGGTCACTGTGTGGAGTGAGCACTGGACGCAGAGCTTGGAGGCCAAATGCCTGCCCCGCCCTTACCTGGCTGTGGTCTTGAGCAAGTCCTAGGTGGGGTATTGGGTACTTCTACTGTGAAGGTACAGAAGAGTACCTTTAGTATGTTACCATTTCTGTAGAAAGAGGAAACGTGTGTGCGTGTGTGTGTGTGTGTGTGTGTGTGTGCATACTGTGATAATATACATAAAACATGTCTGCAAGGGTTCATAAAAAATTCAGGAGAGAGCAACAAGATGGCCGGGAGATACTTCCCTTCTGTACCTTCTGAGTTTTGGACTATGCAAATGTATCATCCTTTCAAAAAGTGAACAAAAGATTAATTTTCCCCTTCCTATCTGTGCCCCCATCCCCAGCAAGAAAAACGGGCTTAGAGAATTGGATAGACCTGGGTGTTTATATCCCAGCTCTGCCTAAGTGAACTTAGGCAAGCACTTAACCTCAAATACTCCATGTTTTTTCATCTCCACAATAGAGGGAATCATAGTAACTGTCTCCTATGGTGGTTGCGAGGATTAAATGGGATTGTTAGCACGGTACCTGGTGAAGTATTCCACAAAGGTTCAAACAGTGGTAATAATAACAGTAATAACAATAGCAATATTATCTGATCTCTCTGGGCCTCTGTTAGCCAGCTATAAATTCAATCTCATTCCCTGTCCGTTCCAACTTTACTGTGTTCTTTTAAAAACCAGACCACGGGCTTGGAAATGCCTTGATCTTTACTGACTGAGTTGTATATTGGGCCTAGCCCTAGTCCTTTTAAGGGGCACTGTGTGGAAATGCCCAGGCTCTCCAGATTGAAACTTCTCACTCTTCACCATCCAGTTGTCCAGCCGCAGCAAAGCACGTACGGAGTGGAAGTTAGAGCAGTCCATGCGGGAGGAGGCACTACTGAAAGTGCAGCTGACACAGGTGAGGTTTTCTGAGGGAGTTATGTGGAAGGAAGATGACCCCAGGTGGCCAGGAGCAGGTGAGGACCAGTGACAGCCCTTCCTAAGTTCTGTGCCCATTCTTGCAGTTGAAGGAGTCATTTCAACAAGTCCAATTAGAAAGAGATGAGTGTGCTGAACATCTAAAAGGAGAGAGGGCCCGGTGGCAGCAGAGGATGAGAAAAATGTCGCAGGAGGTGAGATCTCACCCTTCAGCCCCCCCACATTAGATAGGTCACTGGATCTTTCTGGGCATCTGTAAAATGGGAATAGTAGAGCCAGAGGTGGTCATGGGTCTGGGCTTTGTGGAGGTGGGGGCAGAGAGGGAGAGGGCAGCCTGTCCAGCCTCCAGCCCCTCTCTCCAAGGCCCTTTCCCCTTGTGCTTTGGGCAGATTTGCACATTAAAGAAAGAGAAGCAGCAAGATATGCGTCGGGTAGAGAAGCTGGAGAGGAGCTTGTCCAAACTCAAAAACCAGATGGGTAAGATGGGGCTGGCATGACCTGGGAGCAGGACTGGCATCAGAGGGCTGTGAGGGTGGCTTAGAGTGCCCCAGGGAGGTGGGTGGATGGAAGGGCTTTGAGGCAGAGGGAAAGAGATCTGTGCCAGGAGACGGCGAGTCTTGTCATCTCAATGAGTCTCAGTGTCTCAGTGTCCCCATCAGGAAAGAGGGCCCGTTGCCAGCCACCCGCAGTGCTCTTTCTCTGAATGTGCTTTGGAAGACTGGCTACCATCTGGGTGCGAGGAATCATTAGCAGTGAGGCCAAGTTTGAGGAGCCTGAGAGGAGCTGTGCGCCAAGAGGAGGGTTTTTCTTTTCCGAGAATCCAGAGGCCCTTATTATCTGCTTCCTTTGTCAGCTGAACCCTTGCCCCCGGAGCCCCCAGCAGTGCCCTCTGAGGTGGAGCTGCAGCACCTGAGGAAGGAACTAGAGAGAGTGGCAGGAGAGCTCCAGGCCCAGGTCAAAAAGAATCAGCGCATAAGTCTCCTGAACCAGCGACAAGAAGAGAGGATTCAGGAGCAGGAAGAGAGGCTTCGGAAGCAGGAGGAGAGGATTCAGGAGCAGCACAAGAGCCTTCAGCAGCTGGCCAAGCCACAGAGCGTCTTCGAGGAGCCGGTGCGTTGCCCAAACTGGGGAGCTTGCCCTCCTCCCTAGCCCTCCGGGCCTTTGTTTCCCCACCTCTAAAATGGGGCAGTGTAGCCCTCACATGAAATGTTACTTCTAAAGGCACCTGTGAGCCAGGTGGCTGTGGGAGAGAGGGGGTGATTTTTCTAACCTGCCTCCAGCCTTCCCAGTGCCATGGGAGGCAGACACCAAGTTCTGGGGTCTCCAGCTGCAGTGGGTGGCTGCTGATTGCTTCTCTCTGTCCAGAACAATGAGAACAAGAACGCACTGCAGTTGGAGCAGCAAGTAAAGGAGCTACAGGAGAAGCTTGGCGAGGTGAAGGAGACGGAAACCTCCACCCCATCCAAGAAGGGCTGGGAGGCGGGCAGCAGCCTCTTGGGAGGGGAGGTGCCAGGCCAGAGGCAGCTTCCAGCCTGGGGGCTGGTGACCACAGCACCCCGCAGGGCAGTCCTGTGACTGTTTCTTGCTTCCTGCCTCTGACTTTTAAAGGTGGGTAGCCCTGGGCTCCTCTCAGGTCTGGACATCATCATCCCAGCTAGAGGCATGGAGCCCCCAATCACAGGGGAAGAGACAGTGCTATAACAGGCTCCTTATACCAGGTGCAGTGGCTCATGCCTATAATCCCAGCACTTTGGGAGGCTGAGGCAGGAGAATCACTTGAGGTCGGGAGTTTGAGATCAGCCTGGCCAATGTGGTAAAACCTCATCTCTACTAAAATTACAAAAAAAAAAAAAAAAATTAGCAGGACATTGTGGCGCATGCCTGTAATTCCACCTACTCGGGAGGCTGAGGCACGAGAATTGCTTCAACCCAGGAGGTGGAGGTTGCAGTGAGCTGAGATTGCACCACTGCACTCCAGCCTGGGCCACAGAGTGACACTCTTGTCTGAAAACAAAACAAAAAGACTCCTTAGATTGAAACTGGATTCCAGCCTCAGTTCCACTGGTCACCATTCAAGTACTTTGCATCTCTAAGTCTCTGTTTCTTTAACTTCAAAGGGAAGTTAGCATTTTCCTTACAGAGGTGCTGAGGATTAAATGAGAAGAGGGTATGAGATTTGAGGCTGGGGAAGGAGGCATGGGGTTCTAGGAAAGGGAGGCAGTCACTTAGGCCTGGAGTAAGGGGACAGGGGCCTGGGCAGCTGACAGAGCCCCACAGTGCCCTCGCTACCCTATTAATGGGCCCAGAATCTGGAAACCAGCCACCACATGCCCTCACACCCAGGGTCTTCCTGCAGGTGGAGCTGAAGAGCCAAGAGGCTCAGAGTCTGCAGCAGCAGCCAGACCATTACCTGGGTCACCTGCAGCAGTACGTGGCCACCTATCAGCAGCAGGTGGCCGCCTATCAGCAGCTGACCTGTGAGAAGGAGGCGCTGTACAGGCAGTGACTGCAGCAGACCCAGCTAATGAACCAGCTGCAGCAGCAGGAAGCTTGGGGCAAAGCGGTGGCTGAGATGGCCTGCCAAAAGTTGCAGGAGACCCAGGGGAGGGAGCTGCTGAGGATGGGGCTGTGAGGGGGACGACCTGGCAAACTCCACCCCTTCTCACTCTGTCCTGGCCCCTTAGGAGCACCTGGAAGCTGCCAGCCAGCAGAACCAGCAGCTAACGGCCCAGCTGAGCCTCATGGCTCTCCCTGGGGAAGGTACGGGAGACCGCTCAGAGGAAGAGGAGAGAGCCCCAGGAGGAAGGGGGGACTGCTAGCAGCATAGGATTGAGGAGTTGGAAGAGACCTTTAGAACAGCTGGTCATTATGCCGACCGGGTGCCTGCACTAAGTTCGGCATCAGTGTGGTGACCTCCTGTGAGCGGGGGGTCACCAAGTTGCCTAAGGGTGGCTGAACTGGCCAAGGTCAGAAAGGGAGCAGGTCAGAACTCCCACATCGACCAGTAGTGGGAGTGTGCCTGGGCGGAATAGCAAGATCTTGATTCTTAAAAGTAAAAATAAAGAACAACAGCTCATTCCTCTCTGGGGAGGGGCAGGCTCAGGGTTACACAGTGAGGGTGGAGGTAGAGGTGGGCCCACAGTTCCTCCCTTGTTGGGTTGTCTGAAGACCCCTCTGGCCACCCCCCACAGGACACGGAGGAGAACATCTGGACAGTGAGGGGGAGGAGGCACCTCGGCCCATGCCGAGTGTCCCAGAGGACCCGGAGAGCAGGGAGGCCATGGTGAGCCTGACTCCCCCTGCACCCATTTTGCCACCTTTCTCTGTGGTCCCTCCAAGACCCCTTTATGCTCTTCGTTTCCCTGCCTTCTGATTTCTCTGGACCCTCACCCCTTCCGAGAGCCAGTGGTCAGACTCCATTTCACCTGTGGCCAACAGGTGCACTCTCTGAGGCTCCAAGGGAAGGGGCTGCGCTCCACCTCTCTGCCCCATTTCTTCTGTGTATGCCCCTAGAAGAATGCTCACATCTTGCCCTCAGGTGGCATTTTTCAAGTCCGCTGGAGCTAGTGCCCAGGAGAAGCAGGCACAGTTACAAGAGCAGGTGAAAGAGCAGAGGGTGTGCTGCCAGCGCCTGGCTCACCCGGTGGCCTCGGCCCAGAAGGAGCCAGAGGCAGCCAGAGGCCCTGGAGCCCCAGGGCCTGGGGGCGAGTCTGTGAGTGGGGAGACCCACTGGGCCCTGCAGGAAGTCACGGAGAAGCTGGCCCATGCCAGGACTCACCTCCACCTTCTCCATGACTTGAAAATGCCACCTGAGGGCAGGTCGCTGCCGAGATGTGACTGCAATATTTTGGCTCCAGAGCAGCTTTATGGACCACCTGGAGGAGAAGGCAGACCTGAGTGAGCTGGTGAAGAAAAAAGAACTCTGCTTCATCCACCACTGGCGAGACAGATGCCATCAGTGAGTGGGAGGCCAGGGCACGGCAGGGGGAGCTACAGGGCCGTCGGAGGGGCCCCAGCGTCTGAGCCCTGTCCTCCCGCAGGAAAACCCATCACCTTTTATCAGAACCAGGGGGCCGTGCCAAAGATGCGGCACTGGGAGGAGGACACCATCAGGCTGGAGCTCAGGGAGGAGATGAAGGTAGGGTGTGCAACATCTCTGTGGGGGTGGGGGTGGGGGTGGGTGTGAGGGTGGGCGCAGGCAGCGGCATGGCAGCTGAGCACCCCTCCCTCCAGGTGAAGCTGCTGGAGCTGCAGCAGATGGTATTGCGGCTTACAGCAACTACAACAATGGGCACAGAAAATTCCTGGCCGCTGCCCACAACTCTGCTGATGAGCCCGGTCCAGGAGCCCCAGCCCCCCAGGAGCTTGGGGCTGCAGACAAGCATGGTGGTGAGTAGAGCCCTCAGGTGGGGTGGGCAGGCAGGAAGAGGGGGCTCCCACTGTGCTCAGATCCCTGCCTCCCTCTCTCCAAAGATCTTTGTGAGGTGAGCCTCACCTCCTCTGCCCAAGGAGAGGCCAGGGAGGATCCTCTCCTTGACAAGCCTACTGCACAGCCGATCGTGCAGGACCACCAGGAGCACCCAGGCTTGGGCAGCAACTGCTGTGTGCCATTGTTGTGCTGGGCTTGGCTGCCAAGAAGAAGGAGATAAACATCACCATCCTCAAAGAGCTGCTCAAGAAATTTTTAAATAAGAAACCAAGTTATGGGGTTAATCTCCTACACAATTCATTTACTTCCTTTGAATGTTAGAGTCACTCATGATTATTTGTTTTTCTAATTTATAGTTTTAAGTTTATTTGTAAAAAGTTAAAAGAGAGTGGGTGTCTGTGGCTCTCACTGATGTTCACTCTGGCATCCTTTAGCATTTTTCTTTTTTAATTTCATAATTGTAGGTCATTAGCGTGCATATCGAGTTTGCCCTTACGTGGTGGGAGTTCAAACACACAAAGACCCACTCTTTGCCCAAAACTGTTCTCTTTGGTTTGGAATAGGCTGCCATGCTTTTTTAATGTTATTGCAGCATGTACATTCACTACAGAATTCAGACAAAATTTGCCTATGTTCTGCTGTTGTTTGATCTAATCTTAATCACAGTGAGCTCTTCATTAGCTCAATATGTAGTTTGCCCCCAAGTGTGCACTGTTTATTACTTTGTAATATGCCACTATGAGTACTGACATTTAGAGTTGTTTAAAGGCCAAGAACTGGAAACAGCCTTTCCTCCATTTTCTGTGTATTGGTGATGGGAGTGATAACCTTTTGGGGGAGCTTTTTAAATCTCACAGAAGAGGAAAGTGGCCTCCTCTGGCAGGTACGTGCAGGATAGAGTGTGTTTCATCTGTTCCGGTGCCAGGAATTAGCAGTGTATTATGGTGGTTCCCTTAGGATTTGTATGTGCTCTGGGCTCATGAAGATACTGCATCATGAGCTGCAGCAGTTGCACTCTTTTTCGATGACCTAAAAAGGGCTTATTTCTGAGGAATGAAAGGTTCCCATCATTGACTGTGGATGTGGAAATCCTTTCCTAGCTTAGAGCATTTGTATCTACAATACATTTTAAAGTCAGAGTTCATGTTACCTGTTTTAATCACATGACTACATGTCCCAGTACACAAAAGGGCACTGGTTGGCATTCTTCTTAATGTATTTAGTGAAGATCATAAGAAATCCTTTATGAGTTCAAACGTCCCTGGAACAGGCATACAGGCTCTAGTCAAGAATGAATTAGAGTGAAGGAAAGCTGTGTGACACCTGGCATTCCTCTCTGTTCACGGAGATTCTTTGAGGCTTGAAGATTGATTTTACCATCTAGACCTCTTTGGCTAATACCTATTCTTCAACCACCTTGGTTACTCTGACATAGGAATTTACTTCTTTTTCCTTGAATGGACAACACTTTAAAAAATAATAGAAACATTATTATAAACTAATATATGTGAGATACTTAGTTGAAACAAAAAGGAGTTTTAGTAGACGGTATTGTACTCTCTTTGAAAATCAAGGAGAAGTTTATGAAACTTAAAATGTGTACAAACTGCAGTGCAATCTACTGTTCGTGAATGTCAATGTATTATCAGGAAACGTGTCTATACAATCACAGAGCTATATTTTCTCACAGACTTCTTTACAAAGTGAAATATGTTTTTGTACCTCTGGGTTTCTGTTCGGGACATATTTTGTGCGATATTTATGTGATTGTGCCTATGCATGATGAATGAATGCATTTCAGTTGTATATTGCCTAAATCGTAACTTGATGATGCTTGGGAAAGACTCAACAGTTCAAACTTCATGAAGTTCTAATGTCTGTGTTCCAAAACACATCACATTGTTAGGATGCAGGGAGATAGGTGTGTGTGCTCCCTGCGGTGGGGATTTCTAGTTACTAGATCATCTCCATTTTTAGCATTTGGCATCCTCATGATACTTCTATAAATATGACATTAACAGGAGAGCAACAATACGATTTTACCGATGGAATAACAGATTTGCTGGCATTCACTGAAAGAGTGCAAATATTCGGTCCTTGTGACTTCCACTGACTCTTCCAAATTTTATGAATGTATCAATGTATTAGATAAACCCAGTTTCAGAATGATAAAGAAAAAATCTTAGACCAAATAATGCGGCTAATTAACAGTGGTACGAATTGTAGCCCGTGGGTTTAAAATGCACTTAAAGTCCTGTTCTCGCCTTTTATTTTCTGAACTTGCCGCTTTTGCATTCTTTGAGTTCAGTTTAAAGACAGTTACTTTAAGAGCATTTTAAACCCTCGGGCTAGAAATCGGACCACTGTTAATCAGCCACATTATTTGGTCTAACGTTTTTTCTTTTATCATTCTGAAACTGGGTTTATCTAATACATTGATAAATTATTGCAAAGGTACTTTTATCGTTGAAATCACTTCACTTTTACCCTGATAAATATCAGTGACTAGAATGACCTTCGGATAGTGTTTAGCATCTGTAACCAATCTGACAATAATGTGTTCATGAGGTGCCTATGGATTAAATCACACACTGGCATATTTAAGCTGAAGGTCAGTCTGGAAAATAAATTTACTATATTGACTGAAATACCACTCTTTGTGTAGGTATTTGTCATATATTTAAGAAAAAGCTAAAAAGAATGGAAATTGTATGACAATAACTCAAGTCTTTCTCCAAAGTGCATGCAGTCTTTTGCGATACCTCATTCAGCCGAGTATTTGTGCTCTTCCTCATTCAGTATAAGGCAGCTTTCAGTTTGCTTAGAAGGCAACATTGGAATGTTAGAGTTCATCAGAAACATAGAATTTTAAACTGTGAGTTCCACTGAATACATTTTAATTTCTGTAGGAAGAATCAAAACACCTATTTAAAGATGGCAATATATAATAATCATTTTAAAAGTATTTGATTAAACCTGATAATTTTCCAGAAATGAAAAAAAAAATCAGCTCTAAAACCAAAGCTGATTTTAGAAAATTTGAAAATGTAAATCAGCCCTATCCATAATATAGTTTCTCTAAAACTTTATTTTAAAGAGTCATTTTAAAATAATATAACTATTAAAAAATGTAACTGCTATCTTAATGTTCTGAAATAATTTAAAACATTTTAAAATATGAATACTGTAGTATAAAAGAAAGAAATGGTGGGAACGAAAAGCAGAGAAAGAAATGCCAATTCCAGTCCAAAGTTTTATTTGCCAAGTTTTCTTAGAATGAATTTTACCAGTTTATGAATTATTGTAAACAGAATGTGTCATGGAAATACTGAAAGATTTTTCCCTAGAGTGGCCTTATTGACTGCTGGTGTGATGCCACTGTAATGTAATAAATTATTAAATTGTTTCTAAGTGTTGTTTTTGCCTTAAAATTTTATTTTGCGTTTCTTCAAAACTATAGTTTTAAAGGTATTGATACTGTGCAAATGCTGGGCATGCTTGGCACGAGATAATGTGTTTCATTTTTACAAAGTTGTAATATAACTATGCAAGTGTTTCTTAAAAGAACACAAGATTTAATAAGTTATGGGATTAAAAAAAGTTATGGGGTGAAAACGTTATGGGATAAAAAATGTAAAAACGTTGTGGCAAAAAAACTTCTGGGAAAAAAGTAGAAAACAGTATTATGAAAAGTTACAAAAAAAGTTATGAAAAAGAAGTTACGGGATTTTTTTTTAAAAAGTCATGGAATAAAAATAAAATGAGAATCATAAGAGAATCATTGAGAATCATAAAAATGCAGATTCTGATTCAGTAGGTCTAGGGTGGGGCCTGAGTTACTTCTTTTTTTTGTTTTAGACAGAGTCTTGCTCTGTGGCCCAGGCTGGAGTGCAGTGGCGTGATCTCCGCTCACGCAAGCTCCGCCTCCCGGGTTCACGCCATTCTCCTGCCTCAGCCTCCCAGGAGTAGCTGGGACTATAGGCGCATGCCGCCACGCCCGGCTAATTTTTTTGTATTTTTTAGTAGAGACGGGGTTTCACTGTGTTAGCCAGGATGGTCTCGATCTCCTGACCTCGTGATCCACCCTCCTCGGCTTCCCAAAGTGCGGGGATTACAGGCGTGAGCCACTGCGCCCGGCCCTGAGTTACTTCCTTTCATGCACCACATAGCAATGTTTCGGTCAACAGTGGACTACATATATATCTATCACTGTCTTCCACCTCCACATTCTGTCCTACTGGAAGGTCTTCAGGTGCAATAACACACAAGGAGCTATCATCTCCTATGATAACAAGGCTTTTTTCTGGAATAGCTCCCCACAGACCACCACAAATATGTGATGTGAGTAATGCACTGTGCTACAGTGATGCTATACGTCAACAACATCACTAGGCAATAGGAACATTCCAACTCCATTATAATCTTTTTTTTTTTTTTTTTTTTTTTTTTATTGAAACAGACTCTTGCTCTGTCGCCCAGGTTGGAGTGCAGTGGCACGATCTGGGCTCACTGCAAGCTCCGCCTCCCGGGTTCACGCCATTCTCCTGCCTCACAGCTTCCCGAGTAGTTGGGACTACACGCGCCCACCACCACACCTGGCTAATTTTTTTCTATTTTTTAGTAGAGACGGGGTTTCACCGTGTTAGCCAGGATGGTCTCAATCTCCTGACTTCGTGAGCTGCCTGCCTTGGCCTCCCAAAGTGCTGGCATTACAGGCATGAGCCACTGCGCCAGGCCCCAACTCCATTATAATCTTATGGGACCAGTGGATATAGATGATCCTGACCCTGCCTAGGCCTAGGCTAATGTGTGAGTTTGTATCTTCATTTTGGTTTTGTTTGGTTTTGAGACAGGGTCTCGCTCTATCGCCCAGGCTGGAGTGCAGTGGTGCGATCTCAGCTCATTGCAACCTCTGCTCCCCAGGTTCAAGCAATCCTTCCACCTCAGCCTCCCAAGTAGCTGAGACTATAGGTGTGTGCCACTATGCCTGGCTATTTTTCATATTTTTTTGTAAAGGCGGGGTTTCGTCATGTTGTCCAGGCTGGTCTCAAACACCTGGACTCCAGCAATCCACCTGCCTCGGCCTCCCAATGTGCTGGGATTATAGGTGTGAGCCACCACGCCCAGCCATGTCTTGGTTTTTAACAAAAAAGTTTAAAATTAAAAAAAAATAGAAAAAAATCTTACCGAATATGGATAGAAAGAAAATATTTTTGTACAGCTGTACAATGTGTTTGTGTTTTGAGCTATTACTACAAAAGAGTCAAAAGTTAAGAAAATTTAAAAGCTGATGAAATTAAAAAGTTATAGTAAGCTAACCTTAATTTATTACTGAAGGAAAAAATTTTAATAAACTTAATGTAGCCTAAGTATATGCTGTTTATAAAGTCTATAACAATGTACAGTAAGGTCCTAGGCCTTCACATTCACTCACCACTCACTGACTCACCCAGAGCAACTTCCAGTCCTGCAAGCTCCACTCGTAAGTACCCTACGCAGGTAAAATTTTAAATCTGTGGCCGGTCGCAGCGGCTCACACCTGTAATTCCAGCACTTTGGGAGGCCGAGGTGGGTGGATCACAAGGTCAAGAGATCAAGACCACCCTGGCCAACATGGCGAAACGCCATCTCTACTAAAAATACAAAAATTAGCTGGGCGTGGTGGTGCACGCCTATAGTCCTAGCTACTCGGGAGGCTGAGGTCGGAGAATCGCTTGAACCCGGGAGACAGAGGTTGCAGTGAGCTGAGATTGTGCCACTGCACTCCAGCCTGGTGACAGTGCAAGACTCCATCTCAAAAAAGAAAAAAAAAAAAAAGAAAAAAATTTAAATGTTATATCACAAATTTTAAATCTGTTAAGATACATAAAATACTTGGTATTGTGTTACAATTGCCTACAGTATTCAGTACAGTAATCTGCTGTACAGGTTTGTGGCCTAGGAGCAATAGATTATATCACATAACTAGGTGTGTGTGTAGTCAGCTACACCATCTAGGTTGATGTAAGTACACTCTATGATGTTTGCAGAATGACAAAATTGCCTAACAATGCATTTCTCAGAAGGTATCTCTGTCATTAAGAGACACATGGCTATAGTTTCCAGGCGATACCTATGCCGTATTTGAATAGCAAGGCTCTAGTTTAGAGCACTGTTTAGGGAAATCCATTGGCCCTGTATCTTAAGTTGGGTTGCCTGAAAAACAGGTACTGAGATGGAGATTTCCCCACAGGAGGCTTACTTGGGAAGGCTCTTGGAACAACACAAGTAAAGGAGTAAAAGAAACAGGATTGGGCAGCCTGTGAAACAGTTGCCACCATCTCAGCTGCTCCTTCAGGAAGCTCTAGAGCTGGGAAGTCCTTCCGTTGTCTTGAGATATGGGGGCCAGGCCTATGAAACCCCATATTAACCAGGCACGGAACGTAGACTGCCCAGGGGAAGGCATCACTTGGGGTGAGGCAGGTCCTTTTCATGGAGCAGCTCTCAGAGGGGGACTTTGTTGTGAGCCATGAGGAACCAACACTTCTGCAAGTGGGGCGAGTGAGCACCTCAGCCTGGAGGGGGATCTAGGTGAAGCACCACAGTGTCTACTATTCTGGTGATAGCCCAGTGACCTCAGGAAATCACTGTACTATTTTCCATCTTAGTCCACATTTAGGACAGAATATGATAGACATTTCTGTTTTATTAATAAATGGAACAATGTGGCCGGGCGCGGTGGCTCACGCCTGTAATCCCAACACTTTGGGAGGCTGAGGCGGGCGGATCACGAGGTCAGGAGATCAAGACCATCCTGGCTAACACGGTGAAACCCCGTCTCTACTAAAAATACAAAAATTAGCCGGGCGTGGCGGCATGCGCCTATAGTCCCAGCTACTCGGGAGGCTGAGGCAGGAGAATGGTGTGAACCCGGGAGGCAGAGCTTGCAGTGAGCCGAGATCACACCACTGCACTCCAGCCTGGGGGACAGAGCGAGACTCCGTCTCAAATAAATAAATAAATAAATGGAACAATGTGTCTGTGGAATGTGCCAGGCCCTAGAGGCAGTGATTCTAGGAACAATCATTTTGGTTTTACAGAAAAAAACTCGGACCTAATTTGAAAGTTGCACAAATCATCTTATTTCCAGCAGGGATGCAGGTAAAAGGTTCAGGAAGGCCCTTTGGCAGACACTTTATGGACTGATTTCACAGAAATGAGGGTTAGGTGAACTAACATCTAAGGAAAAGGATGTGTGCCATCTAGTGGCACTAAAAGCAAAGCCTAATGCTTAACGAAAGATTTCCCTTTTCATCGTCAGGGAACTCAGTGAGGTTTTCAGTAGTGTTTTCCTACTTTTAGAAGTAGGTGTGGGAGTTCACTAAATGAAATAAAATTACAATATCTACAGCTGGATAGCTGTGTGGGGTAACACATAAAATTGGATCCATTCTTTCTACACTGGATAAATTCCAAATTTAAGGACCGGGCGCGGTGCCTCACGCCTGTAATTCCAGCACTTTGGGAGGCAGAGGCAGGCAGATCACCTAAGGTCAGGAGTTCAAGACCAGCCTGGCCAATATGGTGAAACCTCGTCTCTACTAAAAACACAAAAATTAGCCAGGTGTGGTGGCATGCACCTGTAGTCTCAGCTACTCAGGAGGCTGAGACAGGAGAATCATCTGAACCCGGGAGGTGAAGGTTGCAGTGAGCAGAGGTCGCATCACTGCACTCCAGCCTCAGAGATCTAACATTAACAAATGAAAACATAGCAGTACTAGAAAATTAAGTACTAGAATTCACAAGAGTGAATACCTTTATAACTCAGAAGTGGGGAAAATACTCCTATCTATAATCAGAATCCAGAAGCATTAAGGGAAGAGATTAACTATAATTTAAACAAACAAAAAAGCAAGGCAAAAAGTCTAAAAAATATATGCAGCTTATATCATGAGGGACTAATATATAAAAAGCTTCTAAAATATTTTTAAAGACCATCCTGAAAGTAAAAGATGGACAATTTAAATAAAAAGAAGTACAAATAGCCCTTAAACAGGTGAAAAGATTGATTTATTGCACTTTGTTTTCCATTTTAGGAGTTGCTTTTACATTTTATTTTATTTTATTTATTATTATTTTGTTTAGATGGAGTCTCACTGTGTCACCCAGGCTGAAGTGCAGTGGCCGGATCTTGGCTCACTGCAACCTCCGCCTCCCAGGTTCAAGCGATTCTCCTGTCTCAGCCTCCCAAGTAGCTGGGATTACAGGCATGCATCACCACGCATGGCTAATCTTTGTATTTTTAGTAGAGACGGGGTTTCACCACGTTGGCCAGGCTGGTCTCGAACTCCTGACCTCAGGTGATCCGCTCACCTCGGCCTCCCAATGTGCTGGGATTACAGGCGTGAGCCACCACCTTATTTTGGCCTTATTTTGTATTTTAAACATGTTACACATTTACAGGGTTCCAAGTTTATATATAAAACAAGATATATTCAGAGAGGTCTAGCTTCCATTCCTATTTTCTACTTCACCTGTTCTTGATCTTCTCCTATTGTTTACCATTTTTATTAGATTTTGGTTTACCTTTCTATTGTTTATTTTTGAAAATATAAGTAAGTATCCATTTGTATATGTATCTCTACCACCCCGTATACCAAAGGCAGCATACTATATACACTCTTTTATGCATTGCTTTTTCACTTCACTTCACATCATAGTCATATATCTTCCACATTCCTTAACAGCTTCATAATACTTTGTCGTATGCATGCATCATTTGAAAAAATGTTCCACTTCATTGACAAAAAGATAAATACAAAACTATACTGAAGGCTGGGCGCAGTCGCTCATGCCTGTAAACTCAGCACTTTGCGAGGCCGAGGTGAGTGGATAGGTTGAGGTCAGGAGTTCGAGACCAGCCTGGCCAACATGGCGAAACCCTGTCTCTACTAAAATTACAAAAATTAGCCAGGCGTGGTGGTGATTGCCTGTGGTCCCAGCTACTCAGGAGGTTGAGGCAGGAGAATCACTTGAACCTGGGAGGCAGAAGTTGCAGTGAGCCAAGATAGAGCCACTGAACTCCAGCCTGGGCAACAGAGTGAGACTCCGTCTCAAAAAAAAAAAAAACTACACTTTGATAACATTTCCCACATATCGATTTAGCAAACATCTAGGAGTTTGACAATTCATTCTATTGGAGAGGCTGCAGAGAAACAGGAAATGCTGCTGGTGTGAATACAAAACTGCACAACCCCTATGAAGGGGAATTTGGCAGAATTAAACAAAATAACATGTTCTTTTACCCTTTGACCTAACAATCCCATTTATAGAAATCTATGCTAAAGACCCACTGGCAAAAGCATATTATATATGCACAAGGAAACTTTTGTATAGCAAAAGACTGGGAATAGTCCACATATCCACTAGTAAGGGCCTGGCTAAATAAACTACAGTACATCCATATATAACCAAAAAGAATAATTATGCCCAGTTCATTTAAAACACAGTATCTTGATTTTACATCCTTAGTTGGATACAATTTTAGAAAAAAGGAAGTACATGCAAAGTTAAACTTCATTTATCTGTTAGCAATATCTCTATTGTTATTCTGTTTTTATTCTTTATCCTGTTATTGCTATTGTTGTTTTTACATACCTGTGAATATAGGTAGATGAAGCAAATAACCATTATGTTACTATTAATATTTATTAATAGTAACATTAATAATAATTAAGGCAATGAAAAGAACCAATATTTTCATTGCCTCCTTGTGTGTAGGAAAAAAGAACCAATATTTTCATCTTAAGAGAAAGGAAGGGCCGGATGTGGTGGCTCACACCTGTAATCCCAGCACTTTGGGAGGCCGAGGCGGGTGGATCACGAGGTCAGGAGTTCAGGACCAGCCTGGCCAAAATGGTGAAACACCGTCTCTACTAAACATACAAAAATTAGCCGGGCCTGCTGGCAGACGCCTGTAATCCCAGCTGCTTGGGAGGCTGAGGCAGAGAACTGCTTGAACGTGGGAGGTGGAGTTTGCAGTGAGCCGAAATTGTGCAACTGCACTCCAGCCTGGGCGACAGAGCGAGACTCCGTCACAAAAAAAAAAAAAAAAAAAAAAAAAAAAGAGAAAGGAGACGAAAAACAAAAAGAGCTCAGCTTTAAAAAAGGATTATGACGTAGAAAAAGACACAACACTGAAGATTGTCATGGGTCTTTAAGAAAAGGAAATTTGAGACGGCTAAAACGCAGAACAGTGTGGAGTTTGGGGAAGAGATGTGGCTAAAGACAGCGTAAGCAATTTTTTAAAGTTATGTCTGAAGCAAGAAGAAAAGACAAGGAATAGGTTCAGTTTCATCTCTGATACACTGTTTCTTGTTAAAATTGATGTTTTTTTCTGCAGGCATTTGCTTCCTGAATGATGGTCCCACTCAGCCATCCACCTATACTTTCTACAAAGTCAATTTATACTGATTCTTCAGATCAGTTAATCACTGGTACGTTTCCCCTCCCCGGTCAAGGATCTTTTATTATACGCTATCATAGAATCATATTCCTTTCCTTAGCGCACTTCTCTCAACTGATAAGTGCCGCCATTAATGTACTTACTTGATAAATATATGCCTGCCTTTCCTCTTCCAGGGCCGAAACTGTGCCTGGTTTTGCTCATCATTCTACAGTATATAGCACGAGTTCAATAAACAGTTGTTAAAGCAACATATTTAACTTACATTTTGTTCCCATCTCTTCACTCAGAGACTTTTCTTTGGATTGGGAAGGGTAAAATATCCGAAGATTTGAACTCCAAAAGAAACAAAATGATTCTATGCAAACGTTTCCTACTTAAAACTCATTCATTGGGCAAATATTCACTTAGTCCCTGGCACTATTTGGTAATAGGAATACAGGAGTGCATATGGCAGATAAAGTTCTGTTGCTGCCCTTACCAAGTTTCGTGGGGGTGAGATGTGGTGTTAGTAAATGCATACTATTTTGTCTGTATTTAAATCGAGTCCAAATCTCTCGCTCTACAGCCCGCCTTGGGATGTTTCTTATATCCCAAGAAACAGAATATTTTGATGGGATCGCTGATGTTTCAGACTGCAAAAGCAGCTCAGGGCGTTTGCAGTCGTGCAAGTCAACAAGATAACCGTCTGGACCGGAAGCTGGGCTCCTCCCGGTCTCCTAACTCCAAATCCAACACCAAGCTTCTGCAGCTGCCACCTCCCGTAGACTTCGCATTTCTTCCGCACTCTCCTCTCACGACGGGTCTTCTTTGTTGTACTTAATTTCCTACGCAATAAGATTTCAGCATCACCATCAGTCCCCCAAAGACTAATTCCCACAGAGCCGAAGTTCCCACCAAAGGCCGAGGGTTAAGGTTACTAAAATCAGCGTTTCTGAATCCTGTCTCAAGTTGTCTCAACTGGGCTTCCGTAGAACGGTTTCTTCGTAAGAGGGCCTTCAGCGACAGCCGAGCTCGGAAAAGAACGGGAATAAGTTGTCTCTTACATTTCCTCAAATACTGTGAATGGTCTGAGGCGCAGGTCAGGTGTATTTAAAAACCTTTAAACAGTATTCCCCCGCCCCAAAAACTGGCCTTGAAGGAACAAGTGAAACTCATCCTGCTTTTCATGTTTGCTGGGTTTGCCCGTTACACCCCTTCGCCCGCACCTATCTAGACAGGCAGCTCTCGGCCACCCTCCGGGGTCCTGATTTTGAAAAGAGGAGTGGACCAATCAGATGTGGAGCGCTGTTTGGCGCTGCCATTTGAGCCTGGGCTGAAACTGCGGGTGTGACCCCCCCGTGGTGGCTCCGGGTGTCTGCAGTGGAGCTGGGGGCGGAAGCATGAGGCTAACGGCTTGGCTTCAGTGAACGCACCGGGATGTGCAGGCCGGGAGGTAGAGGCAGGCTGATGGGGGAGGGAACGAGCAGCCTGTGAGACGGGGTGACGGCGGCTACCAGCCCGGGCGGGCACCGGGACTGGAAGAGTTGCCTGAGCAGCCGGCTGGTCCGGCGGCCAGGCTAGGGCGGGGGCGAGCGCCCAGTTGAGCCTGCTGGGGCTGGAGGAGCGAGAAGGGTTCTCTTCACATTTCAGAGCGAACCAGACGGACAGTAAGGTTTGGAGGAAGGGGGATCGTTGGAAGTAGCAGGAAGTGGAGAGAATCTGGCAATAGGCGAGAAACCGAAAGAATCAGAAAGAAGTCTATGTGAGTAGCTGAAAGCATTGGGTGACCAGAAAGAAGGTCGCTGTAAGTGAAGGAAGAGTGAGGTGTGGCTGGATCAAAGGGCTAAGAGAAGCGGGTCTGTGTAAGTGGATGTGAGTGAGGATCAAGGAAAAGCCGTGGAAGTGGCCGGGGGTCGGGGCCGCAGAAGTGCCAGACGGGGCCGGAAAGCAGCCGAGCGGAGTTCAAATTTGAGAGCGTTTGGAAATTGGAAGACTTGGTGGCGAACGAGGGTCAGGACCTGCATCCTGCCTCAGAGTTATCGACGTATCCGGAATGTGGGATCAGAGGCTGGTGAAGTTGGCCCTGTTGCAGCATCTGCGGGCCTTCTATGGTATTAAGGTGAAGGGTGTCCGTGGGCAGTGCGATCGCAGGAGACATGAAACAGCAGCCACGGAAATAGGGGTAAGTTCTGTGAAAAGGGATTTAGGTTTAAAAGAAAGGGCACACCCTTTATCATCACTTATTAGCAGATCGTGCTAAAATGTTCACTCTGTGTATCAAAAAGAATGGTTAGGTGTGTAATTCAGTTCAGATGATCGATTGCTGATATTTAAAAAGTGACATTCTTGTTTTTTTTTTCCCCAAGGATTTTTGATCATTGAGAGAAAGTTGCAGGATTTTCCAACTTCAGCACTATTGACATTTTGGATTAGATAATTTTTGTTAGGGGAAGACGAAATGCTGTTCTGTGAATTGTGGGATGTTTAGCGGGATGTCTGTCTTTTACCCACTAGATGCTGGTAGCATCTCTCAGTTGTGACGATTAAAAATGTCTCCGGATATTGCCAGCTTACTGTATTTGGAACAGGTAGTACGTTGGGAGGGACAAAAACTCTACCCCTCCACCCTTGTTTTAGAGTAAGGTTGTAGAGGGACAAGGGAGACCAGTGCATTTTCTACATGAATCTGTAGATGAAGTATGACAGAACATTAGAAATAGGCTTCAAATGATGACTGCATATTCACTAATTTGGGAAACAGATTTGCTGCTTGGCCATATCATACTTTTGGGACAGCAATTTTTTTTTTTGTATGAGTAAATTGAGAAGCCAGAGTGGAATAATTGAGAAGTTGTTGATGTTTTGGTGGTTGAAATAAAGGGATTTTGAATGAGATTTTAATAGCTCTGCCACATAATCAGGAATTGCATTGTGAAAAATAAGCTGAATGTAAAGCATTTTATTTTAAATTTATGTGCCTAATTTATATGGTACTTCCTAGTACTTGGAGACAAGCTAATAAAGTTAATATACGTTGCTTTTAATAGTTTATGGTTTCTAAAAAAAAGTGCTTGGAGAAGAAAACCACTAACAAAAGTAATATGTGTGTCTCTTAATCGCTGATAAACTTTGGAGAAGTTATTTTTGTTGGTAGCAAATTAATGGCAATACATGTACTTACATTTAAAAAGCTACAGTGATTTTTTTCTGATTGTAAAACTGGCTTTCCAAGATCTCAAATGTAGCTGATTTTGTAAGTATATGGAAGAGTTTGTATATGGACTTTTTTTCACCCCTTTTCTTTTCTTTTCCTTTTTTTTTTTTTGTTTTTGAGATGGAGTCTCCCTCTGTCGCCCAGGCTGGAGTGCAGTGGCGCGATCTTGGCTCACTGCAAGCTCCGCCTCCCGGGTTCACGCCATTCTCCTGCCTCAGCTTCCCGAGTAGCTGGAACTACAGGCGTCCGCCACCACACCTGGCTAATTTTTTGTATTTTTTAGTAGAGACGGGGTTTCACTGTGTTAGCCAGGATGGTCTCGATCTCCTGCCCTCGTGATCCGCCCGCCTCGGCCTCCCAAAGTGGTGGGATTGCAGGCGTGAGCCACTGCACCTGTCCTTTTCACCCCTTAACAAGAAAAACTGTTGCCTGTTTTCAGAGTCGGATAGACCTGAGTTTGAGTGCTGTTCCACCCCTACTACATCTGTAAACTTGGGCTGCTTGTTTGATTTCCCTAAGCTTCAGTTTTATATCTATAAAGTGGGAACGTATTTCTCCTTGGATTATTTAGGGATTTTTAAAAAGTGAAGCTCTTTATGTAGGCCTAGCACAGTGCGTGTCACATGCCACTTCATCTAATGATAGTTGTCATATCATTGGTCTGCCTCCTAATTGGTAATCACGCCATATAAATTCAGCTAGAAACACTTATAAGAATATTCTAATGAAGAAATGTAGAAGATCATTGTGTTATGAGATCTAATGGGATAGTTTGTTTGAAAACAATTTCTTTAGCCGACTGGTGTTTGTTAGCTAACTGTAGTTTTAAGTTTTAAAAACATTTTATGAGATTAAATTTTAGTGGTTACTTGTGAAGCCAGTTATTCTAAATAATAAGACTTAAGGAAAAAAACACGCTGAATTCTAGTTATATATAACAGAAGTAGACTTACCAGCCTAAGTATCTGGTTTATTTTTACATTTGGTTTGGCTGCACAGTATCAAGAAAATTCTGATTTACCCAATAAAGGGGTTGCCCATACTAACATTTTTTTAAATAGTTCAGCTTAAAATGATGATCATAAGATTAACAAATATTTTTTGAATGCTTACTGTGTGTCAGACACTGATACAAGTGTTTTGTATGTTTTAATTTATTTAATTCTTCCTACACCTCTATGACTTAGGATCTGTGTGAGGATACCGAGGAACAGAATGTTAATTTGATCCAGGTCACTCAGCTGTTAAGTACAAGAGTTAAGATGTAAAACCTGGCATTTTTGTGGGTGCGATGGCTCACGCCTGTAATCCCAGCATTTTGGGAGGCCGAGGAGGGTGGATCACGAGGTCAGGAGATCGAGACCATCCTAGCTAACACGGTGAACCCCCCCCGCCCCACGTCTCTATTAAAAATACAAAAAAATTAGCTGGGCGTGGTGGCGGGCGCCTGTAGTCCCAGCTACTCGGGAAGCTGAGGCAGGAGAATGGGTGAACCCGGGAGGCGGAGCTTGCAGTGAGCCGAGATTGTGCCACTGCACTCCAGCCTGGGCCACAAAGTGAGACTCCGTCTCAAAAAAAATACACCTGTCATTTTTGCCTTCAGGAGCCTACTCTCTTAAGCCCTTACCATACTATACTGTCTTTTCAGCTTACAATATTTGTAAATTAATTGGAGCCAGGTGCTTGAAAGGGAATTAGTAAAATTTTGTTACTGTGTTGCGTCATTGACAATGCTGAGTGATTTTTATTGTAAAGTTAAATATAATGCTCATAAAACATAAATGCTTCTTGGTTGATAACTTGTGACATCAAAAAAAGTACTTCAGCATTCACAGAGCAGATGCATGTAAACTAAATTAACATGTGAGATTATGCATACCCACTTAAGTTTGAATAACCAGACATTTACAGGCTTGAATTTGCCTTTCAGTGCTGTGGAAAGCGACACATTTTTAAGAGGTTCGAATGCACGCACAAAGATAGTGGCAGATTCTTTATTCTTCAGTGTGCAAAAACATTCAAGTTAACCAACAAACAACTTTACTCTTGGGATCTTCAGTGTATTAAAATTTGAATGTGAGGTTTTAAAAATGGGTTTCCAGCTAGTTAAATGAAGTTTGACTTAAATATTTGCACACTCCTGCCTTGCTTACCGCAGGGCATGGTTTGAAAAGCACTCTTCTATAGAAGGTGGAAAATGTATTAGGTATAAAAATAACCTCTTCTGATGTAATTTTAGGAAGACTCAATGAATGACAGGAATTAGTGTTTTGCTTTTCAATTGACTTAGTCTTTTGTGTAAGTATTTATAAGGTGACCAAAAGAAAGTATCTAGTAAGTATTTATAAGATCATTAAAGCAACCTATAGTGTTTTGGGGTAAATGTTAGTGTTTTGGACCAAATTCTGTTTTAAGAATTTACTGACTAACCACTAACCAAATTGACTTTATGATCAGATTGGAAACTTGAGTTTACTAGATTATTTGAGGGGAATGACATTATCTTGGCCATCTTTGTACTCCCAGCACTCAGCATACTATCTAATATAGTAATTATTTGTTATCAAATGCACTTGAAATGATTATTTTTGTCTTGATTGATAGTTTATCATTTATTTCTGATTTTTTTTAATTTCCTGAGTTCTTTAATTTGCCTAAAGTTTAAGAAAACTGATATTATGCCTAATATTTGTGTTAGAGTAACTGAATTTGTCATTTTAGGGTAAAATATTTGGAGTACCTTTTAATGCACTGCCCCATTCTGCTGTACCAGAATATGGACACATTCCAAGGTAAGCAGAGTTTGAAATGAAGAAGGCCGGGTGCAGTGGCATATGCCTGTAACCCCAGCATTTTGAGAGGCCGAGGTGGGCAGATCACTTGAGTCCGGGAGCTTAAGACCAGCCTGGGCAACATGGTGAGACCTTGTCGCAAAAGATAGAAAAATTAGCTTGGCGGAGCACACTTGTAGTCCCAGCTACTCAGGGGGCTGGGGTGGGAGGATTGCTTGAGCCCAGGAGGTGGAGGCTGCAGTGAGCCTTCTAGCCAGGGAAATGAAGAAGAAGAGAGTAAGCATTTCAAACTGGTTTTAGAGAGTTTAAAAGAAATAGTTGATTAAAACATAATTGTTTCAAACCAGCAAATGATTTAATCTCTCATAATGTTAAAAATATTTTTTTAACTTTTACATATTTTAAATTTATAATTTGTACTCATTCCCAGGATTGAATTTTAAAGTCCAGTAATGAGTAAATGTTAGAAATCACAAAAAATTTTTGTTCTGTTAAGTCAGTTTTCAGTTCTATGTGAATTCTTTTGCCACAACTCAGATTAAGTAATATACTGAATTACCAATTCAGTAATAATTTTGCCTTTTTTTTGTTTGTTAAAAAAATATTGGCCAGGCACAGTAGCTCATGCCTATAATCCCAGCATTTTGAGGGCCGAGGCAGGAGGATCGCTTGAGCTCAGGATTTTGAGACCAGTCTGGGCAACAAAGCAAGACTCCATGTATAAAAAAAATTTTAAAGAAAAATCAGCTGGGCAAGGTGGTGTACACCCCTGTAGTCCCAGCTACTCCTGAAGCTGAGGCAGATGATTGTTTGACCCTAGGAGTTTGAGGCTGCAGTGAGCTATGCTCATTGCCACTGCACTCCAGCATTGGCAACAGAGTGAGACCCTGTCTCTTGAAAACAAATATTGGATAAAAGAATATTTAAGCTAAGATATTAGAGTGTTTGTGAAAATGTATTATGTATCACTTAGCTTTTCTATGCCACTTACTATTTATAAATAACCTTTTGTTCTTTTTTTTTTTTTTTTGAGACAGAGTTTCGCTCTTGTCGCCCAGGCTGGAGTGCAATGGCGTGATCTCGGCTCACCGCAACCTTCACCTCCTGGGTTCAAGTGATTCTCCTGCCTCAGCCTCCCGAGTAGCTGGGATTACAGGTGTCCACCACCACACTTAGCTAATTTTTGTATTTTAGTAGAGATGGGGTTTCACCATGTTGGCCAGGCTGGTCTCAAACTCCTGACCTCAGGTGATCTACCTGCTTCAGCCTCCCAAAGTGCTAGGATTACAGGCGTGAGCCACTGTGCTGGCCTATTCTAACTGCATCAGAAATTACTAGGAAAGTTTATGTTTTAAGAATATAATTTAGCCGGGCGCGGGGGCTCACGCCTGTAATCCCAGCACTTAGGGAGGCCCAGGTGGTGGATTGCTTGAGCCCAGGAGTTCAAGACAAGCCTGGGCAACATGGTGAAACCTTGTCTCTACAAAAAATAGAAAAATTAGCTGGGCGTAGTGATGTGTGCCTATAGTCCCAGCTAGTCGGGAGGCTGAGGTGGGAGGATCACTTGCGCCCAGGAGGCAAAGGTTGCAGTGAGCAGTGATCGCACCACTCCAGCCTGGGTGACAGAGCGAGACACTGTCTCAAAAACTAAAAGAAAAAAAAAAAGCAGATTTTCGGCGTCTGGAATTGCAAAGTCATATTCCCAGGAATCATGACTAAATCTTCATTGCAATTTCATGACCTACTTTTTATTTAATTAAAAAGACTGTTTTGTCAGTTACCTTCTGTAAATAAGGCTGACATTCAGCCACTGTGCACCAATACAGCTGTATCAATTGTTGGTAGCCGATATTCATTCTAATTTGTGGGTCCCAGCTGTTCAATATCTAGGTATCTAAAGCCAACATTGAGATTTATTTGAACATTGTTCAAAATAAAGAAATTGAGCACATTCCCCTTAATATGAAAAGGCTTGTAAGGACTGGGATATATCCTACTTTTCTGAGGGATAATGTTGGGGTGAGGAAAAAAAACCTCGCCCTGTTTTTGGGTGATGTAGGAGATGAGAAAATCACCCATGAAGAGATAGTAGATAAAAGAAGGTGGCCTTGGACGGAGCCCTGGGTTGTTCCAGCATGTAGAGGTTTCACATAAGAGGAGTGAGAAAAGGAATTTGAGAAGGAGCAGGCAGGGAGATAGCAGGAAAACTAAAAGAGTAGTGAAAAAGTATTTTTGAGATGAACAGGGAAGGGATCAGGTGTGTCAAATGGTGATAGATCGAGCAATACGAGGACAACACACTGACCATGGATTTGGCAAGGCAGAGGCTGTTAGTGAGCTTGAAGAGAGCTATTTCTTTGGAGTAATGAGGTATGAGAATGATTGGATAGGGGTGAGTAGAGACTGAGATATGAAGAAGTAGAGGCAGAAAAAAAAGACAAGTCTTACGCTCTGAAGGGAAGCAGAAATGAAGTAGGATTGAGAAAGATAAAATTTAGTGTGCATATTGGAGTTGTTATAAGTAAAAAGATGGGCCTTGGAGAAGAATTTGGAAAGCAAGTAGACAACTAAAAGTAACATTTCATCTCAAAGACTACAGAGATTTGTGGCTTTAGAGCCTCTGAAAGGTCTGTAGTGCTTGGCCTGCTCATGTATGTTAGCAGAGGAATAGGATGTGATATGTATGTCTAGCCACCTGAAAAAATCTCTCTTTCAGCTTTCTTGTCGATGCTTGCACATCTTTAGAAGAACATATTCATACCGAAGGGCTTTTTCGGAAATCAGGATCTGTGATTCGCCTAAAAGCACTAAAGGTGAGCATATTGTTGAACTATAATTTTTCATTTGAGCCATTTTCTGATTTGGTTTTTAAAACTGAAATATTTAGAACTATTAATATGAATAGTTGACAGAAATTGAATTTGCATTTTTTTCATGGCAGAAGATTTTTTTTTTTCCAAAAGAAATGGTATATTATTTCTATCGTGCTTTAAAAATTTAATAGGGTACTTTTAAATTCATGGTCCTTATTTCTATCAAGTATTATGTAAAATGAAAAAATGTGTTAAGTTATATTGTTGTTAGCCTTCTAGAAGGAGTGATATAGCTGAGTGTGGTGGCACATGCTTGTAGTCCCAGCTACTTGGGAGGCTAAGGCAGGAAGATTGCTTGAGCCTGGGAGTTTGAAGCCAGCCCAGGCCACATAGTCTGTGCCACATTTCTATAAAAATAAAAATAAATTCAAAAATCATTAAAAATAAAGTAGTGACATATATTAAAATAAGAGTTAAGAGAAATTTATTAAAGAAAAGTGTAATTAGAGTATAACAAAAGATTCTTTATTTGCAATAAACTCTTAAGTTGCCAAAATACTCAAGATTATTATATTTATTTCAGAATAAAGTGGATCATGGTGAAGGTTGCCTATCTTCTGCACCTCCTTGTGATATTGCGGGACTTCTTAAGCAGTTTTTTAGGGAACTGCCAGAGCCCATTCTCCCAGCTGATTTGCATGAAGCACTTTTGAAAGCTCAACAGTTAGGCACAGAGGAAAAGAATAAAGCTATACTGTTGCTCTCCTGTCTTCTGGCTGACCACACAGTTCATGTATTAAGATACTTCTTTAACTTTCTCAGGAATGTTTCTCTTAGGTAAGTGGTAATTAAAACTCTTGGCAAATAATAGTTGAATTTTTCAACTAACGTTTTATGCTTGTAGATATGTACAATTTCATTTGGAATGGAAATTTTTCTTTAAAAATTCCATATTTCATTACTATGAGGAGTATACTCTAATTTAAGAAACAGCATACCAAATGATTTAATATTTCCTTATCTTAAAGTCATCATCATGAATGCCTTAATGGTTCATCATTGGTGTTTATAAGATTCATTGTCCACTGAAAGCCTTTGTTTACTGGGTTTTTAAAATATTTCTGTTTTGCTTTTCAAAATTTCCCTCTCCCTGCTGTCAGTGAGCCTGCTTATTCTAGACATACTTGCTGCCTTCTGATACTTCCAACTTTTTATGTGTAGGTCTGAAAATCAGATAAAGATGTTCAATTTGTGTGGAAAAGCAAAGTATGAACTCTAAGATTAGCATGGTTTTTAGAATACATATTTAAATATAGAGAGGCTATATATTTCTGGTTCTTTCTTGTGTTCAAGCCAATCATGTAGATGAAGGGTAACTATTTTGACTTGTGTATGACTGATAATAAAGTCTTCAAAATGTACTACATACGTTATTTTAACTCTTCTGTATTTTCACGTTTGGCTCCATCTAATAAAGCGTTTATTCACTTAAGATCCAGTGAGAATAAGATGGATAGCAGCAATCTTGCAGTAATATTTGCACCAAATCTTCTTCAGACAAGTGAAGGACATGAAAAGATGTCTTCTAACGCAGAAAAGAAGGTACGATTACAGGCTGCAGTAGTACAGACTCTTATCGATTATGCATCAGATATTGGTAAGATGTAGTTGCATTATTAACAGAATTTGTTTAAATGAGGAAAATCTCTGTTTCTTTCAAAGGAACTATGAAGGCAACTGTTAGAAAGTTGGTATATTACTGACCTCACCCCCACCCTACAGTACCGGCCCCTCCTGCAAAGAAAAAAAGAAAAGAAATTGGTATATTAGTATCTAAACATTTTTGGGGAAGAGTGGAGGAAGGATAATAATTGTCTTACTTGTGAACATTTTCATTTAGGGCGTGTACCAGACTTTATCCTGGAAAAGATACCAGCCATGTTGGGTATTGATGGTCTCTGTGCTACTCCATCACTGGAAGGCTTTGAAGAAGGTGAATATGAAACTCCTGGTGAATATAAGAGAAAGAGAAGACAACGTGTAGGAGGTAAGTGGTGGTCCCATTTTATGGAGGTACAGTGATTTGCTTTAATCGAAAGTACATTTCACATAAAGAAGCATGAACTGTGGTATGTGCCTTTTTGGTGCTTAAAGCACAGCTGGAAAGATAGGACGTATGCGTGTAAAAAGTTAAAGCGATAGTACAATCTAATGTTAAGTGCTACATCTTTAGCACAAACATAAAATGTGTTAAAAGGAGAAAAGCTCCCTGGATTGTAATTATCAGGGACTTGTCAAAGAGGAGCCAAACTGAACCTTCTTGAATAATGGATAGAATTTAGTGGGATTGGGTGGAGGATCAGAATACTTGTATCCTATTCTAGATGAGAAGGATGCTATGAAGAAAGGTTTGTGTAGGGAAGAAGTAACCTATGTCTAATGTAGATAGCGCAGTATGACTTGAGTGAAGTGTTCAGCATAAGGATAAAGGATGGTATTATGGTAAACTTAATGCCAGGCTAAAGAATTAGAATATTAACCTGGGTGTTGGTGAATCATTGAAGATTTATGATGTGAGGCATGATATGATTTAAAAATTTTAGAAAATTACCTGATTTGAAGAATTGAGACTTGGAAGTAGGGAGAATGGTCAGCAATGTGTGTCAGTAGTCCAGGCATGAGATTATTGTTTGAACTTGTTAGTGACATGGATTAGTTAGTTAGGAGTACGAACTAAATAATGAAGGAAATATTATCAAGGAAGAATCAGAAAGACCAAAAGACCATCATAAGATGGTAGAGTTGGTAATAAAACTTGCAATCTCCTTGATCAAGAAATCAGAGGCCATTATTCTTCCAATTACTTTAGGAAATTTATTATCTTTTGAATATCAGAACCAAATGTTACTAACTATCCCAATCCCTTTTTCATCTTTTGGTTTATTTGTTATTGCATACTTGTGTTTCTTCTTTACCTCCTTTGTAGATAGGATAATACTGATGACTTATGTATGATTTTCCTAGGGCTACTGTAGCAAAGTACTACAAACTAGGTGGCTTAAACCAACAGAAATTTGTCTCACCGTTCTGGAGGCCAGAAGTCTGAAATCAAGGTGTTGGCAGAATGCCTGAAACCTGCAGGGGAGAATCCTTTCTTGCCTCTTCCTGGCTCCTGGTAGTGGCTGTCAGTCCTTAGCATTCCTTGGCTTGCAGCCGCGTCACTCCAATCCCTGCCTATGTCATCCCATGGTGTTGCTCTGTGTCAGAACTTCCCTCTTACAGGGCACATTGGATTAGGGCCCACCCAAATGACCTCATTTTAACTCGAGTACATCTGTAAAGACACGAATTCCAAGTATGGTCACCTTCATAGGAACTGGGGGTTAGGACTTAAACATAGGTTTTTTGGAGAACACAATGCAACCCATAAAACTTCCTATCCCAAATGGAGATATTTCTCAGATGCAGATCATCTTTATTGCCCTCTTTCCCAGTCCTGTAGTTTCAGTTATCACCAGTCCTGTAGTTTCAGTTATCACATCTAAATAGATAACCACCACATCTGTACCACCGTTATCTTGAAAATGTCAGTTCCACTTTACTAATGGCTTGCTAGGGAGACCTCATCACATCTGCTTTTCATTGGTGCTTTAAGCTTAACGTTTTGAAATGACCATCTTTATCCTCTTTATCCTGGTTCTGTGTGAATTCCATTTTCTTCTAACAGCACCACTATTCCCTAGATAACTCAGGCTTTAACCATGGGTTCTACCTCTTCCTCTACCATCTATAATCAGACAGTTTTTGTGTCATATAAGATTCTATCTCCATAGTGTTTATTGCATTGTTACTGTAAGAATCTTCTTGGCCGGGTGCGATGGCTTACGCCTGTAATTCCAGCACTCTGGGAGACCAAGGTGGGCGGATCATGAGGTCAGGAGATCGAGACCATCCTGGCTAACACAGTGAAACCCCGTCTCTACTAAGAATATAAAAAATTAGCTGGGCGTGGTGGCGGGCGCCTGTAGTCCCAGCTACTTGGGAGGCTGAGGCAGGAGAATGGTGTGAACCTGGGAGGCGGAGGTTGTCGTTGGCTGAGATCGGGCCACTGCACTCCAGCCTGGGCAACATAGCGAGACTCCGTCTCAAAAATAAAAATTAAAAAAAGAATCTTCTTGGTCTTTATGCCTCCTCCTTGAATCTACCCTACATATTGCTATTAAGGCTCACTTTTTTTTTTTTTTTTTTTTTGAGACGGAGTCTGTCTTTGTCACCCAGGCTGGGGTATAGTGATGCTATCTTGGTTCACTGCAATCTCCACCTCCTGGGTTCAAGCGATTCTCTTGCCTCAGTCTCCCAAGTAGCTGGGATTACAGGTGCACGCTACCATGCCTGGCTAATTTTTGTATATGTAGTAGAAAGGGGGTTTCACTGTGTTGGCCAGGCTGGTCTCTAACTCCGGACATCAAGTAATCTGCTTGCCTTGGCCTCCCAAAATGCTAGGATTACAGGTGTGAGCCACTGGCACCTGGCCAAGGCTTACATTTTAAATGTATAACTCTACTCAAGTATCTCACACACATACCCTTCAGAAATTTTAATTGGTAATAGGGATATTTATAGCTTGGCATTAAAGGTCTTTCATAGGATTGCTCTAGCAATCTGTCTACCTGTCTACTATTTCCTGTCTTTGAGCAACTTTAGTCAAACGGTGTTATTTATTTTCCAGACACTTTTATTCATTTGCTTACATTATTTATTGATATAATGTTTTTACTTCCATCTCTACTGATCTTTTAAATACTTTTATTCGTGCCTCCATTTCCATGGTTCTTGCCTCAGTTCAGACCTTCATCTTTTGCCTTAACATGTAATGATTTCTTTTTCCCTACCCTTACTGTACATTATATGTATTTGTATTACATTTCTTTCTGTATTATGTCTTTTTTATTTTAGGGATATGGAAGTATAAGTGGGGAATGGAATAAAAATATATCCTTTAGTATTTTTCCTATTTTGAAATAATTCCTCTTAAATAACTTAAAATTTATAAGCCGATGTAAAGTTACATGTTGAAAGAAGACCGCAAATATTAATATGAATTATTGGTGAAAGACAAGTAAATGTGAAGTTGTAATTGCTTATGTCTTGCATTTCAGATTTTGTTAGTGGAGCACTAAATAAATTTAAACCTAACAGAACACCTTCTATTACACCTCAACAAGAAAGAATTGGTAGGTATTTATTATATGCATTTATTTAAATTAAAATTTGTATAGTATTCTATAAAATACAATTACAATAATAATTGCCTAACTTAGTAATCAAATTTAGTTTAATCAAATCAAATATTATTTTTAATAGTCATACTGTACTATACACACTATGTTGTGACATTGCTAATTACATAGGCTATAATGAACCCAAAATTGTAGGCAAAAATTTTTTTAGTTTCCTATGTCTTTAATCTTCTTAATCATGCTTTTCTGTTTGTAATTTAGATGCTATTGAACGTGTGAAAATAGTTCAACCTCATTTTTATCTTAGGACTAGAAGTTCATTATTGTATATTTCAATTTTTTATCCTAATTTGCTTGTGGCTGAAATTATTCAGCCAGTAAGAGTCAACATGATCTTCTGTTTTCTAGAGTGAAGAAATGAACTGGTTAATACTCACTTATGATGAAAAGCAAAAATAATATTTAGATTAGTTTTTGTTTCAACTCCTTGATTGTAATTTCTTCCTTACATTAATATTCTTTAATGTATATCATATGCATCTTTTAGTCTGTTAGATTTAAGTAACTGCTGTCTCTTAAGAGTCTTGCCTCTGCGACTTCCTTATTTTCATTTAAGTAATTGCAGAGTGTTTTAGTTAAACAACATCTACTTAACTGATGATGTAAATATATTCTCATTTTTTGTTTAGCTCTAAGTAATAGCTTTATAAGAAGAAATTATGTAAAGCTTTTATATGTTGTCAACTCTGCAGTAGAAGCAAGAAGTTGGTTTTGTTTTGATATTTTTTCAGCCCAGCTATCTGAATCACCAGTGATTCTTACACCAAATGCTAAGTGTAAATTGCCATGCCAGTAGATTCTTCTCATGGTTTCTCAAGTAAGAAAAGGAAGTCCATCAAGCACAATTTTAACTTTGAGCTGTTGCCAAGTAATCTCTTCAATAGCAGTTCTATACCAGTATCAGGTAGCAAATAGAATTTATATAAATGGATTGTAAAGATTAAAATGAGTGCCTATTCTGGGCACAGTGCAATTTCATATTAATAATACCACCCTTAGGAACTAGAACTTTATTCTGTTTTATCCAACCTATGAATTTTTATAAAACCCCCTGCCTTTTAAAATAGACAGTGTTTCAATATAGAGTGTGTGTGTGTGTGTGTGTGTGTGTGTGTGTGTGTGTGTGTTATGACAACATCTATTGAAAGTTGTGATAACCCAGAGTAGTAGTTTGGGCTTCTGGTGATAGCATTGATGCTTAGGTTTTATGTGATTAGACATCCTGAATCCTGCTATAGTTACATCTGGGTCTATAGCTGTGGCTTTATTGCTGTCATTTGTTGAATTGAGGTTGCCAGATGTTTGATCATGTCTGATTCCCAAGTGGGAGCGTTACTATTGCAGGTTATGGTTTGAAAATGAGGGTATTTTTAAAGTTTTAGACTCAAGTACCTTTTGTAAAAGCTTTAGAACTTTGTTGACGCTGTTCCTTGTGCCATGGCTTCCAGATCCCTTACCAGCCCAGCCATTTTCTTCCATATTAACTACAAGTTCTAATGTGGCCAACCAGAGCCTTCAGAGAGTAATAGAGTATGATCATGCTAATCCGGAGATTAGTCTGGGTCTTAGATTCAATTGGCTCTTTTAGCATATACAGAATTCAAGTTGGCTCATATTAACCTTACGATCAACCAAAAATGAAATGAAACTCTAAGCCCAGGGTCCTCCATCTCATTTATCTTACATTTAGTCAAAATGTGAGTGATCTCTGATTATTTTAGATTTTTATTTTGTTGGTTTCAGACAATGTTAAGTTTCATTTTTGATTCATTATCTGAGTTATATGAGTTCCTTCCCAAAGCCTGTCTCTTTTTTCTGTTGTCCAAAAGGGTTCTTATTTGTTTTATTGAGAAGTTGAACAGAATAGCAACTTGAGGTTTTCCAGAAAAAACACTTCCTCACAGGTTCTCTAGGGCTCATTGAAATGTGATGATAGTAACTCTGAAGCTTATGTCTGTAGCTTTTGCAGTGTTCACAGGTTGGAGACTTAAACTTTTTTAAGTAACATAGTTCAGTTTTTTTTTTTTTGAATATTTAAAAGCCTTTGCAGTTTGGAGGACTTTTTCCAAATGGCAAATGGGAGTTGTAGTTCTACCTGCCTTTGCTTATTAGCATTACATTTTCCCCAAGGAATGAACATACTGATTCCTTCTTCTCCTCCTCCAAGCTCCCAAAACAGAGGTTAAACAGTCTTGTTCTATTTTTAGTTTGAGCTTGCCTAATCAATGAATTTTTTAATAAAAAAATTTAAAAGTTCAACAATAATAATCGTATTATTTTTACACCACTTTTCTTTGACCCTACTTTCTCAGCCACAATTCAACAAATTCCATTTGCAAAATTGAAAATAGATTGATTTCTAAGTTTAGATTATAAAAAATATGATGCTTTTAAAAATATATAAAGACAACATTAGTCTGTAGTCCATAGAGTATCTATTCATAATTGTCTCTTTTTTTTTTTTTTGAGACAGAGTTTTGCTCTTGTTGCCCAGGCTAGAGTGCAATGGCACAATCTCGGCTCACTGCAGCCACCACCTCTCAGGTTCAAGCGATTTTCCTGCCTCAGCCTCCCAGGTAGCTGGGATTATAGGTGGCCACCACCACACCTGGCTAATTTTCTTTTGCATTTTTAGTAGAGACGGGGTTTCACCACGTTGGCCAGGCTGGTCTTGAACTCCTGACATCAGCTGATCAACCTGCCTTGGTCTTCCAAAGTGCTGGGATTACAGGTATGAGCCACCATGCCTGGCCATAATTTTCTTACAGATGTGATAAATTTGCATTGTTCCATATATTCTGACTGTGCCTTCTGCGACCATTGACGCATTTTTTTATTTTTATTTTTTGAGACGGAGTCTCGCTCTGTCTCCCAGGCTGGAGTACAGTGGCATGATCTTGGCTCACTACAACATCCACCTCCGATGTTCAAGTGATTCTTGTGCCTCAGCCTCCTGAGTAGTTGGGATTACAGGCATGCACCACCACACCCAGCTAATTTTTGTATTTTTAGTAGAGATGGGATTTCACCATGTTGGCCAGGCTCGTTTGAACTCCTGGCCTCAAGCAATCTGCCCTCCTCAGCCTCCCAAAATACTGGGATTACAGACGTGAGCCACGGTGCCTGGCTGGACACATTTTTAAAGTGACTAGACTGCAGCCCTAGAATAAAGCTACTTATGACACTTTAGATGTATAATATTGGCTTCCAAAATTTTCTTTAGCTAAATGCACCCAAAAGTTTCTAAGGTGGTTGTATTTTTTTCCGTTTTCATAATTGAAAAAATGTGAATGTCTCTGGGAAACTTTGTGAATTCTTTATTAATAACTCAGATGAATTGAGAGGGTTCATGTTTGTTGAATGTGTCCTGGGTGTGATTCAAACATAAATGTATATGGAGCCTTTGTTCATAACTATTTTACTTCTTTTGTAATTGTTTACTATAGTTGATTTCATAATATAAATGGTGTTAAATAATTGAGCTTCTGTTGTACCAGTAATTATTTGCATGGAACACAGCAGCAGCCAAGGGATTAGGAATGTGTTATAGAATAATTAGTTTTTGTTTACTTGCCAAAAATATTGAACAAATTACATTCAGGAGTCAGGTGGGTAGCAGTTGGCCAGCAGGTATATCTCAAATACTCAGATTCCAACTTGTTTGCCAATAGCTTATTTTTTATAATACCATTAATTAGTATTATGTACTAGATACTGACTAAATATTTTATATAGATAACAGTAATATTCATCATAGAAGTCCGTTTTCAGAGCCTAAAGCCATTTAGTAAGTGATGGAGCAAACTCAAGCCTGTCTCCAAATCTTGTTCTTTTTCCAGTCTGCAATGGTGCCTATCCCTGCCTTGTATTATTAAAAGAGTTTAAAGAAAAGCTCTAATATAAAAGTAATGCTTAAGCTGACCTTTAATTGGCAAGTCAAAAGTAAGAAATGAATGCTTTTTCTTAGCTGAGTTGGGTTATTTGACACTTGAAGTTTCTAACCAGAAATTAAGTGATTTCGGTTGTTGCTTGGGATAGAAATTAAGGCTTTGAATCTAATTGCTGCTATTGGAGGGCAGTAGAATGTGGTAGTTGGAGTTGCATGATACTTGATTCATATGTCTGTGTAATGATGGTGTGCAGTACCCTGATTGCTCCTTTTACATTCTTTCTGTAAAAGGAAAAATAAAACATGAGAATAGTGCTGTTAACTAAACTATCAAATTTATTTGAATTTTACCAGTTGCCTCTAATATTCTTTTTGTTTTCTTCCAGGATGCCACATTACAGTTTGTTGTTATGCCCCCTTAGTCTCATATAATCTGTCCTAGTCTTTCATGGTTTTGTCAGAATTTCTCAGACTTTTCTTGCCTTTCATGACCTTGACAGTTTTCTTTTTTTTTTTTTTTTGAGATGAAGTCTCACTCTGTCACCCAGGTTGGAATGTAGTGGTGTGATCTCAGCTCACTGCAACCTCTGCCGACCGGGTTCAAGCTATTCTCCTGCCTCAGCCTCCTGAGTAGCTAGGATTACAGGGGCCTGCCACTGCGCCTGGCTAAGTTTTGTAGTTTTAGTAGAGACGGGATTTTATCATGTTGGCCAGGCTGGTCTTGAACTCCTGACCTCATGATCCGCCTGCCTAGGCCTGCCAAAGTGCTGGGCGTACAGGCGTGAGCCACGGCACCTGGCCTTTGTATGTTTTTGTAATACATGTTATAAAACGTATGACTCAAGTCCTTGACACTTTGAAGAGTAACTGGTTGGGTGTTTTGAAGAATGTCCCTTAATTTAGGTTTGTCTAAGGGTTTCTCATGATTAGAATGAGATTATGAATTTGGATTATGAGATTAGAATGGGAATATGCATTTTAGTAAGAATACTGCAGTAAATACAGTAATGCTGGTTACTTAATTAGTAAAGGTTTTAAGAAATATTACATATAGAAGTTTTGCAGAAGTTAGGTATAGAAATGATGGTTGAATTTTTAATTAAAAGTCTCAAGATGCAGTATCTGGCTGTCCGAAGCTCATGGATCCAACTACATGGTTTCTTCACATTTCTCAAATTGTGCACTTTCCAATTCATGCTATTATGGCTTCCTTGAATGGAGTCTTCTCTGATATAACCATAAAGTTCCAGCCATCCTTCAAGACCTCAACCCACCTTATACCTCTTCTGTAAACCCAGTGCCAACTATATCAAGTAAAGTGCTTGCTGTATTCTCTAAACTACTATTTACAAAAAAAAAAAATTCTTTCTGTCCAGGGTTTTGTCTGTAGTTATGTCCTGCCTCTTTTGAATTGTGAAATATTTTGTTGTTTATCAAATGTTTGTCTCATCTTCCCAACCAGAATGTCAGCTCTCTGAAAATAGGATTGTGTCTTTTATATTTTTGTATCCCCCTTAGCACTTGGCATAGAGCCTTACCTTGGCACGGTACCCAATAGATATTTGTTGAATGACTGAATTTCTAATTAGAGGTAAATTATCTAAAGAGTAAGCCAAGATAGGGGTGAATTTTTTCTTTGAAGCTTTATTTTATTACAGATATCAATTGAAATGATTTTTTAAAATAAATTATCTATATTTGTATGTTTTAATCTGAAAAGGCATCGTTCTTATTGTTTTTGGTAACAAATTTTACACATTCTTTTTTTGTCCTCATTGATTTATTATCTGATATAAGGGACATATAAGGAGACATATCAATCTCAAAAATTGTCTCAAAAGGTTTTATTTTTTTTAACCACAGATAATGAAACAACCACCATCGGTTAAATTTGATCCAAAAATATTGCATCTACCAGCATTTTCAGGTAGGATCATAAAGGACTTATCGAACATGTAGACTGTCTGTATACAGATACGAATATGAAATTTATTCACAAATGGAATATTTGTATGTGAATAACTAAATTTATTTTGTCTTGACAATTGGTTATATTCTTGGGTCAGTGTTATGTGAATTGTAAGTAATCTGTAATTCATTTGTGCCAGCTGTTGACATGAGTCTGGGCTGCCCTGTCCTCTTGTGTGTGGGGAGGTTCCTGTAGATCTGGGCAAGTTTTCCTGTAGAGTGGGTGGGGGGCCTCCTCCCTTCCGTTCATAGAGCTGGTTGAATTTCCACCATTTATGGCAGGTGTAGGTGCACAGGGTTGGGGACAACAAGGAAGGATTGGGATTCTATTGGCGGGACCAGGACATTTGAGAACGGGACTAGGTGGTTCATGACTGTGGAGATGGTGTGGGAGTGGAGATACTTAAGGGATAATTATTACATTTCTGTTGAGCTAATGAAAATCTTATTTAGGGTGAAAGTCAGAAATTTTTACATACCTTAAACTTTTTTTTTTAACAAATTATATTTTAAGCTGTTAAACTCAATTTGGGGAAAATTATTCATTGTGGCTAGATTAGAATCTATGATTTGAAATAAATTTAAAATATATTTAGGTTTAAATAAACTAGCTAAGGGTTTGTATCAGTCAACCTAATTACCGATAAAAACAACCAAAAAAACCTGTGAAGGATGTTTTTGAAAGACCAAAGTGAAGCAAAATATTAATAGTGCTTTCAGTGCCAAGTAGGTCTATTTATGCAAACCTAGAGAATTATTACCTGGAAATACTATTTATTTTTTCTTCTTTGGTTTATTTAGGAAATTATATTTACAATTTCTTTTGTCTAAAGATTGAGATCAGCCAAAAATATGTTAATTTTAGGGGGTATCACATTTCCTAGATTTTGCCCTTTTTTTGTATAGGGATTTGGAGCTAAAATTTCAGGTGATTTTAGCTATCATGTTATCCTCGTTATTTTTTTACAGTGATTTTATTGGAACTTTTTAATAACTGGGATTTGTGCTTTTCTCAATATTTGAGAGTTGATTTATTTATACAAAGGCTCTTTTGTCTTTTACTTCAGTCGTATTCAACTTTACATTTTGTTATAGTCTAGGTTGTGGGACAATTCTGCTTTAGACATCTGCTTTATTTGAAAGCATAGTTTTCCATTGAAGTGGTTAAAAAGTTTCCATGTGTAGATAAAGAGATGGGAAATATAGAAGGACAAATAGAAGTAGTGTCATCTTTGGAGTATTTTTGATTTTGACAGTGTAATGTTTTCTTTATCCTCATCTTAGTTGTCGTAATTCTGTGTTTCTCATGTAATGTTTCCAGCAGTTGTTTTTCTCATCATCATACTTCTGTTATTTTCTTTCCTTGGCAGTGGATAAGTTATAATTTCTGAAAGACCAAGATTGGAATGACTTTTTGTAACAAGTGTGCTCGCAGATCGACTCCAGTGAGAAGAGCTCGGGGACCTCCTGAGCCAAGTTTAATCTCCTTTGCTATTTGTGCATGGTGGCTGGTCACCAGGAGGTGGCCACCAGGCTTCTCCTTTCCCCGCTGGTAGGCCTCTGTGACATGACTTATGCATTTAAATGTATGTTTTTATAGAGGCTCAAACAAGTGCTAAAATAGCAATTTGATTTAACTACCATGAAAAAACTGATTTATCATGATTTTAGGTTTATGCAAATTATCGTCTGCTTAATCCTTAGGTCTTAAAGTAGATGAGAGTAGATGGTGATTTTGAACTTTCTGTTGTTGTTGTTTGTAATACTTAGATTTCCATTTTATGTTAACTTGTAAGATTTTAAAAAAATATATAGGCTGAGGCAGGAAAATGGCGTGAACCCCAGGGGCGCGGAGCCTGCAGTGAGCTGAGATTGTGCCACTGCACTCCAGCCTGGGCGACAGCGAGACTCCGTCTCAAAAAAAAAAAAAAATATGTGAAATTAGCCCAGGCGCAGTGGCTCATGCCTGTAATCCCAGCACTTTGGGAGGCTGAGGCGGGTGGATCACCTGAGGTCAGCAGTTTGAAACCAGCCTGGCCAACGTGGTGAAACCCCATCTCTACTAAAAATACAAAATTAGCCGGGCGTGGTGGTGCACTCGTGTAATCCTAGCTACTGGCGAGGCTGAGGCAGGAGAATCACTTGAACCTGGGAGCCAGAGGTTGCAGTGAGCCGAGATTGCGGCATTGCACTCCAGCCTGGGCAAAAAGAGCGAAACTCCATCTCAAAACAAAACAAAACAAAACGTGATATCATAAGACCTTTTCCCTTCTCATCAGTGACTGGAATGAACTGCCCATGTGGAATGGGTTGTGGGTGTTGGTTCCTTTACTGGGTCATCTGGTAAACTGCAAGGTTTCTGCTGTGACATTGAAGGCAGACATCAACCCCCTAAGACATTTTTTTCCTATCCTCTGGGAATATTACGTTTTGGACAATCTTGGTCCATTGGTAAGCTTATGGGAATTTGTCAGCGTTTTTTTGTTTTTTGTTTCTTTGGGCTCATGTTTAGCATCGATTGGCAGAGTTTTTGGAGTCATCCTCAGAAAGGAATTACGGTGGTTCAGAGGTGTTTTCTGTAGTGGGCCCTCATTTGGGAATTGGCTTGAAAAAATTTAAGTTCATTTGCTCCCAGGATAGTATTAAGGTTACTTTTTTCGATAGTTGGTGTGTGTCTATCAGGTAAGGGCAGTCATTTAGAGAATATAAAGTGGTAGGAGAAACTAAAAGTACTGTTCTTAGTTTCTATTTTAATCTTATTCATATACAAGTGCCTTTGTAATTTAGTAAATATCATTTTTGGTATACAGCATAAATTTCCTTTTTATAAAGATCTGAGTTTTTAACTTTGCTGTCACTTTCTGTGTTGTGTGAGTTAAATATTTTAATTTTTTCTTTTTTTATATTTAAATTTTTTATTCTAGTTCTAATTGCTAATCCAGTATTTGCGGATAGCTCCAAACTGGGATATGTAAGTAACATTTATATTTTAAAAATTATTTTTCATGACTTTATTAAGTAGTTATAGCATACATACTTATCAAAAGCACAGTCCTAAATAATTATCATAAATTTTTCTGACATAATGATGACTCTACTCATAGGCAATTTTTATGGGCATTCCAATTATAAATTTTAGAATATTTAAAAATAACCCTTCTCCTAATATACAATTCTGGGATTATCTAAGCTACTCCTGGAAACTTTATTAACTGTTCTTGTTTTTTTATTTTCATAGAGACAAGGTCTCTCTCTATGTTGCCCAGGCTGGTTTCCAACTCCTGGGCTCAAGTGATTCTCCCATCTCTGACTCCCAAAGTGTTAGGATTACAGGAGTGAGCCACTGCGCCAGGCTAACTGTTACTGTTTTGAGTATTGGTTATAAAATACTTCAACCCTGATCCCTGTGTATTAATTTAGTTATACTTCCTCAAAGTTTCCCTTGGCCACCCTTATCTGTCCCTCATGTAGCACGTAGCTTCCCTATGATTTTATTTATAAGCTAATGAGATTATGATTTATAAACTCCCAATGGAAGGAAGTGTCCTTACTTTTTATAGGAGCAGCATACCAGGTGGAAAGCACCGTAGATCAAGTGTTAGAAGGCTCTGGGTTCCTGTTGCCTGTAAGACTTGGCCAAATGATTATCTTTTTCTCATTCTCTGTTTCCTGGGGAGGGTGAGTGGAACAAGGAAATGACATAGGTTTAGGATTCAGACAGACCTGGGTGTGGATCAAAGATCTGTGTTCTGGGCCAATTACTTTAATTGCTGAGTCGAAGTTTCCTCATCTGTAAAATTTCGATGGAGATGAGATAACTACTTCATAGATTTTTGTAATTATTCCACTGTGAATGAGGTAAATATGTGATACCTTGTATAGTGCCTGATTCTTAGTGGGTATTTCACTTACAATGGGGTTGGGGTTGTAGAAGTTGCAGTTATTATCATGAAGCTTGCTTATCTCATGACTGTTAGGAAAAGCACATGAAAAAACGGAGGTGAAAGGATTTTGTGAATTGTGGCAGTGGTATAATAATTATTCTTCGATGCTGGTAAAATATGGGTGAAACAATAGGAGTTTAGAAAATGCTTAATAATAAGGGTAATTCTTATTATACATCTTGTAATGTTACTCTCCCAAAGTAAAATCTGGTAATAGAAAGTAGGATTTAATACTTTGAGCATTTAATACTTTGAGAAGGCTTATGGTATGCTCATTAAAAATGAATCAATGAAATATTTATTTAAACACTTTTATTTAAAACATGTTATACCCTTGAATGGCGTGCCCCCTGTTGACATTTTCAAACAGACATTCCAAATCATTTCCAAGTACAGTCATCCCTCTGTATCAGCCCGGAGATTGGTTCTAGTATCCCCTTGGATACCAAAATTCACACATACTATTTTTCCTCTGCTTTTAAGAATTGAAGTTTGATTGTAAAACTGTTTTAATTTGAATAAAATGATACTGAGGTAGACAAGTTCTCTGGTAGGAATCTTCTTTTATTCTCTTTCTCCATTCAAAGCCACTTCTAGTGAGGTTTTCTCTGATCTCAGGTTATATTACCTTGATAGCATATGATAAAGGGTCCTTAACGTAGTCTGTGAGATAACTATTTTTGAAGTAGGCATATTTATTCCTTAGTTTTGTTTTGCATATAAAAAAATTAGAATCACGTGATATAATTTTATAAGTTTGTTTTCCCCTGTAACATATATATTATGTATTTTAAATGTTATTAACATTTTAAAATAAAATACATAATAAGGTAAACTTTTTATATGTTGTGAATATCTGATCATTTTGTTTACTAATTTTGGATAGTATTATAATGTTGGAAACAACATTTTGATGAACATATTTGAGATTAAATCTTTGTGCCCACATTTTCTTTTTCTCTTTAGGGAAGATTCATAGAATTAGAACAAATTAGAACAAATGGGTAGAAGGCAGTAAATATCTTTGTGACTTCTAAAAAATTGCTGAAATACTCTTAAATAAATTGTATCAATATATAATCCCAATGTGTTTAAAATGCCTTTTGTTAGAACTTCCAACATTGAGTATTTATCAAATTGTGTATCCTTCTATCCTTGCCAATCAACTTTATGAGGTATAATTCATATATAGTAATATTGTAATAGTGTAATTTTAAAAATGTGTTAATTGTATATTATGCATAATTTAAAATGTTCCATTTCAGCCATTTTTATGTGTACAGTGGCATTTAGTTCATTCCCATTGTTGTATAACCATCACCACTATTCATTTCCAGAACTTTTTCGTCATCTTAAACAGAAGCTCTTTACCCATTAAACGGTAACTTCCCCTTTCCCTTCCCCAGTCCTGGTGAGCTATACTCTACTTATTCTATCCTGGTGAATTTGCTTATGGTGAGCACCTCATATTGCTACCGAAACATCAAGGGGTTTGGTCTAGGTCCTGTTGCTCACAGCTCAGAAAGCCAATCACAGAGACGATGAGTGTTGCTAGGGAAGAAGGCTTCAACTGGGTACTGCAGCTAAGGAGATGGGAGATCAATCTCAAATTTGTCACCTCCACTGACTAAAACCAGGGGTTTATTTAGCAGGGAAGAAATGTAACCATGTATGGGAAAACAGGAGTTAGGGAAGGGTGAGGAAGAGGAGTTGGTCAACAGGAAGCAGGTAGTTGGTTAGGCAATTGTGATGGGTGAGGTGGTCTGGTGTCTTATGGTTCAGATGTGGTGATGTGGTAAGTTTCAGTTCCTTGATAACTATCTGGGAGGCCTTATGGTTTGTTTCCCAAAAAAGGAATTCAGATAAGACAAATGTAACTTTCTCAAGTTTTAAGACTGGGAGGGTCAATTTCTATCTTTATTTTAAAAGACTGTAAGCATCAGTTCTATAGGACAATTGGGCTGGTTTCATTTGCAAGGTTCATCCATGTTGTAACTAACCATGTGTCAGCATTTCATTCCTTTTTAAGGCTGAATCATATCCCTTTGTATGTATATACCACAGTTTGTTTATTTTTTCATCTGTTGTTGGGCACTGGCTTGTTTATATCTCTTGGCTATTGTGAACAATGCTGCTACGAACATTAGTGTTTTCTGTTTTTGTTTTTTGCTAACAGCTATCCTGATGGGTGTGAAGTAGTATCTCATGGTTTTGATTTGTATTTTGTGACTACTGATGTTGAACATCTTTTTGTTTGATTGTTGGCTATTTGGAGAAAGGTCTAATCAAGTCATTTGCCAATTTTTGTATTGAGTTTTATGTTGTTTAGAGTTGTAGGTATTTTTTATATATTCTAGATATTAACCCCGTGTCAGATAAATGATTGTAAATATCTTCTCTCATTACACTGGTCGCTTTTTACTGTGGCAAGTGCCTTTTTGAGATATGAATTTAGGAAGAATTTTTCTATTTTTTAAATAAGAGTTTTATACTTGAATAAGGTAAATGCTCATCCATCATTAATTTTTTAATTAAAAACACAGTTTTCCTGTTTCTTTGGTGTAGTTCTCCTCTTGGTTGATTATATTTTATCATTGGATAGGTTTTTTTGTTGTTTGAGATGGAGTCTCGCTCTGTCGCCCAGGCTGGAGTGCAGTGGCGCGATCTCAGCTCACTGCAACCTCTGCTTCCTGGGTTCAAGCGATTGTTCTGTGTCAGCCTCCCGTGTAGCTGGGATTACAGGCACCTGCCATCATGCTTGGCAATTTTTGTATTTTTGTAGAGACAGGGTTTCACCATGTTGGCCAGATGGTCTTCAACTCCTGACCTCAGGTGATCCACCTGCTTTGGCCTCCCAAAGTGCTGGGATTATAGGCATGAGCCACCATGCCTGGCTGATAGATTTTTTGTTTTGCTTTCTTTTGAACAAGGCCTCTCAGTGGCTTACCTCTGTGCCATGCTTTGGTGTTTGAGCTCTCTTCCCTGTACTAACTGTAGCTCTGTAGGACTTGGGGGTCAACCTTACCTTTTATTTTTACCCCGTCTTTTGTGTGTCTTATTTGAGTTAGCATTTCTTTTTATTCCAGGCCTGTAAATTTTACTAGATTGTCTCTAGGAATCTCTTTTACTAATTTGCTTCAGCCTGCCTTCCTGCCATCTCTTTTTACTAATTTGCTTCTGCCTGCCTGCCTTCCTGCCTTCCTCCCTCCCTCCCTCCCTCCCTCTCTCCCTTCCTCCCTCCCCTTCTTCCCCTTCCTTCCCCTCTCCCATGCCTTCCTTCCCCTCTCCCATCCCTTCCTTCCCTTCTTTTCTTTCCATTTATTTTGAGATAGAGTATTGCTCTGTCACCCAGGCTGGAGTGCAGTGGGGTAATCTTGGCTCACTGCAACCTCTACCTCCCAGGTTCAAGTGAGTCTCCTGCCTCAGCCTCCTGAGTAGCTGGGATTACAGGTGTGTGCCACCATGCCCAGTTAATTTTTGTGTTTTCAGTAGAGATTGGTTTTCACCATGTTGGCCAGGCTGGTCTCGAACCCCTGACCTCAAGTGATCCACTTGCATTGGCCTCCCAAAGTGCTGAGATTATAGGTGTAAGCCACAATGCCTATCCTCTTCACCCCTCCTTTAGCTTTCATATTACTTCTTAGATTTCTTCCTCTCTATTTCATCCTTTTTCTGTTCCTGAAACCCCTACAGGATGGGTGTGGGAGTTTGTGTCTCTTGACTCTTCTTTCAAATTTTCTTTTGCTTTCTCACTTTCTCTTGTTTATTGAGATATAATTCACATACCATAAAATTCACCATTTTAATGTGTACAGTTCAGTAGGTGTCAGTATATTGAAAACTGTTCAACCATCGCCACTATCTAATTTCAGAACAGTTTTCTCACCCAGTGAAACCCAGTACCCATTCTTCTCCAACCCCTGGCAACAACTAATCTACTTCTTGTCAGCTGATTTGCTATTCTTGATATTTCATATAAATGGAATCATACAGTGTGTGGCCTTTTGTGTCTAGCTTCTGTCATTTAGCATAATGTTTTCAAGGTTCCTCCATATGGTGGAATGTGTGAGTACTTCATTCTTTTTCTAGCTGAATAATCTTTGTATGGCTATTCCACATTTTGCTTATGTGGTCTTGATGGACATTTGGGGTTGTTTCCACATTTGGCTATTATGAATAATGGTGCTCTGAACATTTGTCCACAGGGTTTTGTGTGAACATATACGTTTTTATTTCTCCTACAGTGGTGAGATTGCTGGATAAAATGGTAACTCTGTGTTGAACCTTTTGAAGAACTGCCAAAGTCTCTTTGTTAAACTTTTATTTTAGGTTCAGGGGTACACATGCAGGTTTGTTATATAGGTGAACTCATGTTATGGGGGTTTGTTGTATGAATTATTTGGTCACCCAGGCACTAAGCTTGGTAAGGACCAATTGTTATTTTTTCTGATCCTCTCCCTCCTCCCACCCTCCACCCTAAATAGGCCCCCGTGTCGATTGTTCCCTCTTTGTGTCCATGCAAACTTTCTTCTTTTATTGCTCTTCCTTGACTTTATCTTTGAGCTCTCAAACTTGATATTTATCCCCACTCATTTTATTATTTAGGATTTCCAGTTAATTTTTTAATTTCAACAATCATATTTGAAAGTTTTTGTTCATTTTCTTTTTCTCTGATTGGTCCTTTTTCCTAGCTGCCTATATTAGGTGTGTACTTTTGAATTTGAGGATAAATATTAGGATTATAAAAATCCTCGTCTTGGAGCAGAATTTAGAATTAAATGTTGTTATTAATATTTAAGGCTAAACATTAGGATTATATAATATAAGCCTGGAACCTGGACTTTGAAAAAAAGGGAACAAAATTCAGATTATAAACATTGTATTCTTATGTCTTGAACTTGTAGGTCACTTGTTTTTCATCATGGTCCTGCTTTTTAATGCTGTTTATTTCTCAAATGCCTGGTGATCTCTGTTTCTTCGTTTATATTATGAATAAATGATTAAATTGATTGGTATAGAAGTTGGCAATACGAGTTTCCTTTATTCGTGCCTAAGTCTCTTTCTCCAATAGCCTTTCCTTTAAAGAAAGGGCTGATATGTGGTATGTGAGGCCTGTTGACTGGTTGAGTTTAATTTGGGATTCCAGCTGGCTGAAGATCAGTAGGCAGGCTGGAGGCCTCTGCAATTGCCAGGGTGGGTTTTTCTTTGCAGTGGAGCTGGCTTTCCTCATTTAACCCCTTTCCCGCTTCAGTATCTGTAGGACCACAGTCGCTGCTTCCCACATCCATCCATCCAGTGAGCAAGGTGGATTGCTCACTGTAGGAACGATTTTCCACGTTTACCCAGGAGGCCAGGGCTGCAGGGTTTATTCTGTGTACCAGGGGAAGGAGACGGAAAGGAGACAGGATCTGATTGGCTCAACTGTTCCTTGTACAAGGACACAATTTTTCTTTGTGCAGTTGTTTAATCTGATGATTGTCTTGTGGCTCATTCTTTGTTTTTGTCTTAGTTTATTCCAAGTCCCTGAGGCTTCCTTGGGAACGTCTGTCTACCTGTGGTTCTTAGACAGGGGATTCCTTTGTTGATTCTCTGTCAGTCTTAATTCTATTTGTGCATGTCATCTGAGATTTTCTCAAACTTTCTAGTCCACTTTTAGCCCTCCTTTTTGTTTCCAATTATCATTTAATAAAAAGAGCTTGTATTTTAGAGACTCTAGAGGGTTCAGAAAAGTGAGTGTCGAGTGTTTAGTCTGCAACCGTTAAAGACAGAGAATGTCTCATAAGTTTGGATCTGTGTTACTTACATGATTTTGATTTACAGATGCTTTCTTTCTTTCCCTTTCCCTTTTATTTTTTCTTTTCATTTACTTATTTTATTATTATTATTATTAGTATTATTTTTAGAGACTTACTCTAAAAAAATAGGGTCTCACTTTGTGCCCCAGGCTGCAATGGGACTACAGGTACATGCCACCATGCCTGGCTAAATTACAATTTTTTTTTTTTTTTTTGAAGAGACAGAGTGTCACTTTGTTGGCCAGGCTGGTCTTGAACTCCTGGCCTTAGTGATCATTCCATCTTGTCCTCCTAAAGTGCTAGGGATTACAGGTGTGAGCCACTGTACCTGGCCAAAGTTTTCACTTTTTAATATGGTGTATAAGGTATATAGAAGTGCTTTATTTATTTATTTATTTATGAGAGGGAGTCTTGCTCTGTTACCCAGGCTGGAGTGCAGTGGCATGATCTCGGCTCAGTGCAACCTCTGCCTCCTGGGTTCAACAATTCTCCTGCCTCTGCCTCTCGAGTAGGTGGGATTACAGGCGCCCACCACCATACCCGGCTAATGTTTGTATTTTTTAGTAGAGATGGCATTTCACCATGTTGGCCAGGCTGGTTTTGAACTTCTGACCTCAAGTGATCCACCCGCCTCAGTCTCCCAAAGTGCTGGGATTACAGGCATGAGCCACCATGCCCAGGAGAAGTGCTTTTAACTCCACAAGTGTTTAGGCTTTTTGGGTTATATTTGCTATTTTTACTTTTCTCCTTTTACTATATCAAAATGAGTCCTTTATGATTTCTGCCCTAGGGAATTCTAAAGATTTATCTTTGTGGTCTAATATAAAATCATTTTAAATGTATGCCATGAATGTAGTCAAGTATTGATAATAATGTAGTAATAGTAGCTTGCTCAGTCAGCACAAATTGTCAGGACACAGTGGTAATTTCTGCATGTGGATTATCTCCTGATTCTTAGAACAACATGAAACCAGGCTCATGAAAGATGAGTAATTATCCCAGGGTACTGTCTCCCTCACCTCCAATGTTGGGCCAGAGCTAGGTCCAAGACTTTGAATTCTAGAGTGTTAGACACCATCCTATGCAGCCTCCCACTGAGTAAGGGTGGTCACTGTTTGTAGGGTGTAGAGTTTGATAGATACGTCTGTTACTTTGACTTCATTAGTTTTATTTAGGATGCTTGAATGTATGAATGTATTGATTAATATATTCATTATTGCCTTCTCTCTGTGCTTGGAAGAGAAGAAAATTGAAGTTTACCACTACCATGGGTTTACTTTGCGTGCTTTGTTATTTGGTGTATAAAGATTCACACCTTAGATCTTTTGTAGGTCATATGGTGTTTAGTTTAAAGGGAATCTTTTTCTGAAGAGTTTAGCCTTGAATTCTGCTGAGATTTACATTGGCAATCCTGTTTGCATTTTGTTTGCCTTGTACAGCCATACTTTTATGCACTCCTTTCCTACTAATGTGTTTATTTTGCTTTTGATGTTGATATATTTGTTCAACCAACATTTTTAGATGCCCGAGTGCGCTCCAAGCACTGTCTAGGTGTCACAGTGGCGATCGGGATACAGCCCTGCCTTCATGGATCTTCTGGGCTGGTCGGGGAGACAGACAATAAACCAGTCAACGAATGAATAAGTAACTGCAAAATTTTAGTTCTGCTCTAATGTGGTAGCCATTCACTTCATGGGGGTCATTTAAATTAATTAAATTAATAGTAGCTTACTCATTCAGCATGTATTGTCAGACACAATGGTACTTTCTGCACATGGATTATCTCCTTTGATTCTTTTAACAACATGCGGTATGTATTGTTATCGGTCCTACTTATGAGGTAACCAGGACTAGGCACATGAAAGATGAGTAATTACCCCAGGGCACTGTCTCCCTCACCCTCAACTGTGGGAGTAATTTTTAAAAGAAAAGTTAAGGCGAGATGCAGTAGCTAACGCCTGTAATCCCAGCACTTTGGGAGGCTGAGGTGGGCAGATCAGTTGAGCTCAGGAGCTCAAGACCAGCCTGGACAACATGACGAAACCCCGTTTTTACTAAAAATACAAAAATTAGCCAGGTGTGGTGACACACACCTATAGTCCCGGCTATTTGGGAGGCTGAGTTGGGAGGATTACTTGAGCCCGGGAGGCATTGCAGTGAGCGGAGACTGCGCCACTGCTCTCTAGCTTGGATGACCCTGTCTCCCAAAAAAAAAAAAAAAATTAATTTGAATAAAATTTGTTGTTCCTCACTTGCATGTGTCATATATTATGTGCTTGATAGTCATGTGTCTAGTGGATACTGGATTGAACAGTGCAGATGTGGGACATTTGTCAGTGCACGAAGGTTTGGTAGACAGTGGTGCCTTAGATGCCGTCATGGAGATGGGTTGGTTCTGAGGTACAGTGTCAAGTCACTGGGGGCACCTGGAGTGGTGACCTGAGAAAACCTGAATTTTGAGAAGGAACCTGTACTGTGAGGGTGTTGTCTATGGGGCATGTGGTACTTGTATTTAGGATTTTGGTAAAAAGTGACTATTCATAAGCTATTTAAAGTTTCTATTTTAAAAGTATAGGGTTTTTAGGTAGTGTGTTTTCTCTTATTCTAATAATAATTGTTTTGGTCATATTAGGGAAAATAACTGACATGTTGTTAGATTTTTATTTTAGTTGATTAAATCTGGTAGCCATTATTTACTTTTATAGATTGAAAAATGGTTCAGTGTTTCAAAAGTATTTTGAGCTTGTCTTTGGAAAGAGATAGGCAGGTGCAGTGGCTCAGGCCTGTAATCTCAGCAGTTTGGGAGGCTGAGATAGGAGGATTGTTTGTTAGGAGTTCAAGGCCAGCCTGGGCATCATAACAAGACCCCATCTCTACAAAAAGTAAAAAAATTAGCTGAGCGTGGTGGTGCACGCCTGTAGTCCCAGCTACTTGGGGGGTTGTGGTGGTAGGATGGCTTTTCCAATTATCCTACAGATATTTTTCAAAATGATTACTTTTAACCTATAATCTTTTTATTTGGAGGTGGGATGCTAACTCTCCAATTGCCTAGGACTTCTTTAATTTGTATATGTTAAGAAATTTTAATGGGCAATTTAATAAGTGTTGAAATTTCTAAGAATTATTTCCGTATGTTAGAGTTGTGATAAAGCAGACCTTTTCCCGGTAGTACTTCTCTGAGTCTGATTTGTTTTCCCCCATGGGTGCCACATAGGTTTATTTATTTATTTATTTATTTATTTATTTTGAGACAGAGTCTCACTTTGTCACCCAGGCTGGAGTGCACTGACGTGATCTCGGCTCACTGCAAGCGCCACCTCCCAGGTTCACGTCATTCTCCTGCCTCAGCCTCCCGAGTAGCTGGGACTACAGGTGCTTGCCACCACACCCAGCTAAGTTTTTTGTATTTTTCGTAGAGACAGGATTTCACTGGGTTAGCCAGGATGGTCTTGATCTCCTGACCTTGTGATCCGCCTGCCTCGGCTTCCCAAAGTGCTGGGATTACAGGCGTGAGCCACCATGCCTGGCCACACATGGGTTTACTTTAAGAAGGTAAAAAATAAAAGCTAAGGTACATACTGATTACCCCAGACAACATGCAGACATCACTCAATGAGTGCAGTTCTCATCAACTCACCATTTGTTTCAATTAGAAAAAATCTCTTCAAAACGAATTTTTCTGCATGAAATACCTTTTCAAATCACACTGTGATTTATTAATAGTGATTTATCAAATTCAGTTTTCTGCTGGACACTAAAGGAACACCTCATTAAGACTAGTGTTTATGGAAATAGTACAATATTTTAAACACTTTTAATTGTAAAAGTTTCTTTTAAACTTAATGCATACAGGTATGTTATTGTTCAGATATTTAGCACTTACATAGAAACTCACTGATCTACTAACAATTAGAAAAGAGACCTTTAGCCAAATGCCTCTGTACTCAGAAATAAAATGATTAATTACTGTTTTGCTCTTTTCTCTGGTTAAGGCTTTTAAAAAATTTTATTTTTCCTTTTACTATTACACCATAACTTGTTTAAATTTTGTTGCTATTGCAGAATTGCCGCAGTCATTACAGTTCGTGTCTCCCTGTGTATATGAGGGAGAGATTCTCTGGGCTGTGTAGATGCCCAGAGAATGGGGAGTGTGGGCCTGACCTGTCACATTCAATTTTTGTTTCACAGTCTTACATCTAATGCTCTTCGTTGCATTATGTAACTAGCTGGGGTTAGTTTCCTCAGTACCTACTCTTCAGAGCCTGTTTTCTCTCCGTTTACAGATGGGCCAACGTTGCTTGGGTGGTTGGTTTACTGGCTTTTCACACAACTGAGCTCCAGGAAAATACACCTGTTGTTGAGGTAATGTCTTTTATGACTGAAATGTGATTAATGACAAGAAATACTGTTGTTGATTCCGTAATTTAGAACATGCGGCTTTCCTTGACCTTCACTTGATTTTTCTTTGTGGGATTGTGGAAATTGTTCGAAAACTATCACCTCAACAGACCTTTAGGCTTAAACATAGCGGCTCATTTACAATGTAGTCCATCATTAAAATGGCACAGCAGAGTTAACAAGGCTCGTGAACCCTACTCATCATTATTTCATTTGTTTTTGAATAAGACTTGTTCATTTCCCGTTTTCTTGTAGTCTGTCCAACATTTTGTTACAGCTAATGTATTTCCTAATTAAATCATAGCTTATAATTCAAAATTCAAATTCTTCTGGCTTTCAGTGTTTTCGTATGAAAGATTACTTTCTACCTATTCTGTTAATGTGTATTACACTTAATTGGTAATAGAGTTTTATCCCTTGAATTGGGAGAGGCTCAAGAGTCAGTGTAGGTGAAAAGAACCAAGACTTTTTAGGGGAAATAGCAAGAGGTCCTGAAGGAGGTTAAAAGGGGGTAAGGAGAGGGTATTTTGTAGAGCTGAAGCTGGTTGTGTGGTATTTGGGGCTTTAAGAGGAATTGGAACATTTTCTGTGTCTGTGTTGTCCACTATAGTAGCCAATTGGTATTTGGAGCCTTAAGAGGAATTGGAAACTTTCCTCTCTGTGCCGTTCACTGCAGTAGCCAATTGCTGGGATAGTATCCCAGCTGTCCTTATAGTGTCTGGGTGGAGATTAATATAATTTCACTGTATTTCCCTTGCTTACAATTCCATCTCTATTTCCTGCAAACTGTTGGATCTCTGAGCTACTAGTAAAATGCCACTAAGTCTAATTTTTTCCTTTTTTGGGGGGCCTAAAATAAATGAATTGTGACCTGTGTGATTACTGATGGTACCCAACTTGGTTCTCAGAGATGTGTCGAGTAGATTTTTATCTAAAAGATTGAGCATATAGGGCAGTATTACCAGGAAGATGAGAAGGCTTAGGATCTTAAAAATGGGGGTTCCTTCTGATGGCTCAGAGCAAAACGTCTCCAGTGAGATGGAGTAGCTGTAGGAGATGGGAGAGAACATAAAGTCCAAGACAAAGTCCCAAGATTTTAGAGGATATTCCTGCATCGTCAGAGCAGGCATTTGTTGCTCAGGAGCTGTGAAGAAAGAGCCTCTGAATATGTAAAATATGACTGTTGAATTAAATGATTCAGTAGTTGCAGTAGAGTATGGATACTTTAGGAAGCTGAGTTAGTGAATTTGAAGATCAGTTGGATGAATTCTCTTAGGATTCAGAAAGAAAGAGGATAAAAATTATGAACTAAAAAGGCATGAATGATAGTTTCAGATTTGTTGCGCTATCTAGTATAGTAGCCACCAGCCACTGTAGCTATTGAGCGCTTCAAGATTGGCTAGTCTGAATTGAGATGACCAACTTATAGAAAAGAACACTATGGGCACCCTGTAATTTCCAAACCCCGTTGTTCTACTTGATCTTTTTCACAGCATATATCACCACCTGGCATTTTATGTATTTATTTCTCTTTCCACAGTAGACTACAAGCTCCATTGGAACAGGGATTGTGAATTGTCTTGTTCAACACTCCACCCCGGTGCCTAGACAGTGTCTTGTGTATATCTAGATACTGACAAATATTTTGAAATAAGTGAATGAAAGTGTATCAGTATGCTTGGGACTCCCTGTAGCAGTGCCTGGAAAATGGTATGTTTTGCTGCTGCAGGAATTCTCAAGGGACTGGGCAGAGGGCATGTGAAGTAACCTAGGACCTGCTGGTCACCCTGGGTGATGTGCTGCCCTCGTTCTACTGGTACTTGCTGTTGCGGCTGCTGCACTCCCACTTGGAGAGTTTGGCCCAGGAGTTCCTGAACCATATTTGTTACTTGTGCTCACTCAGGTTGAGTTCTGTGGCCAGTTTGTATTCTCAAAGTATTTCTCCTACTCCAGTTGTTGTACTTTGTCAACGTTGTATTTTATTATTCCTGGTCCTGCCTCAACTGAGAGGAAAGGGTGGGTGTTAATTCCCGAGGTTCTTGTATCTTTGATTCCGGTACCGTTCTCTTCATGGGTGTTTGCTGATGCTTTATTAATTTGAAATGCAAGAACTTAGGGAAAATCATACTTATTTCATTTTAAAAAATGGTGTGTACTGAACTATCTGGTGGACTGTTTTGAATTACACACACTGTATTGTGAACTACATTTGGTTGGATAGTAGGGAGCTTATATAATAACTTGAAATTGAGCCAGGTGCTCCTTTGTGATGCCATCTTAATTTTGTTATTTCTCCACACCTTTTAGTTCTTTAGTTCATTACTTTTAATGGCAAAATCTGTGAATTTCTTTTGCATCAACCTAATTCCTGCTGTGAGCAATTGGCTGTGATAATTTAAAGAGCCACTAGAGGTCATTCAAACACTAGAAAAAAAGTTGTGCAAGTTTTAAGAATTTGTTTCAACTTCCAGAAGCAGGATCTGTAGAGGCTGAGCAGGTACATGGTACCATGTTTCATCTTTTTCCTGGTTTTTTAGAATTTTCTGCTACAGGATGTGTGGCTCCATTCCATTGGCGATTTTTACTATTTGAGAGGAATCAGATGAATGAAAACCATTATAGCCTCTCCAGAGAAATGCAGTCAGCACCTAGCACATGATTTCAGGGGATCTGAAAACCCTGCGGAATCCACTGGTGAATCTTTGGTTCATAACTCCTGAGACCAGGTTTCTGTAAAACTCGTAGTTGCGTGCTTGTAGATAATTTTTCAGTAATCAGTAACAAAATTTCAAGTGTAAGATAAATCCTGAATTCTCTATTAGATTTACTATCAGGGAACAAGAAAAATTGTGGTTGAAGATCCTATAAGCACTTTATTTTAGTTTCTATTTTACTTATTTATTCATTTATTTTTTGAGACAGAGTCTCGCTCTGTTGCCCAGGCTGTAGTGCAGTGGTGTGATCTCAGCTCACTGCAACCTCTGCTTCCCGGGTTCAAGAGATTCTCAGCCTCAGCTTCATGAGTAGCTGGGATTGCAGGTTCATGCCACCATGTCCCACTAATTTTTGTGTTTTTACTAGAGATAGATTTTCACCATGTTGGCCAGGCTGGTCTTGAACACCTGGCCTCAAATGATCCACTTGCCTCGGCCTCCCAAAGTGCTGGGATTACAGGTGTGAGCCACTGCACCTGGCCCCTATAAGCATTTTAAAGGCATAGAACCTCATTTTGTTACTCACCTTTGTACCCCTCAGTGCCGAGCCAGCAAAGTAATGTGTATTTCAGGCACTCAGTCAAAGCTGAAGGGTTTAATGAATGATTAAAAGAATGTTAGAAGATTATGATGGTGTAATTTGTTACAAAGAGAAAGAAAAAATAAAGCAAAAATCTATTTTACTGTCCTTGTAATATAATTTAAGTCTCTTTTATCTTATTCTCTCATTAACAGCTATAGAAAATAACTGGTCATGATCTCCTTTATGCATTTAGAAGCCTTTATTGGCATCTGTATCTTTTTCACAGAAAAATATAACTATCTGAAGCTTATTTTCCTAGATAACACATTTACCACTGTGTAATCATTGTGGTTTCTATATGTAATTTAAATAAATATTTCTGTTATTAAGCCAATATATTTAGTTTGAAGCATGCAGTGGATATATTTTAGGAAATTAATACAGACTCATCAAATGCAATAACTGAAAAGAATTTTTTTTTTTTTTTTTTTTTTTGGTGACCAAGCCTCACTCTGTCAGCCAGGCTGGAGTGCAGTGGCACGATCTTGGCTCACTGCAACCTCCGTCACCCAGGTTCAAGAAATTCTCCTGCCTCAGCCTCCCGAGTAGCCGGGATTACAGGCGTGCACTGCCATACCAAGCTAATTGTTTTTGTATTTTTAGTAGAGACAGGGTTTCACCATGTTGGCCAGGCTGATCTGGAACTCTTGACCTCAAATAATCCACCCATCTCAGCCTCCCAAAGTGCTGGGATTACAGGCGTGAGCCACCATGCCCAGCCAAAAGGAATATTAACAGACATTCTAGGTTAACCCTTTCATTAAATTTTTTTATTATCGGTTGGGCATGGTGACTCACGGGTGTAATCCCCAGTACTTTGGGAGGCTGAGGTGGGAGGACGACTTGAACCTAGGAGTTTGAGACCAGCCTGGGCAACATAAAGAGACCTTGTCTCTAGAAAAAATAGAAATAGTCTGGCGTGGTGGTGCGGATCTGTGGTCCCAGCTACTCAGGAGGCTGAGACATGACCCTGGGAGGTTGAGGCTGCAGTGGGCTATTATCATGCTACTGCACTCCAGCTGGGTAACAGAGCAAGAGCGTCTGAAAATTTTTTTTTATTATAATGGAAAATGTCAACATACATAGAAGTAGAGAGACTACAATAATGAGGAAGCATCATTTGCTTCCAGCAGTCATCAACATTGGCTAATCTTGTTTCATCTATGTCTCCTGCTTTCATTCTCCCTCTCCCTTTTTCTCCCCCTCTCTCTCTCACTGGAGTATTTTAAATAAAATGATATCATTTTATTAGCAAATGTATTTTTCTAACAGAAAAAGATTAGAAAAATATATAACCACAATTTCATTATCACTCACAATACATTCAACAGTAGTCCTTGAATATCATCTAACACCCAGTTAGTGTTCAGATTTTCCTGATGGTTTCATACATGTCATTTTGTAATTTTTCTTTGAGCCAGGATTGTGTTTAGATAATGTGACCCTTAAGTGTCTTAATTCCTGGTCTCTTTTTTTAATGTCATTTATTTGTTACAAATTGTCCCTTGTCTTGGCCCAAATGGGAACATCAGAAGCTTTATTGCACCCTTTTGGTGTTATTTAACAGAGTCCTTTATCACCTGCCTTTCCCTTCTTGCACCTGGCTGCTTATATGTGGACCCTTGGTTCAGTGCTTTTTTGGGGGCATGGCTTAGGGAAATAGGAATTTTTCATAGTTGGTGCTGTATTTTTCCTATTGCTTCATAGAAAGTGAGACAACTAAGCATTATATACCTCTATTAGAGGGGTTAAAGTTGATCACTGGAGTCAGATGTTGTTGGCCTTATTATAAATATTCCCATCACTCTTTTTTTTCTTCATACCCTCATCTGTGAGCCAGGAACTCATCACTCTTTTATTTAATAGTTTTAACATCAATTGATTATTGTCTACATGTAATAATCCTTTAGAGATGCAAAATGATAATTTTCTTGTTCTGTAATTTCCTTTCTATTTGTAGTTGGAAGTTTTCTTACAGAAGAGCTTTCCCTGATCAACTGTTTGGTTATCCTAAAATAGAATTTGTTTCTCAAGGCAGGATAAATGCTTGATTGTTTCTCTTCATAGGTCAGTTTTCAGAATAAAGAGTTGGTACCATAGAAATCTCCATAAATGTCCAGTGAGTTGGTACCTTAGAAATCTCCATAAATGTCCAGTGAAATTGATTTTATATTCTTAAGAACTTATAGATGTATATATGTATATGTATATCATCTAGTCCTTTGCAGTCGTTAGTCTTTTTGATGCTTAAATTGTTTCATCTCCATCCAGTGGGAGCCATTCAAGTTTGCTCCTTTCTCCCGTTGACATGAGCCTACTCCTGTCTCTGATAGCTTGCTGGCTTCTCGGCAGTGAGCTTTCACAGGCTTGTTTTGGGAATAGTCAGCCCCTAGTTTTGAAACCACTTTTATAAGGAATCTCATTTACTTTTTGTTAGAAGATGTAGTTAGAGAACACAGTCTGGGTTCTCTAGGATTTTTTTCTTTTTCTTGTAGAGCTTTTCAGAGTTCAGATCTGGGTACTATTGTTTCTTAAAAAGAGAAAAATTCTGAGTTTATTGATACCTTTCCAATTCAGATTTTTTTATTGAGATGGAGTTTTGCTCTTGTTCCCCGGCTGGAGTACAATGGTGCGATCTCGGTTCACAGCAACCTCTGCCTTCGCAGTTCAAGTGATTCTCCTGCCTCAGCCACCCGAGTAGCTGGGATTACAGGCATGCAGCATCATGCCTGACTAATTTTGTATTTTTAGTAGAGACAGGGTTTCACCATGTTGGCCAGGCTGGTCTCAAACTCCTGACCTCAGGTGATTCGCCCGCCTTGGCCTCCCAAAGTGCTGGGATTACAGGTGTGAGCCACTGCACCTGGCCCCAATTCAGATTTAAAATTCATTTTTACCTCTTGATTTACAATTTTTATTTTTCTTCTCATAAGCTAAAAATCCTGGCTGGGCGCAGTGGCTCATGCCTGTAATCCCAGCACTTTGGGAGCCAAGGCAGGTGGATCACTTGAGCTCAGGAGTTCGAGACCAGCCTGGCCAACATGGCAAAATCCCATCTTTACTAAAAATATAAAAATTAGCTGAGCATGGTGGTGCACACCTGTAATCCTGGCTACTTGGGAGGCTGGGGCATGGGAATTGCTTGAACCCAGGAGGCAGAGGCTACTGGGATCACACTACTGAATTCCAGTCTTGGCAACAGAGTGAGACTGTCTCAAAAAAAAAAAAGAAAAAGAAAAAGCTTGACCATTAATAATATTAACATAATGATCTTTTTTTTTAGCTTAAAGTTTAGAATAGTTTAAAAATAGTAGTACACGTATTGTTACTAACAACAAAACTACAAAGAACATTGTAAGTACTTTTTTTCCCTGGTGATATAACCCACTGGATGATATATACAGTCAAAACAGTGAGTTTTAAAATCAATTGAAATAATTCTTCAGTTCGTACTTTTGTCACCAATATGATATATAGTTATATATGTTTCCATTATTTTTTAGATATTTAGGGATGACTTTGTACTTTCTTTCTGGTTTGAAAATTATAATTCTTTTTTACTGAAGTGTTAGAAATATACAGAAATATGTACAAAAGGTAAATGTACTGCTTCATGAATTATTGCCAAGTGTGAAAACCCAAGAAACTGCCACTGGGTCAAGAAACAGAACATTAAGTAGGACGTTGCCAGCATACCCGGGGACCCTCTTGTGCCCTCTCCTGATCACTGTTCTCTCCGTTTGCGCCAAAGGAAGTTACCATAACTTCCAACTCTATGATGATTTTGCCTGCTTTTGAATTTTATTTAAATTGAGTCATATGATATGTATACTTTGGTATCTGGCTTCTCTTATTTCATATTATGTTTATGGAATCATCCTTGTTGCAGGTACCTGTAGTTCATTTTTAGTGCATGAGTATACTACATCACTGGCGATGGGCATTTGGATTGTTTTCTGTATTTGGCTATTATAAACCTTGCAAACACATTTTGATGCACTTGCGCAAGCTCTCTGTTGGGTATGTGTAGGAATAAAATTGGTAGGTTATAGGATATGTGGGTGTTCAACTTTAGGGGGTAATCTAAACTGTTTTCCAAAAAGGTTGTAGAAGTTAAAATGCTTTGACTAATGAAAGAATGCTCAGTGCTCTGTATTCTCATTAATGCTTGGTGTTGGCATAAATCATGTTAAATAAGTATTTACCAGTTTCCTCTTTGTTTTTAACATTAATGGTTATTGAGTTTGGTATGGCATCTGAAGATATGAGTATAGAATTTTTCTTCCCATCTCTATTAATAGGTGGATTATATTAATGGAATTCCTAAAAATAAATCACCTTTGCATCTTCAGAAGAAACAACTTGGTGCTCTCTATAATTCACTTTTGGAGTCTCTTTCCTAATGTTTTTTTCTAGGATTATTCCTCTATTTTTTCTAGCCACATTACATTGACTCTTGGAGAGCCCAGGCTGTTTGTCCTGTAGAATGTTCCACATTGCAGATTTGTCTACTTGCTTTTTCTTGGTATTGCTAACTTATTCCTCTAGTCCACATATTCCCTATAAACTGTAAGTTAGGTCTGGAAGCTTCATTAGATTTGGGTTAAACCTTTTTTTTTTTTTTTTTTTTTTTTGATAAGAACATATCGTAGGTGATATTGGGTACTTCATATTTCAACTCATCAGGAAGCATGCAGTGTCAAGTTTTATTAGTTGTGCCTACTTTGACCATTTGATTAAAGTGGTGCTGCCAGAGAGCTCCATAGTAAAGGTACATCTTTTCCTTTGCAGTGCCACTTTACCTTTCACGTGATATATGCAATAAGAACATAATATTAAAAATCATGTAGATTATAACTGCTGTTTTAACATTTTTCTAAAATAAAACATACAATTTTAGTTCAGGAAATGTTAATCATTATATTGTCATTAATCGCCATTGCATTTTCTCTTTTTTTCAACAGATTATTACTATTTTTATTTTTGAGATGGAGTCTTATTGTGTTGTTCAGGCTGGACTACAATGGCACAATCATAGCTCACTACTTGGGCTTAAGCTATCTTCCCACCTCAGCCTCCTAAGTAGCTAGTACTACAGGTGTGTGCCACCATGCCCAGCTGTTTTCGTTTGTTCTTTTTTTTTGTAGAGATGTAGTCTTCCTATGTTGCCCAGGCTGGTCTTTTTAGTTTTAAAAAAATCATTTTAGCCTAGCTTTATTGAATGCTTACTGTGTACCAGGTGCCAGGCTGGTCTTAAACTCCCGGGTTCAAGTTATCCATCCATCTGAGCCTCCCAAAGAGTTGGGATTACAGGCATGAGCCATCACACCTGGCCTCAACAGATTATTAATTCACTATCACCATGATTGTTTTTGAAATTAATCTAATTTAATTTTTGTTTTTTGAGGTAGGGTCTTGCTCTGTTGTCCAGAGTGCAGTAGCATGATCATGGCTCACTGCAACTTCACACTCCTGGGCTCAACTGACCCTCCCACCTCAGCCTTCCTAGTAGCTGGGACTACAGGTACATGCCACCATGCCTGGCTAATCTTTTAATTTTTACTTTTAGTAGAGATGGTGTCTCGTATTATTTCCCAGGCTGGTCTCTAACTTCTGGTGACAAGCAATCCACCTGCCTCAGCCTTCCAAAGTGCTGGGATTACAGGCATGAGCCACTGCACCTGACCTCTAATTAATTAATTGATATATTTTTAATGTTTATTTTTTATTTCAATAGCTTTTGGAGTATGAGTGGTTTTTGATTACATGGATGAGTTGTACAACAGTGAAGTCTGAGATTTTAGTGCACTGGTCACCCGAGTAGTGTAGATTGTGCTCAATATGTAGTTTTTTTAATCCCTCTCTCCTCCCTCACTTGTGAGTCTCCAGTGTCCATTATACCACTCCGTATGCCTTTGCATACCCATAGCTTAGCTCCCACTTATAACTGGGAACATAAGATATTTGGATTTCTGTTCCTGAGTTACTTCCTTAGAATAATGCTGGCCTCTAATTTAATTTGAAAAATTTATTTTGCATTCTATGTCCTCATGTTTTTTGTGGGATAATCACATTTTATGATTTAGTTCTTTAAAAGAGTGAAATATCATAAGAATTATTGACTTAAGTATATTGGTACTGTGTTCTTTAGCTTTCTACTGAATTGGTTATAGAATTGAATTTTATGTTAAAAGTGGGTATATGGTGATTGGAAGCATTATTTAACTTAGTTCTTTCTGAAAGTTCTGTGCCTTTGGAAACTCTAAACATAGCATATGATGAATCTGTTTCAAAGGCTGTGAGATTGTGTGCTCCACTTTGGGCTCTTGCTCCATATTAAGATGCACAATTGCACTACTTTCTCTTCTCTGTCTCCTAGCTTGAGTAGTATTGCTTTTCACTTCTAGAACAACTACACGGTGTCAGTTCTGTCATTGTCCTTATTTTCTATAGTCCTCATTTTTAATTTATAATCTTTTTTAAGAACAAACAGCACTTGTTGCACTTTCTGAGATGTATGAATTATATATACATATACATGGACTTATTTTTCCCTATAGTTTTTCCATGTAGCATTTATGATTTTGTAAATATTCTAATTATAAAAATAACATGTGGTCTTCTAATTATGGCAATTTAGCTATTGAAATAATCTTGCAAATTATGTGTGATCCTCCCACATCAAAAGAAAAAAAATACAAAAACAAACGTAGAGGGTGGACTCAGTGGCTCACACCTGTAATCCCAGCACTTTGGGAGGCCGAGGCAAGTAGATCAACTGAGGTGAGGAGTTTGAGACCAGCCTGACCAATACGGTGAAACCCTGTCTCTACTAAAAATACAAAAATTAGCTGGACATGGTGGCATGTGCCTGTAGTCCCAGCTACTCAGGAGGCTGAGACAGGAGAATTGCTTGAACCTGGGAGGCAGAGGTTGTGGTGAGCCGAGATCACAACACTTCACTCCAGCCTGGGTGACAGAGTGAAACTCCATCTCAAAAACAAAAAACACAAAACAAACAAACCTAAAAATGCAAGGTAAAATGTAACAAGAAGACTTTGGAATACACGTGGGAATGAACAAGAAAGTGAGGGAAATTTTCAAAAGTCAGAAATGGGGGCAACTAAAATCCTGAACTGGTAACACTTTAAGGCTGCCTGGGACAAGATGAGGTGGTAGTTATTGCTGTTGTATAATAGTTTTGAGGTTTGATACAATTTAAGAATAGAAGATGAGGTCAGAGGTTTGCCTGAAGCAGTTAGGTGGAGCTAAGAGCCTTGAAGAGCTATCAATAAAATGGGGAATTTGGAAAAAAAAAAAAAAAAAGGCAACTCACTTACCTACACAGAGAGATAACAAAGAAGTTTGTTTGTTTGTTTACTTATTTATTGAAGACTGAGTCTTGCCCTGTTGCCCAGGCCGGAGTGCAGTGGTGCAATCTTGGCTCACTGCAACCTCTGCCTCCTGGGTTCAAGCAGTTCTCTGCTTCAGCCTCCCGAGTAGCTGGGATTACAGGCATCTACCACCACACCCGTCTAATTTTTGTATTTTTAGTAGATACAGGGTTTCACTATCTTGGCCAGGCTGGTCTTAAACTCCTGACCTTGTGATCCACTCGCCTTGGCTTCCCAAAGTGCTGGGATTACAGACATGAGCCATGGCGCCCAGCCAAAGTTTGTTGATTTTTATCTTCAGCTCTAGAAAGAGGGAAAAAAAGTCTTCCATATAAATTTTCAACTGCAGTTTTTTGTTTTCAATTTTCATCATGTTTTGAGGTATGAATTTATACTTCTCCCAAACTGGGAAATTAACATAACAGCCACACCTGGGCTTCTGGTTCTGGTAAAGGTCGAGGAGCTGTATTGGGCTTACCCTCTTGCCAATAATAATAATAAAAGATCTGGATGGAATATAAAAACAAAAATAGGTAGAAACTGGAGGCAACACACTACTTGAAACAAGGGAAGTGACCTGGCTGAGCTGTACATTTAACTGGTTTATCCTGCAGATGTGCTAGGTTCACACCAAGGGAATAGAGTTTAGGCAGGAAGTGACTTCTTCCTGGGGCAAGGAACTGAGGTTGGAATTTGGCCCTGCTGGGAAAGAGTGGTGGAGAATGAGTAGGGAAAAATCATAGTGACAGCAGAGTCACAAAATATGTGTACAAGTTCCTCTACAGTCATTGGCTATCTTTGACGTTGTGCCTGTGCTGAACGACACCCTGTGGAAGCCAGCAGAAAGCAGCAGCTGTGAGGTTAAAGAGTTGAGCAGAAATTCCAGCAGTTGCTTGAGCTAGGGAGATAGAGTTTGGAGGTGAAGTCTCACCAAGTTAAGAGGGGCTTGGTAAACACCTTGAACTTTCCATTGAAATGTGAGAAGGGCCATGCCACACCTTAGGACTAAGAATCATGTACTGGGACTAAGGGCTACATCCTAGGGCTAAAGGAAAAACAAGAAAAGACTGGTACTAACAAAAGCAAAAAGAAGCCTTCACAGGATTGAGGTGACTGGCCAGACGCTACTTGCCAGAACACACAACTCAGTGCTCTGTGGAGGAAAATAAGGTTATCGAGAGTCTTTAGTATATATTATCCTGAAGGTTCAGAGGAGAAACACTTGGTGACTGTGACTTAGATAAAGAGATTTTAGACTTAACACCAAGAGCATCATCTAGAAAAGAAAAAAGTTAATAAAAGTTAATAAATTGGACTTCATCAAAATTAAAAACATTTGCTCCACCAAAGACCCTGTTGAAATGGTGAAAAGACAAGCTAGACACATGGACTAAATATTTACAAGCTACATATCTGACAAAGGACTCATATCTGGAGTATGTCTCAAACCTCAATGCAAAAAACATTCAATTAGAAAATGGGCAGAAGACATGAGAAACATTTTACCAAAGAGGCTATATGAATAGCAGATGAGTACATGAGAATATACTTGTCATTGTTATCTGTTAAAGAAAAGCAAACTAATTCTGCAACTATACACCTATTAAAACAATATAATAGTGGCAGTACCAAGTGCTGTCAAGGATGCTGAAAAACTAGCTCTGTACATTGCTAATGGGAGTGTAAAATCGTACAACTACTCTGGAAACATTTTGGCCATTTGGTAAACTAAACATTTACTTAACATATTTTAACTCCATATTACATATCCATATGAATAACATATTAAATATTCACTTTGAGCTTTTTTTCAGAGGTATGAAATCTTATGTTCATGCAAATATCTATATATGACTATTCATACTAGCTTTATTTGTAATAAACTGAAACTGGAAACACTAGAATGTCACTCAGTTTGTGAATGATTAAACAAACTGTGTTATATCCTTAGAATGGAATACTCCTTAGTAAAGTGAAATGAACTATTGATACCCAACAACTTGGATGGTTTTTAAGGGCATTAGGTGAGTGAAATGTCATATTAATACACCATTCTTGAAATGACAGTGTGAGGAAACAGATCAGTGTGTATTAGTCCATTCTTATGCCGCTATGAAGAAATACCCAAGACTGGGTAATTTATAGGGAAAAGAGATTTAATTGACTCACAGTTCCACGTGGCTGGGGAGGCCTCAGGAAACTTACAATCATGGCAGATGGCACTTCTTCACATGGCGGGAGGAGAGAATGAGTGCCGAGTGGAGGGGGAAGCCCCTTATAAAACCATCAGATCTTGTAAGAACTTACTATTGTGAAAACAGCATGAGGGAAACCGCCCCCATGATTCAGTTATCTCCACCTGGTCCCACCCTTGACATGTGGGGATTATTACGATTCAGGGTGAGCTTTGGGTGGGGACACAGAGCCAAACTATATCACAGTGGTTGCCAGGGGTTAGGGATATTGGGGGAAGAGGGAGAGTTTGAGTGCATAAGGATTACATGAGGGAGATCTTCATCATGATTGATTGGTTCTGTACTTTGATTGCAGAGGTGGTTGTGTGAATCTACACATGTGGTAAAGTGATGTAGAATTATATATGCACATTGTACCAATGGCAGACTTTTGGCTTTGATATTGTTCTATAATTATGTAAGATGTTACCATTATGGGAAACTGGAGGAAGGGCATATGGGACTTCTTTGTACTGCTTTTTCTATTCCCTGTGAGTTTATAATTATTTTATAATAAAAGTTCAAAAACACTTATTGGATGGACATCACAGAACATAATAGAAGAAAGAATCAGTGAATTATAGGTCTGTTTAATAGAAATGACTCAAACTGACACACAAAGCAAAAAGAATGAAGAAAACAGAACACAGTGTCTGAGACTTTGTGGAATAATATTATATAAAATTATCTAACAGTCACATGATTTGACCCTCAGAAGGAGATGAAAGAATGAGATAGAAGGAATATTTGAAGGAATAATTGTTGAAAATGTTTCCAAATTGATGATAATGTCAGCTCACATTCCCAAGAATCACATTGAACCCTGACCAAGATAAACCAAAGAGGACTACATCTAGGCTCATCATAGTCAAACTGCTTAAAATCAAAACTAAAGAGAAAAATCCTAAAAGCAATTAGAGAAATCCTATATAGTCCATGTTGGGAAACAGTTACATCAATGTGTGCTGACTTCTCATTTGAAACCATAGATGCCATTAGACAGTGGAACAATATTTTTAAAGTGTTCAAAGAAAAAAATTGCTATCCCAGAATTCTGTATTTTGCCAAAATACTCTCAAAAATAAAAAGGAAATAAAGAAAAAAATGGGTAAATTAGTCTCCAAACTGAGAGAATTTGACTCAAAATGTTAAAATGAGTTTTTCATGTTAAATGAGCAAATATAAACCTGGGTTTACAAGAATAACTGAAGAGTACTATAGTGGTAAATATGTTGGAAAATAAACAATTTTTCATAACTTGTTAAATCTATTGATTAAGGCCAGAAAAATGTATTGTGTGTTTTATAACATAAGTAGAAGTAAAATATATGACAGCAATTGTATAAAGGGTTGGAGGAACATATGCAGAAGTGTTTAATGTGAATTTTATTGTATCCCTATATTTTATGTGTATATTGTTTTATGTATATATTGTATGTGTTTTTTTTTTTTTTTTTTTTTTTTTTTGAGAGAGCACACTCGGTTACCCAGGCTGGAGTGTGGTGGCATGATCTTGGCTCACTGCACCTCTGTCTCCTGGGTTCAAGTGATTCTTGTGCCTCAACCTCCTGAATAACTGGGATTACAGGTGTGTGCTACCATGCCCGGCTAATTTTTAATTTTATTTTTTAGTAGAGGTGGGGTTTCATCCTGTTGGCCAGGCTGGTCCTGAACTCCGGCCTCAGGTGATTCATCTGCCTTAGCCTCCCAAAGTGCTGGGATTATAGGCACCAGCCACCATGCCCTGTATAGCCCATAATACAATATTATGAGCTAATACTGTGTATGTACTTACATGTATGTGAAATAGTATAATGTTGATTAAAGGTTACTTCTGATAATTTATGCATACTATTATAATTGGAAGACTATCCAGAAAAAAAAAACACTAAAAAACAAGAGTAATTACTAAATAGTGAGTAGAAGAGATAAAAAGGAAAACTTGGCTAATCATAGTGCGGTGGTGTTTACACCTGATTGCAACTAGTTACAGATTTGTTTCTTCTCCACTCCCACTGCTTCACTTGACTAGCCTTAAAAAAAAAAAAAAAAACTATAAATTAACATTTAATCAGGAATAAGTCAGGAAAGGAGGAATAAAGAAAGAAAGATAAAATAGGGCAAATAGCAAATGACAAGATGATACACTTAAACCTCACCATATTAATAACTGTTAAATATGAGTAGCCTAAATATTCCCATCAAAAGGCAGAGATTGTCATACTAGATTGGGGAAAAAAAAAGACCTAGGCTGGTGCAGTGGCTCACACCTGTAATCCCAGCACTTTGGGAGGCCAAGGTGGGTGGATCACTTGAGGTCAGGACTTCAAGACAACCCTGACCAACATGGCAAAACCTGTCTCTACTAAAAAAAAAAAAAAAAAATTACAGCTGGGTTCGGTGGCTCATGCCTGTAATCCCAGCACTTTGGGAGCCCAAGGCGGGCGGATCACAAGGTCAGGAGATCGAGACCAACCTGGCTAACATGGTGAAACCCCGTCTCTACTACAAATACAAAAAATCAGACGGGCGTGGTGGCAGGCGCCTGTAGTCTCGGCTACTCGGGAGGCTGAGGCAGGAGAATGGCGTGAATCTGGGAGGTGGAGCTTGCAGTGAGCCTAGATCGCGCCACTGCACTCCAGCCTGGGCGACAGAGCAAGACTCTGTCTCAAAAAGAACCAGAAAAACAAAACAAGAAAAAATTAGGTGGGCATGGTGGTGCACGCCTCTGTAATCCCAGCTACTTGGGAGGCTGAGGCAGGAGAATGGCTTGAACCCTGGAGGCAGGTGAGCTGAGATCCCACTACTGCACTCCAGCCTGGGTGACAGAGAGAGACTCCATCTCAAAAAAAACAAAACCCAAAAAAACAAAACAAACAAGAAAAAATTAGGTGGTCATGGTGGTGCACGCCTCTGTAATCCCAGCTACTTGGGAGGCTGAGGCAGGAGAATGGCTTGAACCCTAGAGGCAGGTGAGCCGAGATCCCACTACTGCACTCCAGCCTGAGCGACAGAGTGAGACTCTGTCTCAAAAAGAAAAAAAAAAAGAAGAAGGACTAGCTGTATACAGTTTCTATGAGACATAGTTTAAATAGGAGGTTAGACCTATAAAATAGAAGGAAGATATACCATGGAAACACTAGCAACAAGAAAGCTTGAGTAGCTATATTAATAACAAAGTAAAAATTAAGGGAGTATTACTAGAGATAAAAACAGTTCATAATAATGAAAGTTTCAGTTCATTAGGAAGCATTAACAATCCTTATTTTGTCTGTGTAAAATGAGACTACTTTAAAATATATGAAGGAAAAATTGACAGAACTAAAAGGAGAACTTGATAATGACAAATTCATTATTGTTGGATATTTTTAAAATAAGTAGATAAAAATTCTGTGAAAACATGGAAGATTTGAATGATATTAATAAAATTGAAAAAATTAACATTTATAGAATGCTAATTCCCACAATTGTGCAATACCTTTATTTTGAAACCACACTGAATAGTCACTGAAACAGACCATACTCTTGGCCACAAAACATATCTTTGTAACAAAGTATTGAAATTGTTTAGAATATGTTCTCTGACCATGATTGAATTAAATTAGAAATGTCTTAACAAGAAGAAATCTAGAAAATCCCCCAAATGTTGGGAAATTAAGAAAAATACTTGTAACTCATGGGTCAATAAAATCTCACAAATTTTTAGAAAATATTTAAAACTGAATAACAAGGGAAACCCAACACCTCACCATGTTTGTGATTCTGCTAACGTGGGAGTAAGAGTGAAATAATTCATAGCCGAAATGCTCAGATTAGAGCAGTCGTTCTGAAAACTCTGAGGATCACAATTGCCCAGACGGTTTTTGCTAAAACAAAGATTGTCACACCGAGCGTGGCGACTCATGCTTGTAATCCCAGCACTTTGGGAGGTTGAGGTGGGCAGGTCACTTGAGCCCAGGAGCTTGAGACCAGCCTGATCAAGGGTGTTTTAGTAGAAACTCTGTCTTCTAAAAATACAAAAATTATCTGGGCATGGTGGTACACACCTGTAATCCCAGCTACTTGCAAGGCTGAGGCATAAGAATCGATTGAACCTGTGAGGTGGAGTTAGCAGTGAGCCAGGATCTTGTCATGCACTCCAGCCTGGGTGACACCTTGCCCCCAAAAAACAATAGCCTCAGCCAGTCTCCTGAAAAAAAGCTCTTTAACAGCATCTTAGTTTGCCACAGTGGGCTCCGGAGGCCGAGTTTCAGTCCTGACTCATAATCCTGGGGACGTGCAAACCTGGCCAAGTTGGTGATGTATCAGCACTCCATTTCCTTACATCTTAACTCAGTGGATTGCTGTGAGGGTGAACTGAGACAAACACAAAGGGCTGAGAACAGAGCCCAGCTCAGAGCAAATCTAGCCAGATGACACTGACATCTGTCACCATTACCTCCCCTGAGTTTGGTCAACTCTGGCTCTTTCTGACCCTCCACCAACACCCCCTCCTCTACCAGACTCACCGTGGGCCCCACTCACTATCTGGACAACTATAGGATTTGTGAATAAGCTGTTTCTTCTGCCTGGGTGTTCTTTCCACCCTCTACCTCCTCTACCCCAACATTCACATCCTGCTGCTCAGCCTGACTAATTCCTATTGGTCCTTCAGAGTTCAACTTAAACGCTTTTTCCTCTAGGAAGCACCCCCTGGCTGCCTAGACCAGGTCAGCCCTCTGGCTCTCTATCCTGAGCATGCCTGTGGCTCTATTAGGGAACAGAGATTTCATCTGTCTTGTTCACCACTGTCTCTTCAGTGCCTAGCATGGCACAGGGCCATAATACCCCACAAATATCTGCTGAATGAATGAAGTCATGGCTGGAACTGTCACCATGGGGTCAACTATAGACAGGATGCTGTCTGAGTGCTCTCAGATGGCAAGTTTGTCGGAAAAAGAATTCAAGACTCAAGTCTTAGCCACATAACGGGGAAATACAATCAGCAGTCAAGAGAAAGAGGAGACCCAACCAGCCATCCAAAACAAGAGTGTTCAGAGGATGCCTGAAAGCTACAGGTATGGAGACAGGACAAGCTAGAGAAGCTGATCATGTTTCAGCAGGGGCAGGTGAATTACGTTAATATAAAAAATGTCAATTTTTTCAAAATTAACCCAAAGCTGGAATGCACTGTCAATCAGAGTTCTAATATTGCATTTCGGGGAATTGGATACAATTATTTTGAAGAATGAACAAAAGAACTGATAAGAATAGTAGTAGTACACCAACAACAGTCAAACCAAGAGCTAAATCAGGAACCTACTCCCATTCACAATTGTCACGAAAAGAATAAAATACCGAGGAATACAGCTAACCAGGGAGGTTAAAAATCTGTACCAGGAAAAATGCAAAACACTGCTCAAAGAACTCAAAGGTGACACAAACAAATGGAGAAACATTTCATGCTCATGGATAGGAAGAATCAATATGATTAAAGTGGCCATACTGCCCAGAGCAATTTATAAATTCAATGCTATTCCTATTAAACTACCATTGAGATTCTTCATAGAACTAGAAAAAACTATCTTAAATTTCATATGGAACCAAAAAAGAGCCTGAATATCCAAGGTAATCATAAGCAAAAAGAACAAAGCTGGAGGCATCATGCTACCTAACTTCAAACTATATTACAGGGCTACGGTAGCCAAAACAGCATGGTACTGGTACAAAAACAGATACATAGACCAATGGTACACAATAGAGAGCCCAGAAATAGGACCGCACACCTTCAACCATTTAATCTTTGACAAACCTGACAAAAACAAGGAACGTGTAAAAGACTCTCTATTTAATAAGTGGTGCTGGGATAACTGGCTAGCCATGTATGGAAGATTGAAACTGAACCCCTTCCTTCCACCATATACAAAAATCAACTCAAGATGGATTAAAGACTTAAATGTAAAACCCAAAACTATAAAAGCTCTGGAAGATAACCTAGGCAATACCATCCTGGACATAGGTACAGGCAGAGATTTCATGATGAAGATGCCAAAAGCAATTGCAACAAAAGCAAAAATTGACAAATGGGATCTAATTAAAGAGCTTCTGCACAGCAAAAGAAACACCAACAGAGTAAACAGACAGCCTATAGGATGGGAGAAAATTTCAGCAAACTGTGCATCTAACAAAGGTGTAATATCCAGCATCTATAAGGAACACAAACAAATTTACAAGAAAAATTATGAGCTAATATTGTATATGTGCTTACACGTATGTGAAATAGTATAATGTTGATTAAAGTTTACCTCTGATAATTTATGCATACTATTATAATTGGAAGACTATCCAAAAAAAAAAAAAAACAACTGAAAAACGACAGTAATTACTAAATAGTGAGTAGAAGAGATGAAAAGGAATACTTGGCTAATCATAGGGTGGATGGAGAGATCAACGTTTCAAATGAACAGTAACTACAACATGTGGTATTCCTGCCTGGGCTGGTACTGTGGAAGAAACTGGAAAGCCTAGAACAGGCCTTGGACTATGTAGGAACTTGTACAAAATAGAGGCAGCCTTGTAAATCAGCACAAGCTCTGCTGTGGGAAGGTTGGGAAAGGTGGGGATATGAGGTGAGGTTGAGAGATGAGCCACTCGGAGTATGGGATACCAGGCTGAGAATGGATGCATGGCCAAGTTCTTGTGCTGGACATGATGGGGTGATGGATTTGAGACCTGGTAGGGGAGAGAGTCTCTTAGGGGAGAATGAGCGCTTGGAGCTAGCACCTGCTCCCACATGGCCCATGGCCCTGGTCCAAAGCCTCCTGTCTCCCTCTCAGTCAGCCTCACCTCTCTGATTAGGAGTCAAAATAGGGAGATGTAAGTGAAGATTTCAGACGTTTCCATGTATCGTAATAGGACATAGTGAAGCAGGCCGCATGTGTTTTTCTGTTACTATTTTTGCTGTTTTCCCTCTCTAATTCAGGTGGATTTTCCTAGAAATTGACCTATGCAGGAACAACCTTCCCATTGAACACTGTTGACAAAAAGAACCGTGGCAATGCCATCGTCACTTCTAACATTGAGAACTCCTCTAGAATGTGCTCTTGGCTGATAGGTGCAGTGGATCATTGCAGCCATTGGAGCCCACATGAAGTTACTGATGACTGAAGTGTCCTGTGAGAGCAATGTTCTCAAGGGCATATTTCTTAAGGAATATACGTCTTGGGAAAGGGTCTAGTTTAGGTTCTGATTCTTGCTTCGCAAAATGATTTGTTGAAGACAGGTTGCTAATGGGGTACAATAACATTCTGTTCGTAGTGTTTACATTTTCTGTTTGATGTGATCAAGCTTAGATCTCCCTTTCCTTTTTTCCTTCCTTCCTTTCTTCTTAGCTACACTGTTCAAGGGATTTTTTTTTAATTATGAAATTTGCTCCAGTCTTACTACTTAAGTGGGAAAAATGCAAACACTATTTCACAAAGTGTGTATGTGTGTGTGTGTGTGTGTGTGTGTGTGTGTGTGTGTTGATGTCTTCAAGGAGCTTTTTTATATTAGGTAATAATGGTTGTTGATTCAATAGTGAAATTCAGGAGACAGAGACAATGCTTAAATTCAGTTTCAAGAGTCCAGAGTCATGTAGGCACTATCCAGGAATTAAGCGATGTGTACTAGAGAGGTATTAGTCAGGGCTAGAGATTTAAATTTGGAAGACCCTAGTGCTTAAATATTTAAGGCCCGATACGGAATAAGATTACAAAGGAGGAAAGTGTAGATAGAGAAGAAAAAGGAGCTCAACACGGAGTCCTGGGTGCTTGAATATTCATAGGTTAAGAAAAGCAGAACCAAAAAAAACTCTGTCTAGCTCAGGGTTGAGGACTACATTAGAATTATAAATCTGAGAGTGATCAATATAGAGATATTTGAGTCCAAGGGAATGAATGAAGGTACTTTCAATTAGTTTAAGTTAGATACAGTAACACATAGCCCCCAGATCTCGGCAGCTCAAACCACAAAGGTTTATTTTCTGCTCCTGGTGCACAGGGAAGTCAGGGCTTGCTACATGCCATTCTCCTCCAGGCTGATGGAGCACTGCCATCAGGAGGTCACCAGGCTTAGGGGCAGGAGGAAGAGAAGGACTGGAGAGGTAAGCACTGGCAATTAAATGCATCCACTTAAAATGACACCTGCCACTTATATTTCATTGGTCAAAGCAAGTTACAGATCCACGTGTATCTTTGGGGAGGCCAGGAGCTGCAATTCTTCTGAGAGCCCAGAAGCAGAAGAAAAGTGGATATTAGTGAACAGTTTTAATGCCAACCACAGTCTACCCTTTTGGTCACCGAATATTTGATTCAGTCTTTTTGGTACACAAATATCAAAGGTAGTGGGAGACATCCTAAAGTCTCATCAGCCTCAAAGTCACGGGCTTCTGCGTGATGCCCAGTGGTCTCTTTGTAAGATGCAGATATAGCTTCTTTGAGTCTGGAGACCCATGGGCTAAATAAAAGAACAAGTTAGCTGATACCACACAACCATACAGTCACACCCACACAACAACATGCAGTAGTAGAACAGGAACGGAATAACTGGAGACAGGTGACTGTCAATGGCCATAGAAACCCTGAAATTCCACTGGGCAGAGGCTGTGAGGTCCCATCACCCTTGGTCGTTCAGTTTCCCAGCAGGGCAGGGGCTTCACCGTTTCCTACTCTCCTGGCCTTGGCCCCTCTTTGGAGCATAGGGCACTAAAGAGACCGTGGCATCCTTGCAAGGTGGCAGCTTTCTCAGCCTGCTTCCTACCTGTAGTCATGGGGGATCTCTGGGCTCATTTTGTGTCTGGAGCAGTCCCAGGTCTCTGCTACATGAGGCTTCCGATCCCTCTGCCCCGCAATCGCTCATAGCACAGAGGCTTGGAATCTGGTGGTTCCTTATCAGCTGCAGGTGCCAGTTGCCATCCACATTCCTCTTGGAGATTTCAGATAAGTGGCATTTCTTTGCTTTCGTGCCCCCAACCCCTGCCCCCTCTTGACTTAATTGTAGCTGGCTTCAGCAGGAGGACCTACCCTTAAGCTCTTTTCCCTAAAACATCATGTCTAGTTTTTCCACTGTGTGTGAGTCAGCCTTCGAACAACCATAATCCAGGGAACATGCCTTCAGGTAAAGGCTGGATGGTCCTTTCACATTGGTTTCAGGACCCCAGCACTCCTGCCCTTGTATTCTGACTGTGAAAGATGCGATCTCAGGTGTGTGAGAGCAACTGCATGGCTCAGCTTCTATGTATGCCCCCATTCTGTGAGTAGCAGAAACAATCCCAGTTCCTTGAAGCCCCACTCCAGCTTCTATCACCCATTCCTATCTCCTTAGGATTGCATCAAAGGCATATTGTGTATGATAAATGTGGTATTTCAAATCAGTGATGAAGGACAGATCATGTAACTGTGTAGCAACACTTGGTCATCCATGTGAAAGCAATTCACTAGGGAAACCCTTTACCATTTGCAAATGTTACTTCCAGATGTATTAAAGTGTGAACGTTTAGGAGAAAAATAACCCCAAGAACTATTACAAGGAGATATCAGAGAATAGTATTTATTTTACGGGAAGAATTTTCTAAGCAAACCCAAAACCCCGCAAGCCATAGAAGAGAAACAGCACAGATTTTATTTCATTAAATTTTCAACTTCTGTAGGGAAAATCATTTTTTAATATGAAAAGACAAGCCACCAGTGATAATATAATGCCCTTAATACACAGAGTGCCTCAGATCAATAAGAAAAATGAGCAAGTAAAATTAACCAGGAAATATATACATAGGCAGTTCACCAAAGAAGAAATATAAATAGCCAATAAACATGTGAAAAGTTAACCAGCTCCGTGAGTAATCAGAGGAGAGCCAATTAACAACAACAACAAAACTCTGAGGTACCACGTTTTACTTACTATGTTGGCAAACAAAATAAGAAAGATGTCCAGTCTTGGCGAGGGTGTGGGGAGACGGCACTCACCTGGCTAGTGACTGGTGATGCGTTACTTGGTATATGGTCCTTGAAGGACAATATGGCGGTCTCTGTCTAAATTTTGCAATTCCATTTTGACCCAGCAACTCCACTTGCAGGATTTTTTTTCTACAGCAACTTCTGCCTCTGCAGGCTGAGAGAGTCAGACAAGTGTCCCAATTTTACTTTTGTTTTGTAATAGGAAGACAAAGCCCATGAAACAAAAATGGTTAAAGGAATCACAGTACATGTACACAAGGGAAAGCAATGCAGCAAGTCGGGGGAAATGAACTAGCTCTCTCTGGTGACACAGAGAAATATCTATGGCATAGGAAAAACAAATCACCCAAGAACATATCATATGATCTTAATTATATCATTGAAAAAGTTGAGGGCTTGAGTGTCAAGGGAAAGTCCAGAAGGATGTATGACTTGCGTTTCCTTCTCTCGGCAAGGCTGGCCTCCGAGATGAAGTGGCCAAATTTCATGGGCAAAGGGAGAGGGTAGGGCAGGGGTGAGGGGGTGGGGAGTGGTACATATACTTTCAGAAGGCGGCAGGGCAATTGTGCCCCATGTAGCACTGGCACCACAAGCAAGGGCAGATTGTGTGTTGAGGTGGGGCAGCACCTCCAGAGCCGTGCCATCAGCTGAATAGTTGGCTGGCAGGCCTCCGGGCCTCCTCCCAAAAGCTTCAATCCCTTGCCACGCAGCCATCCTGAGTTCTCAGGCTCTGCAGGAGCTCCCCTCCTTTCTGGCTGGGCTCCATGTCCTTGCCTCCTTCACCTCCTTGCCCTCCTGCATCCTATCTTCCACTCTCCTGACTTCTGCCCCATGGTCCTCATGGTGGAATCACTGTCCTAGCTAGTAGGAAGGACTGCTGGTCATCTTTCCAGCAACGCTGAGGCACTCCTGAGGGCTCCAGCCAGCAACATCTTCCCTGCTCTCTTCCTATCCACACTGCTATCAGGGGGCTAAGGGGATTTGGGTCACAGCTGCTCAGGCAATCAGACAGGCCAGGGACTCAGAACTTTCCTTTTTGACAGCCAATTGGAAATCCCATGGCCTCTGCGTGTATCGCTGTCTCTGGGATGTAATCTTATATTGTCTAGGCCTGTTTTGCCAACTGTAAGACCACGAAGTGGACAAGGACCACTGTGCTAGGGACCTTTCAACCCAAACATCCTGCAGCCCAGCCTGGCTCATTAGCAGCAGTTCCTCCCGGGCCCCGGGTGGTGGCAACTCTGCTGACTCTGGTCACTCCCTGGGCCGCAGTGGTCCTGCCTGCATTCCATCCATCTTCAAACCAGCATCCCCAGGCCTCTTTCTGTGATGAACCTTGTCTCCCTGACAGGGCCACCATTCCATGCAAACTGTCACTCCATGCCACGTGGCTATGCATTGAAACTGGCAGTGCATTCAGGAGTGTGTTTGCAAACCTGCGATTTCCAGCCAGTGAGAGTGTTTGGAGTCAGTGGGCACCCATGTCTGTTCTGTGAGAAGCTGCCCATTTTCTGAGAGATCCATGAATATCTACCAAGAAGTCTTGTGTAATGGCCATAGAATATATACCTGTGTGGACCTGGACAGCTTGGTTTTCTCTAGATGGGAGCTGTGGCAGGCTTGGAAACTTCAGGGCCATTCCTGCGTGGCTGAGGTGAGGAGGGACTGACTGTGTCCATACCAATCAGAGCTCATCCTACACCCTCTCCCAGTCCCTGCCAGAGATTCCCTTGACCTCAGAGGGATCGGGGGCCCTTCACTCCCTATGGTATGTCTGGCTCAATAACCAGAACCTGCAAGGGCTGATGAGGCTGTGCCACAGACTGTGTGCCACTGTGACTTCATGGCACAGTCCTGGCAGATCTTCCCTTAGTCTAAGTTCACACAAGCAGACCCCGCCTCTTCTCCTTCAGTTATTTATCCATTCCCTCAGGCAGGCAGGCAGCAGAGTTTTATTGAGCACCGGCTTCGAGCCAGATGCTGCACTGGGCATCGGGAATTCAGTGAAAAAGATGCAGTCCCTGGCCTAGGAGCCTGGGTCCGATGCGGAGGCTGCTGTGCAGCACATTTGCCTTCAGTCCCGTGACACAGCCAGGCTGTGAGGAGCAGGCATCCCTGGTCTTCTCTGTGGGATACACTTTCATGGTTTTTCAATGGTCTTCATTTATTTAAGGTAAAATTTTAATTTTATGGGCAGAAAAAGGAAACCAACTGTTGATCACGTTGATTTAGAAATGATTACATTGTTTTCTATTAGACAGAGTTCTTAATGTCTTTCTCAAAAGATGGAGGAGGAAATGAGTGATAGGGCTTTGTCTTTTTTACTTGATTTTCAACTCATTCCTTAAAAATGCTTGAAAAGGCTAACTGTGGCTGAAGACCACTGTAAGGGAGGAGAAAGCAAAACCTGCATTGACGAAGGAAAGGCAGCATCTCTGGCGGAAATTAATCACCTAAGCCACCTACTATGACTGCACAGGAGACAAGTGGTGGCCCAAAGGCTCTGTGTGTTTACAGTGTGGACATTTGAAGCAGCATCAGCATGGCCTTCACACAAACCTCATGATACTGTTCTAATGCCTTCTCCCCAGTTGTAAACCATCTGCTGCCTTGTACTGAAATATTGCACCCTGCTGACCTCAAAAGCAACAAGCATTCATGTACACACACACTGCGTATCCAGAGATATAGATACATAGATGTGTGCATGCAGCATACACACTGATTACATAGAGGTACAGTCATGTGTTGCTTGACCACAGGGATACAATCTGAGAAATACGTTTAGGTGATTTTGTCATTGTGTGAACATCGTAGAGTGTACTTGTACAAACCTAGATGGCATAGCCTACTACATGCCTAGGCTATGTGGTATAGCCTGTTGCTCCCAAGCTACAAACCTGTACAGAATGTTGCTGTACTGAATACTACAGGCAACTATAACACAATGGTAAGTATGTGTGTTTCTAAACTTAGAAAAGGTATAGTAAAAATACAGCGTAAAAGATAAAAATGGTATACCTGTCTAGGGCACTTACCATGGATGGAGCTTGCAGGACTGGGAGCTGCTCTGGGTGAGTCAGTGAGTGAGCGGTGAATGTGAAGGCCAGGGTGGTGAATGTGAAGGCCAGGACATTACACTGCTGTAGACTTTAGAAACACTGTGCCCTTAGGCTGCACTAAATTTATTTTTAAAAATTAAGTTACTGTCCAGGTGCGGTGGCTCACGCCTGTAATCCCAGCACTTTGGGAGGCCGAGGCGGGCAGATCACGAGGTCAGGAGATCGAGAGCATCCTGGCTAACACAGTGAAACCCCATCTCTACTAAAAATACAAAAAATTAGCCGGGCGAGGTGGCGGGCGCCTGTAGTCCCAGCTACTCGGGAGGCTGAGGCAGGAGAATGGTGTGAACCCCGGGGGGCAGAGCCTGCAGTGAGCTGAGAGCGCGCCACTGCACTCCAGCCTGGGCGACAGCGAGACTCCGTCTCAAAAAAAAAAAAAAAATGAAGTTACTGTGCCATGATGTTATCAACAGCTATGATGTCACTAGGTGATGAGAATTTTTCATTATAATCTGATAGGACCACCATTGTATATGCAGACCATTGACTGGAACATCATGATCTATCTGCACATGACTGTAAATAACAACTATTGGATGTGGCACAGATGGAAGCTACATAAACACTCTATACAATATGGCCAATTCACCGGGCTCCCTGTTAGTCTTGTGAGCAATTTTAAACTCTTCCACGATTCTTTCTCTGCTTTGGAGTGTTTCAATTAATTCTCCATTATATTACAATTTACATTTTTATTAAGCCTTTACAGAGAGCAGCTGAATTTCTTAATTATTTTGTCAATACAAATTATATTAGCGTTTAAGCTTAAAAGGGAAAAAATATAGTATATATGTGTCATATATTGAAGCACCAGGAAACTTGAGGAAGGGGACATGGGCTATCCCCAGACGGGGAGGATGGTCGAGGCCTGAGGCTGGAGTGTGTATGGTCAGAGGGGTGAGGGGACACTTTCAGGGAGTAGCCAGAGGGAGTGTGCTGGTGGGGAGAAAGGGAGAGGAAGTAGTTTATATCAGAGAGGAACAGGATATCACATCATTCAGAGCATTGTAAGATGTGGTAGGACTTGGCTTTTCTTCAGAGTAAGATGTGATGTCATTGGAGAGGCCTGGGCAGAGGGACTTAATCCAGTTCAGTTTAACAAGATCACCGTGGCTGGTGTTTGAAAACCAGAAGTCAGCGTGGCAGGGCAGGGACGCTGGCAAGGAGAGAGCTGCAGTATTGCAAGGGAGGAATGACAGTGCTGGGCAAGGATGGTGGCAGAGGAACAGTGCCAAGAGGAGGGCTGTCTCTTCAAATTATATTTAGAACCCAACAGGACTTGCTGATCGGCCAGATGCAGGTGTCAAAAATGTTAAAGTTGACTCCTGCATCTTTGGTCTGAACAAATGGAAGCTTGAGGTTGCCCTGATCAGAGATGTGGAAGATTACAGGAGAGTTTGATTTGCAAGGAAATACCAGCCTCTCTGCAGCTGAGTTTTGGCATGTTTACTTTCAGATGTGCATTACATGTCCAAGTTCTTGAGAAAATAAGGGAGTATGTTGTAGCCAACAATGAAGGAGGGATTTCAAACATAATGCATGGGCGAGCAATGGTGGTGCACGCCTGTGATCCCAGCACTTTGGGAGACTGAGGATCGCTTGAGTGCAGGAGTTCAAGGCTGCAGTGAATTGTGATTGCACTACCGCACTCCAGCCTGGGCAACAGAATAAGACTCTGTCTCTAAAATAAAAATAAAACATAATGCCAGAACTTTCATGAATGTGAACCAATAATGCATTTCTCAGTAATGTAAAACAATGGGAAAAAATGACCAAAGATATAGATCCCAACAACAAAGTGATGAGACTCTATCTAATAGAAGCCTGTAGAATAGCAGGTTATATAAAGTCAGAGGGTTTACACAGTTTTTTTTTTTTTTCCTAATCACTTATTCAGCATACATGTATTGAGTTCCTCATGTGGACCAGGGAGGTGCCTTAGAAGGATAATAAAGAAATGTGAATCACAAACCAACTGCTTATAAGCCTAAACAAACAAGCACAGTGCACAGTCCGTGATAACAATGGAGTCATGTGGTAGCAGCAAGATTTGGGACGGGAACATGAGAAGTTGGGGAAAGCTTCTAAGGGGGCTGTTTAACAAGTGCTGGGAATTATCCAGCCAATAAGTGGGTGGTGCCATCAGAAGAGCTGCAGAGAAGCATGATGTGTTTGCAGAACTAGCACTTCAGGAAAAAACAAGTGGCCAAAGAGTGATGGGGCTTGTGTGATGAGCACTGGGACAATTTGAGCCTCAAACTACTAATTATAGTAACAGGTGATTATTTATTAAATAGGTGATGATTCTTAAGAAAAATGCATATGTTTGTATTAAAAGAAAGAAATGGATGAATAGAGAAATAAGTGGGGGAGAAGGGAAAGTGCTTTCTTATAGTGGAGTGTCAGCTAATAAATGTAGGAGAAAGGAAGGAAATAGAAAGTCACCATTTGATGACCACCAAGTTTTAATTGTTGCAAACAGAAATTTCATTGCATGCTAAAACCAATGGGGGAGAAATTCAATGAGAAACAGAATATTTACAAAGAGTATATCTCTGCAAGATACAAACACAAAAATAGTAACTATTTAGGGGTGGGACCTGATGCACATCACCTTAGCCAAGAGATCAACATAAGCATCATCAACATGGACCAAGTAGACATGATTTGTCCCTGATATGGTTCACAGGGGACAGAGCATCACTTCCACAGTGTTCCTGCCAGCAATACACAACAGAGTCTAATCATGAGGCCTCACAGGGCAGACCCAGACTGGGGACATTCTACCCTAAGTAGGGTATCAGGGTTGCAGAATGATAGACTGAGCCCTGCGCAAGGATACCATCTCACACCAGTTAGAATGGTGATCATTAAAAAGTCAGGAAACAACAGATGCTGGAGAGGATTTGGAGAAATAGGAATGCTTTTACACTGTTGGTGGGAATGTAAATTAGTTCAACCATTGTGGAAGACAGTGTGGCAATTCCTCAAGGATCTAGAACTAGAAATACCATTTGACCCAGCAATCCCATTACTGGGTATACACCCAAAGGTATATAAATCATTCTACTATAAAGACACATGCACATGTATGTTTATTGCAGCACTGTTCACAATAGCAAAGACTTGGGACCAACCCAAATGCCTATCAATGATAGATTGGATAAAGAAAATGTGGCACATATACACCATGGAATACTATGCAGCCATGAAAAAGGATGAGTTCATGTCCTTTGTAGGGACATGGATGAAGCTGGAAACCATCATTTTCAGCAAACTAACACAGGAACAGAAAACCAAATATTGCATGTTCTCACTCATAAGTGGGAGTTGAACAATGAGAACACATGGACGCAGGGAGGGGAACATCACACACTGGGGCCTGTTGGGAATTGGGGGCCGAGGGGAGGGATAACATTAGGAGAAATACCTAATGTAGGTGACGGGTTGATGGGTGCAGCAAACCACCATGGCACGTGTATACCTATGTAACAAACCTGCACCTTCTGCACATGTATCCCAGAACTTAGAGTATAATAAAAATTTTTTAAAAGAAAATAAGGTGATAGACTGAGAAACTGTTTCAGATTTTCAAAAACTAGATTAGAAACATGAAAACGAAATGCAATGTGGGATCTTGGACAGAAAACAACCATTTTGTTACAAAGGACATTGTTGGGACAATGGATGAAACCTGAATAGTATCTGTAGAACAGACTCGTATGTGGAGAGAATGATAAATGTAAAACTTTAACCTTCGAGGGGCTCTAGTTGTGAGGTATGTAGGAATTCTGTATACTATTTTTGCAAGTTTTCTATATATCTGAAATTATTTCAAAATAAAATTTTAAATAAAGTAGGCAGAGTTAAAGAAGGCCTTTTATGCCACATTACCGAGCAGGATGTGTGACGGCCTCACAGGCCACAGGCTTTGTGGCTCATCTTCACGGTGAAGTCCTCTGGGCAACCTCAGCCAGGGACTTCCCCATGCAGCCTCCTCCCTTTGTCCATATGCACAGATTCTGCATAGTGTAGTCCAGGTACCTAGCCCTGGGAAGTCTTCATCTTTTGATAACTTTTAATCTGCAAAGTATCTCACTATAATTGATAGGCCAGGTTCCATGCAGCATTCCCCACTGTTGGATTCTCATCAGTTTGCCTCCAGCGTGCCTTTGAGATGCGGTAACAAAGGTATCAGAACATGTGTTGTCTCTCCCCACTGCACATTCTCACGGGAGCCATCGCTGGTCCATGTGTGCCCATGGTCTGAAGGCTCATGCTCCCCGCTGTCCTGTTGCTCTCTGTGGAGGCTGTGCCCACTCACACGTCATTTGCTCCTCCATCTTTGAATGCTAATGTATCTCAACAAGATGATCTCCTTTTAGAACACAGAGCAAAAGTGTTAATACAAATTCCATTATTGAAATAACATATGTAATAATATATAATATGTAATTAATCAGTATGTAATATATTAATCAATATTACATATAATACATAATATGTAGTATGTATTATATAATGTATATAAATATATAAAAATATATTTGTATATTTTATATATAATACATGTGTATTATGTTATATGTATTTTATATACTATTATATATAAAATATGTTTAAATAATATAATTGTAAATTATTTTATATATATAAAAAACACATATTTCTCATGCTATTATCTGTTTCTTTGGGTTTCTGCCAAAAAATCGTTTTCATATTTATATTATAAATTATAAACATTTTAATATGTATATATTCGTTTTTATAGTTTTTATAACTATCTAACTTCCTTACAAACCAGCATGAGCCACAGCTCTCTCTATTTGCGTCTCACTGCACCACTGCACTGTGGGCAGCACCCGTTCTTATTGTACCCTCAGAACAGTGTGCAGCCTAGCACCTGTAGGAAGGACTCGATAGAATTTTCTTGAATGGAAATAGCAGTGTACCCTTCAAGAAAGGGTCACTTTGGAGTTAGGAAAAGGATGAAATGCTCAGAGATAAAGCAGAGGAATGTGTTGAATGGCCAGTTGACTTTATAATTTTCATTTATTTCTTCAACTTGTTTTCACTGAGTGGCTGCAGCATCCCCTGAACTGTGTACTAAGGTCCCAAGGATAGAAAAGACAAAACAAGCAAGTTCCCAGAACTTAAATTCTCCAGGGAACAGAATGGCATATATGACTGGATGGATGGATCAATGAATGGACAGATGATGTATGTAGTGTTATTACAGACAATGGTAGTGCTACAAAAGAAGTGATTGGTACTGCAGTAAAATAATGGGGAATGTAGTTCAGCAAGGAAGTCAGAGAAGGCTTCTTAGCAGTGGTGAAATTGAAGCAGACACTTGAACTAAAAGGAGGGGGGAAGGGAAGCACTGTGGAAGCTCTTCCAGGTGAAGTCAGTGCCAGGGCACAGAGGCCAAGGAAGCAGCAGGCTGTGTGTGGGGCACACAGAAGGCTCAGCCTGCAGTGCTGGTTCTGGACAGCCAGGCGCCATCTGAAGCTGCAGAGGTGGAACAGCGAAGTGAGGCAGGACAGTTGAAGGCTTGGAAAGAAGTTTGGTCTCACTCCAGTGCAGTGGGAAGCTATTGGGTTTCAAGCAAGGTAGGATGTGACATAATTTACATCTTTTGTTTTGTTTTGTTTTTTTGAGACAGAGTCTCACTGTTGCCCAGTCTGGAGTGCAGTGGTGCGCTCAGCTCACTTCAACCTCAGCCTCCCAGGTTCAAGCAATTCTCCTACCTCAGCACCCTAGGTAGCGGGCACTACAGGTGCCCACCACCACACCCGGCTAATTTTTGTATTTTTAGTAGAGACGGGGTTTCACCATGTTGGCCAGCCTGGTCTGAAACTCCTGAACTCAGGTGATCCGCCTGCCTCGGCCTCCCAAAGTGCTGGGATTATAGGCGTGAGCCACCACGCCTGGCCAATTTACATCTTTTAAAGATTCTTGTGGCTGTGTTGAGAAGAAATTGGAGAAAGCGGCAGACTGTGGTTTGCTCATGTTAGTAAAAATACTTAAACTAAATGAACTGATCAATAGCACACCAGCAAATGTCCAGCTGAATGCCAGTAATGCTGTTTTTCAAAAATGTGTGCTGACAGAAGTTGGAAAAGTCCTTCACAAGCTTATTAGCTTTGCATAAGGGCTGTTTTATGGCCCATAGATTTTTGCGGCTCATTGTTTTTATTGAAGAATAATGTACATACAGAAAAATGCACATCAAATGTACAACTTCATGAATTATAAAAAAAATGTAAATATGCCTTTTTATTAAATAATCACTGCCCAGCTCAAAAACTAGAACATGAGATGCAGGCATCTGCCCCCTTGAGCCTTCTCCCTATTCTTTCTCCTTTATTCAGTCTTTGCATTCTCCTGACCTCTCACCTGCAGTTTTGCCTATTTTTAAACTCAGTGTGATGAATGGAATGAAATAATGTTTGCTGTGTGTACCACCAGTTCATTCATTCATACTATGCTATTCATGTACTATTTGTCCATGTGTGAGTATACTGTAGTTTATCCATATATTCCAATTGTCCAGTGGATCCATTGGTTATCATTTGGGCTGCTTCTAGTTCTTAGTCCTATGGCGATATTTCCCGTATTTTTTGGTGCACAGGTGTACACATTTTGGTTGTGTAGGTACCGAGTGCTGAAAGTACTGGCTTACAGGGGTTGTGTAGGATGAGCTGTGGTAGATTCTGCCAAGCGGTTTTTCCAAGTTGCCTTACTAATTACACTCACACCAGCTCCGTGGGAGGGCCCTGGTTGCGTCACATCTTTGCCAACACTCGGTATTTTCAATTTTTGTAATTTAGACATTCTGGTGGGTATCTAATTTTCATTTTAATTTAATTTCACTGATGACTAATAAGGTTGAGCAACTTTTCATTGATTTTTGGCCATTCAGATGTCATCTTGTGAAGTGTATGTACAAATATATTTCCATTCTGCTATTGAATTGACTGTTTATTTCTTATTAACTTCTGAAGTGTTTATTCAGGGTACCAGTCCTTTACTGAGTCTATGGATTGCAATGATGTTTTCTCTCTGTGTAGGTTGCTTTTCACCTTCTCTAGGTTGTTTGCTAGTGCAGAGAAGTTCTTAATGTATCTACTTTATCTGTTAGGGTTTTTTGTTGTTGTCGTTATTGAGACAGAGTCTCTCCCTGTTGTCCTGGCTGGAGTGTAGTGGCACGATCTCAGCTTATTGCAACCTCTGCCTCCTGGGTTTAAGCGATTCTTCTGCCTCAGCCTCCCGAGTAGCTGGGACTGCAGGCATGCACCACCACACTTGGCTAATTTTTGTATTTTTAGATGAGACAAGGTTTCACCATGTTGCCCAAGCTTGTCTCAAACTCCCCACCTTAAGTGATCTGCTCGCCCCAGCCTCCCAAAGTGCTGGGATCACAGGTGTGAGCCACCATGCCCAGCGTACTTTACCATTTTAATAGTAGTTTTGGCATCTTGTTTCAGAACTCTTTGCCCATCCCAAGTTCATGCAGATGCTCCTCCATGTTGCTTTCTAGAGGATTTATTGTTTTACCCTCTACATTCAGAAACACCATCAACTTGGAGTTGATTTTCATGTATACTGTGAAGTAAGAAGACAGATTTTCTCATATGGCTCTCCCATGGACTCAGCACATTTACTATGGACATAAATACTCTCTCAAATACTCCACAATGTTTTTTTTTGTCAAATATGACCTCTATAAAGCCACATGCAACAGAATGTCAGAATTGAAGTTTGACAGCAATATGGAAGTGTAACAGACGACACATCTAAAATGAGATGCCAGGCCAGAAGCCCCAGTTAGGAAGGAATGAGCTAGGATCATTTCCCTCATTTTTGAACACCTTGAACTGATCAAGAATATAAAGAAGGAATCAGATGTAGGGAGGAGAAAGGATTCTGTGAAGAGAAATTTTTGAAAAAGCTGTTAGAATGCCACTGTCAACTCAATGTCCTTCTGTTTCTGGGGCTTGGGGAAGGTGACCTACCCCTCACCTGGAGCCTTTAGGCTGAGGATCAAGAGAGTGTTGAAGATAAAGGTGCCAATGCTTGGATCTGGGCATCTCATGAGTGAGGAAAGGGACCAGGATGCATTCCTTACGGTTGTCAGAGTGCGTGAGGACCATTATGGCCCCCGGATGGGCCGTGCCTGTGGGAGCTGGCAGGGGTGGTGTTGGGCCCTGTCACTGGGGCAGCGTGGAAGGAGAGAGGGACCCGAGTAGCAAGAAGCTAGAGGAGGACTTCAGATGCCTAGTACGCTGACACTGCAGAAAGTGACTGTTAAGAGGAGGCGTGCAGCTGCCTGCGGTAGGAATGCTGCACGTGAGTGACCCCACCGTGGAAATCTCCAAAGAGGCTCCCAGGAGAGCAGCTGAGCCTCCTCCGGTGGCCGGACCCCAAGCCCGAGACAGGACACGAAGCAGTCCCTTCAGTCCAAAATGCTCCTTCCCCCACCTCCACACCACTACCCCAGAGCAGTTAGCAGAAGACAGATGCCAGGCACAGCACCTTCCCCAGGAAGGACCCTTTGGAATTCTCTCAACTAAATGCATTTTAAAGGGGCCAGAAAGAGATTTAAAACAATAAGTAAATAAGTTGCATTTTGATTACATCCCCAAAGTCCTGCTCTTTCAGTTTCCCTTTGAGCAGTTAACTACTGACCCTCTGCACCGCCCTAAGCAGAGGTAGCTGATCACTCAGGAGGGTCACTCTTGTGTGAGGGGAAGCCTCCCACTAGCCCAGAAGTGCTCTGGGCCATAGTTGAGCTTTCATATTGCTGCACCATGTAGACGCTCAAGTGAGACAGAAACACAAAAACACAATAACCGCCGTCTGCCAAGGAAGCAGGAAAAATCACCTTTCAGGCCATTGTCCTGGTAAGTGGCCATGGCCTTCCAGCCACTCAGCATTTATACATAGGGAAAGCCACTTTAAGTAATGCAGTTGATGTATCTTAATCTGAGATGACACAAACATCAAAGGCATTTCTTCTCCTTGATTTCCAATAATCTCAAATATGCATTCTTTTCATATGTTCTTTGAACCTCAGTATAAAACATGGAATCAACTCTCTAACTTAAAAGCAGTGCAGTTTTGCAAAGTATCTTGCTCTAAGAGATGTTAGGGAGGTGATGCCTTTGTCATTCCTGGTTTGTATTTTTCCATTTTCCAAAAACTCTGTAGGTATTACAGATATCATTGCATAATTTAGAATTTAATCCTCCTGGAGAGTCAGGTGTCTTCAAGGTGATTTATAGCAAGTGAAGCTTGCAGAATTCTGGAGAGTGGTGATATAAAGTAAGGTAAGGCAAGAGAGAGGGAGAAAGAAAGGAAGGAAAACATGTTTTATGTGGGCTTCCAGTTATGGAAGTGTAAACTGCATCCTGGGAGACAGAACAGAACTGGGAAAAGAATATGACAAATACAGATTCATTGATCACCATGAGTGTGCCCTGATTTTGTAATAGAAATAAGGAATAAAAATGTTATCGGTTACAGCCTTTAAGTGATAGGATTCTAGATCATTGTTATTTTCATCTTTGTTTCTTATGTGTTTTCTGAACTTTCCCTAATAGACATCTGTCAGTTTTGTAACCAGAAAAACATACATATTAAATGAGCACAAAGGTGTTGAAGACTTCAACTCTATTTGCTATTCACCATAGAAAGGGTTTTGTTTTTTTTTTCCTAGTCAGGCCACAATCAATTCAGCTGAATGAACATGAACCGAAATACACACCTGCACGTGCTCCTCAGGTGAGTGTTCTGAAGGACAGGCACCCACCACTGGGCCACCGGGACTTGAATTTCACCCAGCCGCACGGCCATGGGAATACTTGGGAGGACAAGGTAGCTGGGCAGTTAGAAAGAAAGACTCCCCTACCCCAAGTTTGTGGCCTGGGGGCCCCAGATGCTTGGCTATTGCAGGAGGTAAAGCTGTAGAAATTGACTGGGACTGCTTCTATGGACAGCAAAGGGAGAAACAGCAATACAATAATAGTGGATTTCAGTATTCCACTTTCAATAATGGATAGCTCTCCCAGGCAGAAAATCAAAAAGGAAGCGTGGGTGTGAACAGCAGTGTAGGCCAAGTGGACCTAACAGACATTCACAGATCATTCCACCCGGCAGCAGAAGAACACACATTCTTCTTATTTCTTACTGCCCAGCTGTTGGCCTTGTCCTCCCAGGTCTCCCTCTGGTGCCCCCTGCCCTGAGATCTTGCTGTCCCCCTCTGCACCTCTATGCAGGGCTGGAGGCCATTCTGGATGTCTGAGAACTTTTCTGGCAGGTATTCCCATGGCCGTGCGGCTGGGTGAAATTCATGTCCTGGTGGCCCAGTGGTGGGTGCCTGTCCTTCAGAACACTCACCCCAGGAGCACGTGCAGGTGTGCGTTTCAGTTCATGTTCATTCAACTGAATTGATTGTGGCCTGACTAGAAAAAGCCCTTTCTGTGATAAATAGCAAATGGAGTTGAAGGCTTCAGTGCCTTTGTGTTTGTTTAATATCTACGTTTTTCTGATTACAAAAAAGACAGATGTCTATTAGGGAAAGTGCAGAAAACACATAAGAAACAAAGACAAAAGTGACAATTAGAATCCTACCACTCATGGCTGTGACTGATAACATTTTTATTCCTTATTTCTATTACAAAATCAGTGCACACTCGTGGTGACCAGTGACTCTGTATTTGTCGTATTCTTTTCCCACTTCTGTTCTATCTCCCAGGATGCAGTTTATACTTCCATAACTTTTTCTGTACTTACACAAACATGACTATTTATAGGGTTTTATTTTGTTTTGTTTGTTTTGTCTTAACAAAAGGACTTAGACCATATATTCCTCTGCAACTTGTTTTCTTTAGTTAACAATAAACTATGGAAGCATTCCCAGATACACACACACTTATGTGTGTGTATAATATATGTGTGTGTATATATATATATACACATATATTTGCATATACACACATACAAAAACATTTTTTAAGGCAGCTGCACAGTCCTCTTTCATGGGCAGCAGGCCTGCATATAGAACCACCACACACAGATATGCAAAGCAAATGGAGCTTTATTTTCCTCTAACTGATGTGTCCTCCTGTGCTCTGTGTTCTGTCTCTTCCCGCCCTCAGCCTTTCCATCAGTGTCATCCCATGCTCTGCGGCTGTAAATCCTCTTTGGTGAATGCCCGGTTCTTCAGGACCCCATCTCCTCCTGGTTCCTTGGCCACATCATCTGTTGTGCAAATGTAAAACTCTTGGGAGTGAGGGGGCACTTTAGTAAGGACACTGGAGCCACAAGTGTATCCGGGGATCTCATAGCTGTCCCTATGCAGGTTCCCAGGTGCCCCACGTGTGTGCAGGCTGGTGTCCAGAGAATGCTGCTGGGTTTGTCCACACCTGTGGTGCCCCGCTGGCACCTTTGTGGACGTCTGTATCTCATGGAGCTCCTGCCCTTTCCTGTGAGTGCTCATGCCCCTGGGTCCCTCAGCTCTCTGCTTCTGAGTCTGCCAGTCCTGCTTTTCCAGCCCTGAGTCTTGGGGATTCATCCTGTGGTCCTAGGCCATAGCATCCTTGCTCTAGCAGGCATAGCTAGGAGGTCTGGCCTGTTCAGCCCTCTGCAGGAGCGCACACAGCTCTTCCTGGGCACGACCTGGGAGTGGCCTGTGTTCTCTCTCCCTCTCTGTCCTGCAAGTCTTTTGCATTACCGTGTATGCTGTGGCATTCCGCTCGGATTCTGTCTAGTCTCCTCCCACAATCCCAAAGAGGAGCAGAGTGTAATCTACTCCTCGACTGCTGTCACTTTCGCATCTTCTCTGACATTCCCCTCCACTGGGGCCTTGGGCCCAGAAACAGCCCAGGCCACCTGTATCTCTCACTGCCTCCTTCCCCAGCTTCCTCCCCGTCAGAGTCCCTTGAAGTGGGGCTTTCCATTTCTTAGTCATCGAGTCTTGAAGTCCCCTTGTCCGTGACAGATAGTAAAATTCTCTGTCTGGGTCTCCCTCAAAAGACCCTTGAAATGCTAATGGAGCTATTGGAATTTAGAAAATTGGTTAATTGCTTCCTTTTCCTCCAATAAACCTGGATTTCTAGAGGATATTCTTGCTAAGGAGGTTAAGAAAAGTCAGCACTAAGGCTCAGGGCTGATCAGTGGCCTCTTTGATTCTGAATATAAATCAGTCTTAAAGAGGAGGGCTGCAAAGGAAACATGACTTAAGGAAGAAAGATATGACAGTGCGAAAGTGTATGCTCATTACAATATAGTGCGGCTGCGTCCAAATTCCTCCCGCCTCTCCCCTATGGATGGTGGTCACGCTTTTGCCATCCCAAATAATGCTGAGGAGGGGAAAGCCTCTTACACATGTCTTCTTCTTTATTAAAACTCTTAATTTCTGTGGAATAAAATCCTAACACTGTGATGCAAAGGGCATGTGCAATTTAACTTTTTAAATCTGCTGATTCATCTTTTTTCGATTCATGCTCTCACCATTAATGTATGAAGTGCTGTTTCCCCACATCTTTACCACCACCGGATGTTAGAAACTCTTTTTAAGTTTTACAGTCTCATTGGATTAAAAAGCAAAAGTGTCTTGTGTCATCTCACATTTGCTTGACTGCTTGTGCGGGGCAGGTGGTGTGTGCTTTCACAGGCTGTCAGCTGTCCCCAGCCTCTCTTTTACAGAAGTGGCTCCTGCCCATTGTCTCCTAAGGCTGTTCTCCCTTTTAATTCTCTATGGTGCAGGCTCTTTATATATTAGGAACTCTAACTTTTGGTCAGATGGGTTGGGAGTTTCTCCCAATCTCTTTTTTACTTTGTATATATTATATTTATGTTTTACCATAGGAATTCATACCAAAAGCAAGAAGTATGACAAGTATGACTTTTTATTAAAGGACTTAAAAATCTAGATAAATGAAGAATTATACTGTACTCCTGGATGGGGAAGCTGAATTTGAAGCCATCAGTTATTTTGAAATTAACATGTATTTGTAATGCAATTTTGGTCAGTACTCTAGGTTTTTGTTTTAACTGAGCCCAAGCTGTCCAGCAATGTCAGCAAGAAATTCTTCAAGAAGAATAGTAAGAGGGGTCTTGTGTCATCTATAAAGGTGTCACATAGCTACACTCATCAAAAAATATAGTATTGGTGCCAAAAATGAAAAAAATTAAAATCACTGAAAGAAGAGATTTTGCAAACAGATCAAAGTATAGATATATTTTAACTCACTTGGAAAAGATGGCATATTTAATAAGTATCTTGTTGTAATCAATGATGTTGGAAGGGAATAAAATTGGATGCCAACACTGAGGCACGCACATGAATAAATTCCAGATGGGTTTTGAACCTAAATGTAGAGCAAAAAAATCCAATTATGTAAATAGTAGGAAAAAGAGTAGAATGTGATCCATATAATCTCAATTGAGAGAGGTCTTCTTAAATAATGCAGGAAACCCAGAATGATAAAGAAATAGAGTGGCAGATATGGCTATATGAAAACAGTTTAGCATCTTTTCCTTTAGTCTTTTACATATGCAGTTTTACATTCTTGAGGTTTTTTAATATATATGGTTTTCTCTTGATTTTTTTCACTTCCTAAGTGTTTCCCCAAGAAATATAAAACTTCAAAAATGTAATTTCAGTATCTATGTTCCAGTTTATACATGTGCTGTCATTTAATTAGAACTTACCATTTTTAAACACAAGCCACAGTTCTTTGAAATTATATTTCAAAAGTAGAAAACACATTCCATAATATCTTGAATAGATCTGAATAGAATCTTGACATGCAAGACACATGGCATACCGTGGTAGCAACTCTCAGGATAAGACAAGTGTGCACTACATGGTAAACTAGACCTGGTGCTCATACATAGAATCCAAGGAGAAACAATGTTTAATAAGTTATTAGCATCATTTCATATAAATTGGGAAGAAAATTATTGGACCCTTTCCTCATCCCATGTATACGGACAAATAGAAGATAGAGGCAACAGAGATACCTCAGGGACCAGGCGCTGATTGCAGATGTGTGGCAGAAGTACTGTGTGAAATCCACGGCGCATCCAGGGGGCTTTTCTTTGATCACACCCTGAGAATTTTCGTAAACTAAACACTGTTTGGGAGTTTTAAGAGGAGGAAAAGAACTTTGCTTCTGCAAATTATGGCAGTCATGTCAATGTTACCGAATATTCCGGGACAGATTTCCAGAAGAAAAGAGTGCATCTTGTGAACCGTCAGCTTGCAGTGGCCTTGGCTAGAAGTCAGCATAGGGTCTGACTTCATTTTCTTTCTGGGTAATGTTTTTGAGGGGGAACACCGGGGACATTATACATCTGAATTTTTGGAGTACGTTTGATTAAAGAGGTAGCATAGTGTAATTGTGAAAAAAAGTTTATTTGGAATTAGAAGAGTTGAGTTCAAATCTCTAAACCCTCACTTACCTGTTATTCTCTTTAGAGAAGTCACTTCACTTTCAAGACCAGATTTTCCATTTGTAAAATGAAAGTTTGGGATCTAAGTGACTTCAAAAGTCCCTTCAAGCTATAACACTCTGCTCTTGTAAATTCCTCATGACAGTCCTATGGTAAAGATGGGAAAAGTGTAGCCTGAATGTCATTTTAATGAGATAGGAGTCACCATTGTCAATGACTATATACAGAGAACACATTTGTCTGTCAGTCCTTTAGTTAAGCCTAGAAAGGGGTCTCTGGCAGACTGCTGTGAGGCTGTGTCTTCCTTCCCATCTAGCCATTTTCTAAATGCTGTAGAATAAGGGTTAGCAAAGTTTTTCATGAAGGATCAACAGTAAATATTGCAAGTTTTGCAGGCTCTATGGTCTCTGTTTACAACCAGCCAACTCAGCCAATAGACATTACATAAATGAACAGTTGTGCTTGTGTTCCAGTAAAACTTAATTTATAAAAAACAGGCAGCTGATGGGCAGGCTGAGGTGCCCTGACACCTACTCTTGCACAGTGAGAACATTCGTGGCCCACAGATCAAATTGTCATTTATTTGGTTAAGTTTTATTCAGCACTAAGTCGTAGGGTTGCAAATATGCATGTGTCAGTTCTTGATCTCCAGGAACTTCCCAGTGAGGAGATAGCAGGTGAATGAGATGGGATGCTCCTTAAGATAGTGAGGTCCCTGGGGTGTGGATCCGGTCCTGTGAGTACGCAGAGCTGTGAGTGTGTGATTCTGCCTGGAGGTTAGGCCGGGCAACTAGAGCCAAAAGGAGTCCAGATGGCTTGTCCTAGGCAGGAATTGTGGTGCACTGAATCTAACAAGATGAAAGTCAGTACTGACGGAAATGGGACAGTGAGTATAGACTACAAGATAAAAGCAAAGAAGCAAATAAAAAACAGCTGTTCAAGTGGGAAGCAAAAGCTGTCACTTAACCAGCAACTTCATGTGAGTTTCTGCAGCTGCAGGAAACTAGAACAGGATAAATGGGTCCCAACTCATCAGGGCCTTGAGCTTCTCCATCCTGTGGGCCGATCGTGTCTGAAAGGTTGTCTTCATTTCTTGGCCAGTGCAAGGAAGGGCTAGAGGGAAGTAATTTCCTGACACTAGGCTGACTGTGATGGAAAAGGAAAGAGTAAGTACCGGGTATTCTGCTAATTCTCACATCAACCCTGTGAGCCAGGGATTACATTATATCCATTATAGAGCAGCACTTCTCAAATTTTGCTGTGTGTAAGCATCTCTGGCGATACAGTTGAAATGTGGGTTCTGGTTCAGTAGGTCTGAGTGGGGCCTGAGAACGTTAATTTCTGATGAGCACCAGCAGATGCCAACACAGCTGGGCAAAAGTACTGTATGAAATCCACGGCGTATCCAGGGGGGTTTTCTTTGATCACACCCTGAGAATTTTCATAAAATAAACACTGTTTCGGAGTTTTAAGAGGAAGAATAGAACTTTGCTTCTGCAAATTATGGCAGTCATGTCAATGTTACAGAATATTCCAGGACAGATCTCCAGAAGAAAAGAGTGCATCTTGTGAACCGTCAGCTTGCAATGGCCTTGGCTAGAAGTCAGCATAGTGTCTGACTTCATTTTCTTTCTGGACAATGTTTTTGAGGGGGAACACTGGGGACATTATATGTCTGAATTTTCACAGTACCTTTAATTAAAGAGATATCTTTAATTAAAGTAGCTCTGTGAACAGCAAGGAAGTGGATGAGGAAACAGAAATTGGCAGAGTCCATGATTTGTCCAGATTAAACTGCCATGAGTGACTGTAACAAAAATTCAGAACTTATGTAACTCAAATAGGTATATTTGAGAAATAGGTCGGCACAGGTCAAGATGTGAAAGCCCAATAAAGCTAGGCAGAGACTTGGTAAGATAAAAAAAAAAAAGTGCCTCAAAATGTTCAGTGACAGTAGTGCCCTGATACAGGCAGTACTTAAGGAAAAATCAGTATTTAAGGAAGAGCTGTAAAGGGTCTCCAGGAGTGGGCAAAGTATGTTTTTAATTAAACATTTTATTTTGAGATGATTGTATATTGATCTGCAGTTGTAAGAAATAATAGAGTTCCAGTGTCCCCTTTACCTGTTTTCTCCCAATGGTAGCATTGTGCAAAACTATGGTCCAATATCACAACCAGGACATTAATGTTGATGTAGTCAATATGTAGAACATTTCCATCCCACAAGGTTCCCCAGTGCTGCTCTTTATATCCACAGTCACTTACCCAACCTCATTCTTAACCTCTGGCAACCATTAATCTGTCTCCATTTCTACAATTTTGTATTGTAATAATGTTATATCAATGGAATCATATAATATGTAATTTGGGGATTTTTTTTTTACTTGGAATAATTCCCTGGATATTCATCCAAGTTGTTGTGGTTATCAAGAGTTCATTCCTTTTCCTTACTGAGTAGTATTTCATGGTATGGGCATTCCACATTTTGTTTAGTCATTCACTCCTTGAGGGTTCTGGATCATTTCTGGTTCCAGGCTATTATGAAGAAAGCTGCTATGAACATCCTTATAAAGGTGTTTGGGTGAATGTGAAGACTCCATTTCTCTAGGATAAGTGCTCAGGAATCCAGTTGCTGGGTTGCATGGTAGTTTTATGTTTAGTTTTAGGAGAAACTGCTTTCCAGAGTGGCTGTGTCATTTTCGTTCCCACAAACAGCATGTGAGTGATCCGTTTCTCTGCGTCCTTGTCAACTATTGGTGTTGTCACTGTTTTTTATTTTTGCTGTTCTGATAGATGTGTAATGATAACTCATTGTGTTTTAATTTGCATTTCCTTGATGGCTAAGGTTGTTGAACATTTTTATGTGCTTATTTGTCATATATACCTTCTCTTCAGTGAAATGTCTCTTTGTGGTTTTTTTGCCAATTTTCTAATGGATTTAACTGTTGAGTTTTGAGAATTCTTTATATATTCTAGATAGTAGTCCTTTGTCAGATTCATGGTTTGCAAATATTTTCTCCCAATCAGTAGCTGGTCTTTTTACTCTCTTTCACAGAACAAAAAGTTCAAGTTTATCAATTTTTACTTTTATGGATCATGCTTTTGGTATGAAGCCTAGTAACGACTTCTTTCCTAACCCTAAATCCCTAAGATTTTCTCGTATGTTTATTTTCAAAAAGTTTTGTAGTCTTATATTTTACATTCAAGTTTGTGATCCATTTTAAGTTAATTTTTACTGTATACAAGGTATGAGACTTAGGTCAAGTCTCTTTCTTTCTTTCTTTCTTTCTTGTTTTTTGTGCCTATGCCTGTCCCTTGTTCCAGCACCATTTGTTGCCAAGACCATCTTTCCTCTGTCAAGTTGCTTTTTCACCTCTGTCAAAAATCAGTTCCGGGTTCTCTATTCTGTTCCTTCAATCTATATTTCTATTCCTTCACCAGTACTGCCGTCTTCATTACTGTAGTCATATGGTAAACCTTAAAATTGGCTAGATTGATTCTTCCCACTTTATCCTTCTTTTTCAAAATTATTTTAACTATTCTAATTCTTCTACCTCTCCATATAAATATTACAATAACTTTGTCCATATCTATTAAAAATCTTGCTGAATTTTGACAGGAATTGTCTGTCAATTTATACATCAATTTGGGAAGTATTGGCATCATTAGCGTATTGAGTTTTTCAATCTGTGGACACAGTATGTTTCTACATTTATTTAATTAGTAGATTTTTATATCTTTAATGTTTTATGGTGTTCAGCATACAAGTCCTATGCATATTTTGTTAGATTTATAACTATTTTTATTGAATGATTATAAATAGAATTACATTTTTAATGTTAGTGTCCACACGTTCACTGATATTACAGAGAGATACAACTGATTTTTATGTTGACCTTGTGTCATGTGACCTTGCCGTAGTCACTTCTTAGTTCTAAAAGTTTTCAGAGTCCTTGAGGTTTTCTGCATTAGACATCTTGTCATCTGCAAATAAGTTTTACTCCTTTTCTTCTAATATACATGCCATTCATTTCCTTCTCTTACCTGATTGCACTGGCAAGAATATCCAGCACTATGCTGAATAAGAGTGATGAGAGCAGACATCCTTGCTTGTTCCCAATCTTAGGGGAAAACCATTCTTTCACCATTAAATATGATGTTAGCTGTAGGTTTTTTGTGAATGCTCTTTGTTAAGTTGAAAGTATTCTATTCTTATTTCATGAAGGGGATGTTGAATTTTATGAATTTTTTTCCTTCATCAACTGATGTGATCATGTGATTTTTCTTTTTAGTCTGTTAATATGGTGGATTACATTGACTGATTTTTGAAGATCAAACCAGACTTACATTTCTGAAATGAACCCCACTTAATAATGGTATATAATTACTTTTCAATATTGATGAATCCCATCAGTAATATTTTGTTAAAGATTTTTGCATCTATATTCATGAGGGATATTGGTCTATAGTTTTATTTGTTTACACTGGGTTTGTCTGGTTTTGGTATGAGAGTAATTGTGGCTTCGTAGAAGTGTCGGAAAGTGTTTTCATTTCTTCTGTTTTCTGGAAGAGACAGTAGAATAGGTGTTAATTCATATTTAAATGTTTGGTAGAATTCTCCAGTGAAACCATCTAGGCCTGGACATTTCTTTGGAGGAGGCTTTTAAATTCTGAATTTAATTTTCCATAGTTGTAGGACTATCCAAATGACCGGTTTCATATTAGATTAATTAAGGTAGTTTGGGCTTCTCAAGGAATTGGTCCATTTCATCTAAGTTGCTAAATTTATATATGTAGAATTGTTCATAATATTACCTTATTATCCTTTTGATGCCTCCAGGGCCAATATTCCTTTTTCATTCCAGATATTGATCATTTGTGTCATCTTTTTAAGCTTTTTATTTTAAATATTTTTTTAAATTATAATAACTTTAAATAATAATTTTTTAAGTTAGGAAAAAATTGTAAAAAGTTTAGAGTTCCCATTTACCTTTCACCGAGTTTTTCCAAATGTTAACACTTTACGAAACCACAGTACTATTATCAAAACCAGAGAATTAACATTGACACAACCGTGTTAACTATTCTACCAACATCATTACAAAAATTTCACTACTTTTCTCACTAATGTCCTCTTTCTGTTCTAGAATCCAATCTAGGTCCTACCCTGCATTTGGTTATTATGTCTCATTAGTCGCTTTTAATCTGCGACAGTTCCTAAGTCTTTCCTTGTCATTACCCTTATACTTTTGAAGAGAACTGGTCAGTTATTTGGTAGAATGACCTTCCATTTGGGTTTGTCTAATATTTTCTCACAACTAGATCAGGGTGAGGCTGTGCACTACAGGGAAGGAGACGGCTGATGTGCTCTGCTTGTTTCTGTGCTGGTGCACATGCTATTGATATGTCTTATACTGGCATGTTGACCTTGGTCCCTTGACTAAGGTGCTATCTGTCAGGTTTCTCTAGTGCAAAGTTACCATTTTTCCATTTGTCATTAGTAAATATCTTGCAGGAGATACTTTGAGACTATGATGCAGGTATCTTTTTCTCATCACACCTTTGAGTTAGAAAGGTTTGGGGGCTCAGAGGAAAATCCTCAAGACATATTCTTACACCACTGAATGATATCAGGTGGCCTGTGATAGTGGCATCTATACAAGGGACAAGGAAAGCAGAAAAAGGCCATTCTCTATGAATATCATGATTTTATGATTGCCTGAATTGGGGAGAAGAGGTGAGGAGTGAGAGATACAGAGAAAGAGACAGAGGAAAAGAGAAAGACTGATTCACAGAGAAAGAGATCTGAAGTTCAGAACTCATTGAGATGGAGAGGGCGAAGTCAAGGGAGAATTCAATTTTTCAGTCTTGACTGACTTGAAGAACAGGTAAGTTTTGCAAGGAAGGCAGGTTTGGTTCTAAGAAATCTGAGGTACCTGTGAGACGTGTAAGTGCACATCCCATCAGAGAGCAGGGCAAAGGGTGGAAAAGAGAACAAGACTAGAGAGGGCCACTTGGGAGTCACCCGAACACAGGTGTTATGAATATTTAGTGAGTATAAATCAGTTATCCAACAGAAAGAGCCAAGCCAAGCACAAAGTTGGGAGAATACCCATAGTTTGTTGGAAAAGGAATCAGTGAGACAAACTGAAGTCGTGGGGAGATGAAGGATGATGGTGCCATGTATAAGGAAGAGTTCACAATGGCAGCATGACCACTGTGTTAACTAAGAGCTAGAAGGTCAGTGATTCCGTCATTAGCAGGGGGTGACTTCTGTGGCTGTGGTTTCAGTCAGGTGGTAGGGATGGAATCCAGATGTAGGCAGGGGATAGGAGAGTGCAGAGAACGCAGTAAGTGATGAAGAAAGAAGTGGACAGCAATTATTGTGAGCGGTTCAACAGGGAATTTTCTTTGTTAACAATGCAGAGGGAAACATAACTGTAACGTCACTTCCACTAACAGCGCAGTCAGACAGATTCGATTGCTAAAGAAGACTCACAGGGCCCAGAAGGACAGTGCTCACAAGTCTGTGGTTTATTGACAAGAAGGGATGTGATAGAGCAACAAGCATGAAGGCAAGGACCTGCCTTGCATCCAAAGGCTGCCTCAGAGCAAGCAGTGTGGACACACTGAGGCCGATACGGGCTGCCTCCAATGGTCTTCCCTCTGCAGGCCTGAGCCAGATGTGTTTTTTCTCTCGGAACCACGTACCCATGCAAGGAAGGAACACCTCAGATCCACGCAGCCCAGTGGAGTCACAGTGGGGCTTTTTGCAGCCTTCTGGTCACATAAGCACATTATTGCTACATGAGCAGCTCTAACATCAGAGCCCCCTCCCCAAACACGTGCAAAACATCAGTCTCACAGTCATCCATAAACAATGAGGACAAACAGGCAGAACCTACCCTGAAACTCACCTCGGACCCACGGGTAAAAACAACAGTATTGGCCGGGTGCGATGGCTCACGCCAGTAATCCCAGCACTTTGGGAGGCCGAGGCGGGCGGATCACGAGGTCAGGAGATTGAGACCATCCTGGCTAACACGGTGAAACCCCATCTCTACTAAAAGTACAAAAAATTAGCCGGGCGTGGTGGCGGGCGCCTGTAGTCCCAGCTACTCGGGAGGCTGAGGCAGGAGAATGGCATGAACTCAGGAGGTGGAGCTTGCAGTGAGCTGAGATCGCACCACTGCACTCCAGCCTGGGTGGCAAAGCGAGACTCCATCTCAAAAAAAAAAAAAAAAAAAAAAGTATTAATCACTGCCTTTCATAGTTTGATGCAGAATGTCTCGTACTTCAGCAAAGCAGCTCAGGCCAATTTCAGACCTGCTGGAATTAACCCTCCTAGCACATCCCTCTACGAATGTTATCTCAGTAAGTCCTTATCACCATCCTGTTAAATAGGTGCCATTACTCTTATTTTTAAGAAGGGCAATGTGATGCTCAGAAAGAGTAAGTACACTGCCAAAGCAACACACCAGGAGAAGGGAGGCGGGAACTGATTCTGTGGGACAGGAGGGCAGATGCCTTCACAACAAGAGGCCCCCGGGTGTGTTTGAAACAAGCTGGGAGTAAAAAGGATTAGAGAGGAGGAGCTTGCAGGTATGAGAGCAGCAAAGGGATAACTGTGAAAGGCGGGTCTCCTGAGAAATGAGAACAAATGTGCTCCTGAGACTGCTTAAGAAGAAAGAGAGAAGATGAAGCTATTAGCAGAGGCTGGGGCCCAGGCCTCGGTAGCCTTTAGATGAGTGGTTCTCCACCCCAGAGGGCTGGTGCAAACACAGCTTGCTGGGCAGTGCCCCCACTTCCAACTCAGCAGGTCTAGGTGGAGCCTGAGAACTTGCATTTTTAACAAATCTCCAGCAGTGCTGATGCTGGGGGCCAGGGGCCTCACTTTGAGAACCACTGTTCAGGCTTGTCAGTGCCACATGGGTTGGGTCAACTGGAAGGAGAAGAGCTGGGGTGGAGGGATGACTCTCTGGGACCCCTCTTGCTGGTCTCTGCAGAAGTATCAACAGGTCATGATACCAGGGAAGGAACATAAATAAAAGGGACCAAGTTGGATAAATGCCAGGGTATTAGAGTAAAATGTGTTTCAGCTGCTTAGCTTTGATGTGAAAATTTGAACAAATAACCAGAGAATAAGGGACTGTTTCCATTCCTGGTTTGAAAAAAATTATATTTAATAAAAGATGGAATTGTCACTAGCATAATTTTAACGATTTTGAAATAGAAAATATCCTTGGAGGGGAGGGAAGGGTTAGGAAAGAATGTGTGTAGTTTGAGGAAGGAACAATGCTTGGCTGCTGTCCTGGTGGGAGTCAGTGAAGCTGCCTGATGAGCAGTAGCAGGACCATGGGCTCGATTATCAGGGAATGACTTTTTAGATGGCGGAGATGCCTCTGGGGCTTCAGGGGCTGTGGAGATAAGGTGACCAGTGTCTTCAAGCTGGGATAAAGCATTGTTCACATCTCAGCACATTTCGAGAAATGGCGCAATGCTAACACAGCGCATTGGCTTTGCTGTTCAGGTTGCAGGTGACTGGTTGTGTGACCCTGGGCAGGTTGTCTCACTCCTCTGGGCTCAGGACAGGTGGTCTTTAAGCAGGTGTGATGCTAGCTAGCCCCTGCAGCGCAGGGTTGTTGTGAAAATGTAATGATAGAGAATATGGCGCATGCCTGGTACGAGGAGACACTCAGAAATGTCCTCTTCTGCTTCAGGGTCAGGTAGAAGAATCTTTTCAATTTCACCTCCTGAACCCCAAGTAGCTCTAAGTCTCATTCTTCTGAAACCCTTGTCTTCTGTGGCCCCTGAGCCTAAAACCACAGACGCTGGGTCTTTGTGGCCCCCTGGAGGCCAGGCTTCAGGAGGACCCTGGTCACAACCCGAATGGGATAGCAGCCTAGCAAGATTCAGCAGACAGCATGCGAGTAAACAGATTAACAGGGTGATTGCTAACGCCACAGAAAGTAATGTGGGTGAGTGAGTGACAGCAAAGGTTGAGAAACATCATTCATAAAGGGCAGCCAAGGAGGGCCTTTCTAAGGAGGTAGCAGCATTAAACCTGAGGGTGAGGAGGGGCCGCCTGGGGAAGGAGGCAGGTAGAGGGGAGGAGTCCACTCGGGAAATCCCAGGTCACCTGGACATGTCACTGGGCCCTGGGATTGGTGTGCAGGTCAAATGCAATGTTGGTTGTGCTTAGGCAATTGAAAGCAAGTAGAAGCTAAAAAAGGGATGATTTATCTTGGTTCTGAGAAGTTGGGTTAACAGTGAGGTCAGGAAGCAGAGGTGAGCAGCCAGCACCCTCTTTCTCTTGGGAAACTTGAACACATTTTAGAGTTATAGTTCCCCCAGGGAAGAAGTTAGCAGAGGCCACCCCACACCCAGGACAGGTGACAGAGCAGCAGTCTCCTCTCCCTGACCTTGATGCCTGGGCACAAAGGCAGCTTTTGCTGAGCAACAAGATGCTTGGACTCCCCACTCCTCCTCTATTTTCCTCTCCTGGCTGCATTTGCTCTGAAAGGCTGCAGACACCTGGCCCCAGGCCCTCCAAGTGGGCACCCACCCCCATCTGGGTGACAGAGGCTGCTGCTCATGGGAACTCCGCTAACTCCCTCTGAGTCCCTCTGAGTCATCTGGGTGGTGGACCAGCAGCCGTTGGGTCTGACCTCTCACCAGGACGCGTGCCTCTGAGCACTGGGACACAGGCCCTTTGAGGTCTCTCTGGAGCTGAAGGGCCGGCTCGCACACTGGGATGGAGTGGAATATGTGTGATATGTTGGTGAGGGATGCAGGCAGGTGTGGGAGGAAGTGGAGCAGGCACAGTCCATGGAGGACACGGGGCCCGGGTGCAGAGGCACACAGGCATCATCTAGATGGTGAGAAGGCGATGGGCCCAGATTCTGCCCTAGTGCAGGGAAGGCACCAAGATTTCAGATCAGAGGGAACTGCAGGAGAGCTGCAGAGACCCTCTCCCTTCAGCAGATTTAGGTGCTGCCTGTGACTTGCCAGACTGGCAGTCCCCAGCATGCTGCCAGCAGGCACGCTCAAAATGCGCTTCTGGCCTGAGCCCTTGCTGGCCTCAACACGCCAGCGGCTGCCCCTCTGTGGAGAGGAGTTCTCTGTAATGGTGCTGCAGGGACAGCCCATTCTGCCTGTCCACCCCCAGCCCCTTGTGCCCCCCTCAACCCTGTGCCCTGTCACTCACACCCGCAGCTACACCAAATCCTTCCCCAACCCCCTGCTCAGGGGACTCCTTCGTGTGCAGGCCACCCACCCCCAACCCATGTCTGCACTGGAGAAAATCTGCGGAGAATTCTCCTCCGTGGGGCAGTAGAAGGACAGGCCTGTGTGTGCCTGAGCCCCTCTTCCTCAGGTGTGTGTGAGAGAATTTACCTGAGAGAAGTTAGCAATGCCTGCCTAGTGAAGGCCTGGCACAGAATAGGCCCTCAGCAAACACCAGAGACCTCTGCCCTCCTTACCCTTCTGGGAACTCTTATTTAGAGTTTAAGGCCCAAGCCAAGTATCTCCTTCTCTCTGAAGAGTTCCCTTTCCCCGGAGGCAGATGACAAGGCAAGCCGTGACTTCCCTTGGACGGGGGCTGCTCTGCATCTCAGGCGTTCACCAGGGAGCGGGCTGAGCTGCGGGTGTCAGTCTCCAGGTCTGTCTCCTGTTTCAGATTACAGGGCTCTTGACGGCAAAACCACTCAACTTTATTTCTGCCTCGTGGCCTACACCTCCTAGCATAGTAAGTGCTCATTAAAATGTTGCTGGTTTGTGCAGGATCTGGATTTTATGCAAATGAATAATAAACTAAAGTTTTGCTAGCTGACTACAGTGAAATATCAATCACTTCATGTCTGTTTGGATGACTGTTACCCACAAGAGAAGAGATACGTGTTGGTGAAAGTGTGGAGAAAAGAGAACACTAGTACAGTGTTGGTGGGTATGTAAATTAGTGCAGCCATTACGGAAAAAGTGTGGCGGTTCCTCAGTAAAATAAAACTAGAACTACCATGTAATCCAGCCATCCCACTGCTGGTATATAGTCAAAGGAAATGAAATCAGTACATCAAAGAGTTACCTGCACTCCTATGTTCACTGCAGCACTATCCACAATAGCCAAGACATGGAACCACCCTGTGCTCATCCAAAGATGAATGGATAAAGAAAATGTAAAACGTGGCCGGGGCGGTGGCTCACGCCTGTAACCCCAGCACTTTGGGAGGCCGAGGTGGGCGGATCACGAGGTCAGGGGATCGAGACCATCCTGGCTAACACGGTGAAACCCCGTCTCTACTAAAAATACAAAAAATTAGCCAGGCGTGGTGGTGGGTGCCTGTAGTCCCAGCTACTCAGGAGGCTGAGGCAGGAGAATGACGTGAACCCGGCAGGCGGAGCTTGCAGTGAGCCGAGATCGCGCCACTGCACTCCAACCTGGGTGACAGAGCAAGACTCTGTCTCAAAAAAAAAAAAAAAAAAAAAGAAAATGTAAAACGTGTATAGATACACAATGGATAATATTCAGTCATAAAAAGAATGAAATCCTGTCACATATGGCAAGAATGAACCTGGAGGGCATCATGTTAAGTGAAATAAGCCAGGCACAGAAAGACAAATACTGCATGATCTCACTTATGTGTGGAATCCAAAAAAGGTGAACTCACGGAAGCAGAGAGCAGAATGGTGTTGGCCAGGTGCTGGGGGAGGTGGGGTGGGTTGAGATGTTGGTCAAAGGATACAAATTTCATTTAGGCAGGATAAATAAGTTCAAGGGATATATGGGGACTATTATAACATGGTAACTATTGTAACAATGTATCCTTAAAAATTCTTGAGACTTGCTGAGAGTAGATAATAATAAAGTAAACTGGTGTTACAAAAAGTTTTTTGGTTGAATGATGAGCAAAGGTTTCCCGGGGGAAGGGGGGTTGAGGGGATCTGGGCTTGTGAAGGGTGGAGGGGTGTGATGACAGGGAGAGGGAGAACTGAATGAAAAAAGACAGCAAAACCTAGGTAGGAGTGGGGGACAAGGAGAGCGGTAAGAGCCCAGGATCCAGGTAGCCTGAGGGAGGAGGCCCCCAGCCGAGGGATGCCAGAGAGCATGCCAGTGCCTGTTGACCCTTCACACACCTGCGCTGCGTGGGCCCCCTCCACTGGCTCTGTGAGGGCAGTGTCCTGGCTTCTGAGCGCCACTCCGGGGTCACTAAGGTCACATGGCACCCTGCTGGGTAGCTGCTGCTCATTTTGTACCTGCTGTTTCCCAGCAGTCAGTCCTGGAAGCATCTCTGGTCCCGTAGTCCTGCCTTCATCTTGAGCCCTTCTCAGTGCCTTGTATTTTTACTTTACAATAGTGTCAGCTTAGAGCAGTGAATCCTTCGGGTCCCTGGAGCATCTTCAGAGGTCCCTTTTCATCTTCACCAGGACCATTGGAACAGCCCAAGTCCCGTGGTGATGCAGGGACAAAGCAGGTGTGGTGGCTTTTTAGACCATAGGCAAGTAGGGGACATGACTAGTACTGATCCCAGACCTGGGGAAGCCCGGCTGATGGGTTTCCCGTGTGTGCTGGCCTTCAGTGACACCAAGGGGCTGGATGGAGAGGAGGATTCAGCTAGAACAGCCTCTTTGGGCTTTCACTTGCACCTGACAGACCTGGGTCTCTGCTCTCACCTGGAGCGCCCCAGACACGCGGTGTGTCCACAGCGTTAGCACACTCCCTGGGCCCGCTGTCAGCCCTGGGGGCTTTGAGAAGGGTGTGTCTGCCTGGCATCACCACATCCAATCCAGCCACATTCTGCATTTCAGAGCCAGAATACAGGTCTAAAATGCCTGTTTTGTTTTAGAAACTACTGTTCTCCCCAGGATTAAAATGTGCAGGAAGCATTCATCCCACCCTTAGTTTAGCTGATAGCCTTACCCCCCTCCCTTTTGTTTTGTTGTGGATCTGAACTTATTTTACCCAATGGCTATTTTCTTGCATTTCCCTCTAGAGGTAGTGGCATTTTCAAGAAGCACTTCAGCCTTCTGTATCTTTACATAATTCATTACGGACATATTTTGGACTTACAGTATCTTACAGTACAAAAAAAAAAGAGACTCTCCTCTTTATTTCCAGAAGTTGTTACAGACTTCTCCAGAATTTAAATTTCCTGAAAATTCGTCCAGGACATGCTGTAAGTTTTTATTCCATTAGGGAACCATAAACAAAACCACTTACTAGCAGGCCTGAGGCAGAGATGAACACCTGGCCTGAGCATCTCTCCTGCACCTTCCTGAGAGACAGACCGAGTGATCACTGTGTGAATTAAAGCCCATTTCCTAGAAACTCACTCTTCTCTTGAAGCTTTTAGGAAGACTAAGAGATAAAGCCATCCACCAAGAGATAAAGCCAGGAAAAGTGTCTGTCCCAGTGCAAGTGTGTGAGGGTTGTTAGTGGTGGGGGTGGGCATCCTTCATTCTTTCAGCCAGGGGACTGCACGTCCGTGGAGTGAACACCCCAGAGGTGGGCAGGGGACCAAGTCCAGCATGGGAGACAGGACCCCTGGGTCAAAGGCTGTTCTTAGGTAAGCTTCGTGACAAACATGGCATTTGAGCTGGGTCTTGAGTGGAGCCAGGAGAAAACAGGAGTTTTGAAAATTCCTGAGGGAAAAAATGTGAACAAAGAAAGGGACCCAGGAAGTAGTTTATTGTTAACTATCATTTTCCTACTATGGTATCAAATACAAGAATGAATTTCTTCTATCCAACTGCATGTTGGTGCCCATTAGTCAACTTCTCTTCCTCCCCACTTCCCTTCCCAGCCCCTGGTAAACACTGTTCTACTCTCTACCTCTTTGAGACCCACTTTTTTTTGCTCCCACATTTGAGTAAGAACATGTGATATTTGTCTCTCTGTGCCTTGCTTATTTCACTTAACATGATGATATCCAGTTCCATCCATGATGCTGCAAATGACGGGATTCCATTATTTTTATGGTTGAGTAATATTCCGTTCTGTATATATTCCACACTTTCTTTATCCATTCATCCATTGATGGACACTTAGGTTGATTCCACGTTTCAGCTATTGCAGACAGTGCTACAATAAACATGGGAGTGCAGATATTTCTTCAATATACTGATTTCCTTTCCTTTTAATATATACTCAGCCGTGGGATTCCTGGATATGTGGTCCTTCTATTTTTAGTTTCTTGAGGAACCTCCATACTGTTTTCCATAATGATGGTACTAATTTACATTCCCTTTCTCCACATCCTTACCAGCATCTGTTATTTTTTGTCTTTTTTATAAAAGCCAATTCTAACTAGAGTGAGATGATATCTCATTGTGGTTTTAATTTGCATTTCCCTGGTGATTAGTGATATTGAGCATTTTTTCATATGCCTGTTTTCTGTTTGTATGTCTTCTTTTGAGAAACATCTATTCAGGTCATTTGCTGATTTTCTAATCAGATTATTTGTTTTTTTGCTATTGAGTTGTTTGAGCTCCTTATATAATCTGGTTATTAATCCCTTGTCAGATGGAAGTTTGCAGATATTTTCCCCCTTTCTCTGGGTTGTCTCTTCACTTAGTTGTTTTGCTTCCTGTGCAGAAGCTTTTTAGCTTGATATAAACCCATTTTTCTATTGTTGCCTTTTTGAAATCTTATGCAAAAATCTTTGCCCAAACCAATGTCCTGAAGTGTTTCCCCAATGTTTTCTTCTGGTAGTTCCATAATTTTAGGTCTTATATTTAAGCCTTTAATCCATTTTAGAGTTGATTTCTGTATATGATGAGATGAGGATCTAGTTTCATTCTTCTGCATATGGATATTTGGTTTTCTCAGCACCATTTATTAAAGAGACTGTGTTTTCCCTGGTGTGTGTTCTTGCCAACTTTGTTGAAACTGAGTTGGCTGTTAAGTGTGTGGATTTATTTGTGGGTTCTCTGTTCTGTTCCATTGGTTGATGTGTCTGTTTCTATGCCAGTACCATGCTCTTTTGGTTACTATAGATTGGTAGTATCATTTGAAAACACAACCATGATGCCTTTAGCTTTGTTCTTTTTGCTCAGGATCACTTCAGCTGTTCAAGGTCTTTTGTGGTTTCATATGAATTTCAGGCTTTTTTCTATTTCTGTGAAGAATGTCATTGGTATTTTGACGGGAATTGCATTGAATCTGTAAATCACTTTGGTTAATATAGACATTTTAACAATATTAATTCTTCTAATCCATGAGCATGGGATATCTTTCCATTTTTTCAGGTTCTTCTTGTTGAGTTACAGGGGTTCTGTATATGTTATGGATATTAATCCCTTATCAGATATATGATTTGCAAATATTTTCTGTCATTCTGTTGGTTGCCTTTTCACTTTGTTGATAATGTCCTTTGGTACACAAAAGTTTTTAATTTTGATGAAGTCCATTTTATCTATTTTTCCTTTTGTTGCCTGTTCTTTTCGTGGTGTCATACCCAAGAAATAATTGTCAAATCCAGTTTCATAAAGCTTTTCCTCAGTATTTTCCTGTGTGAGTTTTATAGGTTTAGCTCTTACATTTAGGTCTTTGATCCATTTTTAGTTAATTTTTGCATACAATGTTAGGTAAGAGTCTAACTTCATTATTTTGCATGTGGATATGCGGTTTTCCCAGCACCATTTATTGGAAAGATTGTCCTTTCCACATGGAATGGTCTTGTGGAAAACCTTTGGCCATTTATGCAAGGCCATGTGTGGCACCCTTGTGGAAAACGATTTAACCATATATTTGAGGATTTATTTCTGGTCTACCTTGTGTGGACTATAAATCTGTCTTTTTGCCCACACCACATGCTTTGATTACCATAGATTCATAGTATGTTTTAAAATCAAGATGTGTGAGACTTCCAACTTTATTCTTCTTTTTCAAGATTGTCTTGGCTATTGATTCTGTTCTTTTGCATTAGAAGTCAGAAAATTTATTGCCTACAAAATCATTTTGAAAGTACTACTCAAGCCTTCTAGTAAAATTAAAAATTAATAAAGGACCAATGAGAGATATGCAAATTATTCATGATCAATTAGCAAACACCAAAACACAGTTGTGTTACAAGTAATAATATAGAACTGAAGCTTAAAGCAGTTGTTAAGAATTATGATTCCTAAGAAAGTAGAACCCAAAAATCAAAAGCAATTTCAAATCAACATTTTAAATGATTTCAACAAAATATAGCAGGTATCAGAGGAAGAGATGGGAATTAGATTGAACTAGGGACCTTATCCTATGTGGAAATTAGAGGTTGTGTATGTTATTTGACTGAGTAAAAATTAAATTTTATGTATAAGTTATTAGATAAAATAAATGGCCTAAAAAGGTAAAAATATACAGACATCTGCTGACCTAGGGGATGCCCAGTCGAGATGGGGTGTACCTGGTTCCACTGTGTGGAATATGAACAGCCCCCTCACTTTGAGGTTCCCTGCAGATCACACCCCCAGAACCTCTCTACCAGAATCTCAGAAGTCAGAGTTCAGTGTTCGAGCCCCGCTGAGAAGCACAGTCCCCTCCCCTGGCACATCAGCTTCTAGGGGCTCTGAGCTCACCGCCACGTCTGTTAAGTCCACCAGATGAGACTTTTCCCATTGATCCTCATCTGTCTCCTGATGGGACATTCATTTAAAAATTAAAGGGTGGGATCGTGTGTTGGGAGTGGGATTCGGGGGTGTGGGATTCACCAGCCAATTTCAAATGCATGTTAAATATTTAAAATCATTTAAAAATTTGAAACATTAATATTTAATTTTTAAAATATAAAAAATTAATCCTAAAATTGAAATTGTTAATTCTCACTTCCCATGAAGTGTGAACATTCTCTTTTATTCTCACTGTCTTTTCCAGTGTTCTCAGGCGCTGTGGTCTCACCTTCCACTGGGGCAACAATGGGCCATTTCCAGCAGGGACGGCGCAGTGTTGGCCTGCATGCCTGACTGCCACACACCTCCAGAATCAGGTGTCTGAAAAGTAAGTCCTGTGTTCGTGGGGCCTTAATGGCAGGCCAAAGGGGCAAGTGCAGTCACCGCCTCTGACAATAGAGCTGGTAGTGGTTCTGTGGACTCCCTGGAAATCAGATCTAAAGCCCAGATAAAGTGTAAGGTTCATTGAGAAAGAGTCATGAAATGTATTTCATACTGCATTAGAATTTGAGATTGGAATAATAGGCATTATTCTTTAAAAGGAAAAAAAAAACAACTGTAGTGATTGACAAGTGACTTGATTTATACCAGTGCAAAATTTGTCATCTGTTGCAACCATTATTGATTTTTTAAATATTATAAGCAAAAGAAAAATAGTGCCATTATCTTAACACACTAATTATTTTTACTTTTACTGTTTCCTGTTACTTCTTATCCAATAATACAATTTTAATCTGACTGAGAGCATAGCCATTCTTTTGCTTTATGACTCTTGGAACAAAATTTTTATATACCTTCTTGCCTACTTTTTATTTTATAAGCTTTAATTCTACAGCAAACTTGAAGGAATAGAAAAGTGAACACCCGTAATTCTTCACCCAGATTTACCAATTGTTTATACACAAACAGACACACACAGGTGGTAAATATGTGTTTGTGTGTGTTTGATTCTTTTTGTCTGAATCATTTGAAAGTAAGTTGCTGACATCATGACACACTTTGGCATCATCTCCTAAGTACACAGCTACCTTCTACAAAAGTACAGCACTATTACCACTGTGAAATACAATATTGATAAAGTGATATTATCCAAATATGTTGTCCCTACCCAGATACCCCTGATTGTCCCCCAAATATTCATCATAGCTGTTTTTCCCTGCCTAGTGTTCAATTAAGTATCACTCACTGAATTCAGTTATGCCTCTTTTTATCAGAACTAAAGGCCTGCTTTCGTTTTTCTCTTTCGTGATGTTGACGTCTTTGAAGAGTCTGAGCCACTTGTTTTATGGAGTGCTGCACAATCTGGACCTGTCTGATTATTTCCTCGTACTTAGATTAAGATAGACATTTCCTCCATTTCTCTTTCCAGCACATCAGTGGGCACACCGTGGCTCATGGTGATAAGTTTGTTCACTGGGCTAAGGTCGTTTCTACAAGAGTTCTCTTTATAAAGTTACTTTTTTTTTTTTTTTTTTGAGATGGAGTCTCGCTCTGTCGCCAGGCTGGAGTGCAGTGGCACGACCTCGGCTCACTGCAACCTCCACCTACCGGATTCAAGCGATTCTCCTGTCTCAGCCTCGCGAGTAGCTGGGACTACAGGCGCCTGCCACCACGCCCAGCTAATTTTTGTATTTTTAGTAGAGATGGGATTTCACCATGTTGCCTAGGATGGTCTCGATCTCTTGACTTCAGGTGATCCACCTGCCTTGGCCTCCCAAAGTGCTGCGATTACAGGTGTGAGCCACCATGTCCAGCCTGTAAAGTCACTTTTTACATTCTTTGTCTTTTACTAGTAAGCAATGGGGCAAACTTTGAAGCCCTGTGAACATTCTCTTCCCTGGCTGATTTTCATCCAGTGATCTTAGCATCCCTTAATGGTTGTGTTATGATTTTTAACCCATTAGTTTATTGGGACCTCAGACTTTCTTTGTCACATAGTCCTTCATGTTTCACATTTTCTGTGGTTGTGGGGTCATCACACAAGGGAAGCATATACTGAGGTGGTCAAGAGGAGGACTCTGAAGTTAGACCATTCAGATAGGCATCTAGGTATGCATCTTGTCTCTGTCATACAACAGCCTGGTGACTGCAAGCAAACATTTCTCCTCACAAACCTTCAGTGTCCTTATAATTACAATTAGGAGACTGGGAGTGACCATCGCAGGAGGCATATGGCAGAGGGTACAGCCTTTGGCTGTCCTTGCTAAGCAGTAGCTGTTAATTATTATCAGACACAGGAAACATGGGCTAGAGCCACTGGATGCTGCTTTTATTCCTGAGATCTCTTATAAGACCTTTAGCAAAAATGCTAATAAATCTGAGTGACAGTGCAGAGGCCCCACGCTCTGTGTCCCTGCAGTTAAAAGGTTGCATAGGGAATGAAACCACTATGGCAGGAAGTATTCATCAGCGAACACTGTCCCGATGTGCACTCCCCCATCGGCTTCCTCCTCCTGCTCTCGGTCAGCCTTAACTGCCTCCCCTCGCTAGGCCTGAACCTCCCTGGTCTGTTGTCAGGTTTGCCTTTCAGTCAGTAACCAATTGGGCTTTTTATCTGAAGATTATGTGTGGTTTTTTTTTTCTATTTAAATCAAGTCCTTTTAGTTTTATTGGCATACCATTGCCACAGAATGCATCTTCCTTGAGAATGTTTTGAAAATTTTACCAAGAAAACAGTTTGTGAAAATATAGGTTATTTTAGAAGCTGTACACGAATATGAATTAGACTGAGTCTTCAAAAAAATTGCTGTTGGAAAACATGTTAGTATCTTAAAAATACTTCCTCTGAAAAGGTTACTTGCCTCATTTTCTTCCCCACAACTCTTAAAAGCAGATGAGAGCTGGTGCTCACAGAGAAGACCGCTCTGTGTCCTGCATCCAGATGACATGCTTTCTGTCGGCTTCTTGTCGGGCTGAGCTTGAAGGGATGGCCCTGTGGGGTTCCCCTGCTTTCTGGGGCGATATCAACCCAGCCAGCCTGGGGTTTGCCAGGACCGGAGGACTCTTCTGGTAGGCTCCAGCCCCAGGCTTCCCTGAAGCCTTTCCACATCTCCTTTTTCCTTCTTACCAGCTGTTTACATGCCAGGAATCCTTGCTTGTCTCCTCGTCCTCTGGATCTCCTCCTTGGAGATGGGACTGTGGCTTTTCTGCTTTCCCAGGAGCAAACCCAAAGGTTATGGGAGGAGTGAAGTGCAGGTGAAAGCAAACCTCTGGTTCTGCATCAACACCAAGGAAATCACTGAGTTTCACCTGAGTGTGTGGATGGAAATATCAGGGCTGCTTTTTTTCAGTTTCCCAAAGCACATCCTGCAGAATGTCTGTCCACTTGGAAACCTGAGCTCTCTAGTCTTGAGTGAGCTCCACACTCATGGCCTGTGTGCTGGAGAACCAAATGGAGGTGGCTGGAAGCCAAGGCAAAGCCCCTGCAGAGAGGCCCACTCCCAGGAGGCTTGCAGGTGCTTGGCCACACTCAGGGGAAAAGGACCCCTCCTCCTCCACGGCGCTGGGCCAGGCCCCTCCCTGCGTCTCCCTCTTCCTGTTCCCTTCTCCTGCACAGCAGCAGCCCGGAAGTATGTGTTCCCCAGTGTGGGTTCAACAGCATCACCAGCCAGGAAACCCTCATACTCAGAACTTGGTTTTGGGGCTTACTCTTCAAAGCCCTGGTGCTGAGCCATGGAAAGAGACACAGTCCCCCGTGAGATGGCATAAGTATAAATTCACAAAAGGCTTGAAGACACACCCTGAGGGCAGTTCTTAAATCCCCTGGGGGCTTGCGATCCACACAGAGATTGTGTCCCATAAGTGTGTGAAGGTGGGTCAGCCAGTCAAGAGAAGGCCAGGAACCCAGTGTCTATTCAGCACTTTGCTGAATTCCCTATGTACATCTTGGTTCTGGTTTACTCCTAGAGCATGCGAAAGCTCAATTCTCAGGCAAAGTCATCTGTTGCCATGTTCCAAAGCTTTATTTAACTCATCAGTAAGGGAACCAGCGAAAAGACAAATGATCTGGCTCCACAAGCATTTGGTAACTGAGATCTTTTTTTGAGATGGAGTCTCGCTCTGTCACCCAGGCTGGAGTGCAGTGGTGCGATCTCGGCTCACTGCAAGCTCCACCTCCCGGGTTCACACCATTCTCCTGCCTCAGCCTCCCGAGTAGCTGGGACTACAGGCGCCCACCACCACGCCCGGCTAATTTTTTTGTTTTTTGTTTTTTGTTTTTTTCAGTAGAGACAGGGTTTCACCATGTTAGCCAGGATAGTCTTGATCTCCTGACCTCATGATCCACCCGCCTTGGTCTCCCAAAGTGCTGGGATGACAGGCGTGAGCCACCGCACCCAGCCAGTAACTGGGATTTTTAAGTTCTGTTGGGAAACAAATGTGGAAATAAGATGCTAAGTTAAGGCAAACCTCTACAAAGCAATGAAAAAAATGCCAAATTTGGAGTTAACTTGTTTACTAGGCAGTAAAAGTCATAAGCTATCAATTCTGCAGGCTAATCTCACAGGGCTATAAACCTCTTTATTTAACCAATTGTGAATGATTAGATAAATATTTGTCACACTGCTCAAGAGCTTCCAAATGGGATCAGTCAGACTTATTTGCATTCTAGTAGAATATCACAGATTCCAGAAATCATCATTTTTCCCTTTTTCAAGTTTGGAATCAACGTTTCCATAACAATCAGCTAAAATATGGTGATTGACAAGTTGTGAGTGATCACGTAGCACCGGGTGAAGGTGCTGCTTTTTGGCCTGCACAATGCACTTGAGCTCCGGTGTAGATACTGCAAGGCCATGTGTGGGAGGCAGCTTCTGACACAGCTCCCAACCATTCCTGCCTCTTGACATCGCATCTTTGTGTTGTCCCCTGCCCTTGGGTGTGGGCTGGACATGGTGACTTGCTGTTAATAAACAAAATACAGCAGAAGTGACAGATGTCACTTCCAAGACCAGGATACAAACACTGTGACTTCTGTCTTGCTCAGGCTCTCTCTGACTCTTCTCACATGGTTGCTCTGATGAAACAACTCTGATGTTGTGATCTCACCTATGGAAAGGCCCACGTGGCAAAGAACTGAGCTTCTTAGTTCAACAACCCTCAGAAACAATTCTGTGAATGATCACATGAGTAAGCTTGGAAGAGAATGCTTCCTCATTTGAGCCTTCAGACGAGACTGCAGCCTCAACTCACATTTTGGTTGCAGCCTTGTGAGAGACCCTGAGCTAAGGTGCACTCTGACTCCTGCCCCACAGAAATGGTGAGATTATGAATATGTGTTATTTTAAGTCCCTAAATCTGGGAGTTGTCGTTTCACAGCAATAGGTAACTGATGCAGCATCCATGAAATTTATAGTGTTGATTGTTCTTGGATATATGCTTCTCAGCAGAGCTGTGTTTCATCTTTGCCGGCTTCTCCCATCTCCTTTCTCCTGCTTCTCTACTCCCCCTTTCCTATTATTTATTAATCTTCCTTTCTTTATTCCCACTCCATTTGAGTTCCACTTCTCTGCAACTGTAATTGCATCCTTGGCCATTGATTAGGGAGGCTTAACTAGAGGCACGTTATTTGTGGAGACAATGTGCAGGTCAGAAAGATTCCCCATCCTTGGCCAGTAGCAAAATCGTTTTCTTTGTTGAAATCAATTGCTTCCAACTTACTGTGGCTACATCATCCAGGGCTGCAATGCTTCTTATTTGGTCTTGAGCCAATGCTTAGTGTTTGAATGAAATTGGCTTTAGCATTCTTTCCTCAGGGGAGTGTGGACAAATAAATTTTCTGCTTAAGAATGCAGTTTCTTTCTGACTCAAACAGCTGATCCTATAAACTTGGACTTCATAGTCATCAGTTTCAATTCAGAACCAACCTTTTAAAAATTATATGTTATTTTGATATAAAAAGTACCAAAAGCAAATCTTCTGAAGGAATAGAACTCCAGACGGTTTTATTAGGTTTCCAAGGTTATTAGTCTAAGAATATGTTGCAAATAAATACATAAATAATGACCACAATAATCATAATCATACCTATCTTTTTAATTTTTTTATTTCTATGGGTGTATAGTAGATGTATATATTTATGAGGTACCTATCCTTTTTTTGGTACTTGCTGTGTGCCAGGCACTATGCTATGTAATCACCACCACAACCATATTAAAATAGGAACTGCTATCCTCATTTCAAAACTGAGGCAGTGAGAACCAGAGACTACACATAAATTGTCCCCAGGAATTTTTGGAATGCCTGCGTGGATTTGTATTTGTATAAGTGTTTCTAGTGACTAAAAATGAAAACCCAGGGAACTAAAGAAGAAAACAATTAGTAGATTAATCTATTAGGTCATAAAGTTGACAGGGTATTATAGAAAGTTGGGTGGGTTCTTCAGAATCCACCTATCTCACTGTTATCTATTTTAAAAGTTCAGAGCCATACATGATGACAGATATTTATTTCCTTTATGTTTATTTTTTTATTTGGGAAAGTTGTTTATTCTATTTGAAAAGATAGACACTAAAATGAAACACTGAATTTTACCAGTCGCTGACATGTGTAAGTAGTCCACTAATATGGGCCGATGAGAAAGCCCAAAAGCTGAAATTCTCCTGTATTTGTGAAATCTTAATTCTTTTTTCTTAATGGAAAGAGCCACTGCCATCGACTCTCTTGGTTTCACTTACTCTAAGTGGAACTCTAAGTGGTCTGGAAACTTCCAAGTATAAGCAACCAGCCCACTGGAATTTCTAACCAAATGTCCCTTAGACACCCTTCCCTGTGTCCCTTTTTAACATGCACAGTCACACACAGTTATGCGAATGTGCACATACATTCACACACACATGTGCATGCAAACATGCACATATATTCACACACACTCAACATAAACATGCACACAGAAGTCACAAACACACATACACACTATTAAACACATGCACACTCATGGACACGCACACACACAGCACATGCATGCACATGCTCACACATGGACACCTAAACATACAGGCACACCTAGTCTATGATCCATTCAGAGTTAATTTTTATATATGGTGTTAAGATGTAGATTGAGTTTACTTTACTGAAGTCCATTTGCTCCAGCATCATTTTTTGGAAAAGTCTATCTTTTCTCCATTGAATTGTCTTTGTGCCTTTGTCAAAAATCAGTTGTCTTTTGTTTTGGTAATAAACGTGTCTATCCTTTACTATCCCAATACTATACTGTCTTGGCCACAGGAGGTTTATAACACATCTTAAAATCAAGTGTGTGAGTCCTCTAACTTTTTTCTTTTTCAGTGTTGTTTTGGCTAATCTAGTTTCTTTGTCTTTCTATATAAATTTAGAATCAGCTTGTCTGTGCCTACAAAGAAACCTGCTGGAGTGTTGACTGGGATTGCATTGAATTTATAGATCAGTGTGACTATACTTGACATCTTAACTGTGGTATATCTTAAAATCCATAAAAACAATACATCTCTCTATTTATTTAGGTCAATTTTGGTCTCTCTTGTCTGAATTTTGTGAATTGCTTAGTTAGAATTTTTGACTGTGTCCTGGCTCTGTTGTTCTCCAGGTCTACATGGACCCCGTTCCCTTTTCCTGGCTTTGCACCACTGTCCATACCCCTTCCCCAATTACATGGAGCTCAGCCCTCTATTTTGCAAAATCCCCAGTCCTCTGTGGTTTTCAGATGAGAAGTCACTTCCTCAGAGCCTCTCTCACTCTCTCCTCCACTCCAGTCTAGCATGGGTGCCCTTCCCTTGTGCCTGACACCATCTTGTCTCTCATAGCTCTAAGCATCATATAACTGCCTCATTAATTTGTTTTTTAGGCCAGCAGCCCAAATACTCTTAGAAGGTAGAGACCCTGCCTAATTTTAGGTTGTATCCCTAGCACATAACACAGAGCAATGGCCCAGTTAATGGCAGCTGAGTGTAGGAATGGAGCAATGAAGGAGTGAAAGGAACTGAAAAGGGGGAAGTAAACTAGCCTTGAGTGAGGCTCTGCTCTGTGTCAAGCACCATGAAGGTAGGTCAACAGTGGTCAATAGAAATTAGACTGTCAAAGAGAAATTAGACAGTCATTATTAGACAGTGAAACACAGTCAGACAGAAAGGTATAGAGGGAGAAAGGAAAGGAGGGAGGGGGATATATAGACAGACATTCAGGCAGGTTTTGGATAATCAGATAAATACATTCATAGGCATATGGGTAGATATGCAGACAAACAAGATAGGTTGAAAGACATACAGACAAGAAGGAAAAACATTGAGGTTACAGATGGACAGACAGAAAAACAGAGTTTCCAGCATAGAGAGACAGACAGGTAGTCATATAGACAGATATATAACACAAAGACATACAGACATACTGACAAATAGACACCCAGAAACATGCATAGGTGGGTGGCTGGGTGGGTGGGTGGGTGCATGGGTGGATGGATGGATGGATGGATGGATGGATGGATGGATGGAGACAGGTAGAAATAGACAGGATGGCAGAAAGAAAGAAACATGGATAGTTAGACATCTACTTAGCAGACACATGACCAACAGAAGGGGAGACAGAAAATCAGGAAAGAGGAAGGCAGACAGACAATGAGAAAATTAATAAGAAAGATAGATACATACGGACAGGAAAAAATATATATCAAAAGATACATAGGTAGGTAGGTAGGTGTGTGGAACAAGAAAGGGAGAGATAGAATATAGATTGAAGATAGATGATAGGTGGACAGACAGGCAGGCAGACCAATAGTATGTTTTTATTTAGGTTTATTTAAACTTAACAAAGTTCTAAGAAAGATATGGTATCTTCCGCATGTATTGATGGGGAAGTGGATTCACAGGGGTTTAGTGACTTCCTAAAGACCACACTTGAAGAGAATGGCAAAACCTCAACTCAAAACTAGCCCTGCCTTTCCCCGGGGTTTGTGCCAGCACAGCCTGCATGGATTCTCCAGCCCACATCACTTCAGCTGCTAAACAAAGTGCACCTTTCTACTCTTCTCTTGCTTGCATCTGCTTCCATGCTGGAGCCCAGACCCCTGTCATTTCTTGTATCTTATTTAATAGCTTCAGTAGGAAATGATGCTTGAAGTATGGTTTATTATGTGAGCAGGGGGCAAAGAGTTTGGGAGGCCTTAAAGTAGAGATGAGTGTCCTGCTCCTTCCCTCCCGGGTCCTGAGCTCCTAAGAGCCCTCATGACCATAGCCAGTTTTCCTTCTGGACAGTTTTCTACCCATGAGACCTTTTTCCTGTTAGTATTGTTTAACCATGCTATAACACATTAATATTCTGATGTGTCTTAGAGACACTTTCATGTTGACACCTGTAATGTAGTCCAGGTACTGATATAATAGGCTTGATTCAGCCAGTCTCCTATGGACAAACTTTTTTTACATTTCCAGCTATGCTGTAGGGAACATCCTTAGACATGCCTCTTTGTACACATAAGCAGAGTGTTCTCTCAGCAAGATACTGAGAGGCAGAATTGTACAGTTACAATTCTATATATGTATTCTATATTAAAATGTGTATTCTATATTAAAAACAATTTTAGATCCTAAAAAAATGCCCCCTGCTGACCTCACCACTAGCCCAATATTCCCCTACTAGCAGTGTTAAAAACTACCAATTTCACTTCACCAGGACTTGATGTTTTCAGGCTTTTTTTCCCTTGCCAATTTGATGCATGAGGGCTTGGGTGAGGGTGGTTAGTGATTATCTTGTCTAATTTGTATTTTCATCATTACGACTAAGGTTGATTCTCTTTTCATTTGTTGACTAGTCATTTGAGTTTTCTGTAAATTACATATTCATATAATATGTAAATTTTTTAATTCGTCCTTTGAATATCAATCCCTTGTTTTTATGTTTTTTCCAGAATTTCTTATTCTGTTATATAACTTTAAAATATCTATGATTTTTTTCTCATACAGAACTTTGTTTATTGTCTTTGGTTTTTGCTATTATCAGTTTTATCAACTTTATTTTGATGGTGTATTAGTCTGTTTTCACACTGCAATAAAGAGCTGCCCAAGATTGGGTAATTTATAAAGGAAAGAGGTTTAATTGGCTCACAGTTCAGCATGGCTGAGGAGTCCTCAGGAAACTTACAATCATGGCTGAACGTGAAGGGGAAGCAAAGCACATTTCTTTACAGGGCAGCAGGAAGGAGAAATGCAAGCAGTGGAAATGCCAGGCACTTAGAGAACCATCATATCTCATGAGAACTCATTCACTATCAGGAGAACTCACTCACTATCATGAGAACAGCATGGGAGAAACCACCCCCATGATCCAATGACCTCCACCTGGTCCCATCCTTGACACATGGGGATTACAATTCAAGATAAGATTTTGGGTGGGGACATAGCCAAATCATAGAATTCCACATCTGGCCCCTTCCAAATCAAATCTCATGTTCTCACATTTCAAGACATAATCATGCCTTTCCAACAGTCCCCCAAAGTCTTAACTTATTCCAGCATTAACCCAGAAGTCCGAGTCCAAAATTTCATCTGAGACAAGGCAAGTCCCTTCTGCCTATGAACCTGTAAAGTCAAAAGCAAATTAGTTACTTCCTAGATACAATGGGGGTACAAGCATTGGGTGAATACAGCCATTCCAAATTGGAGAAATTAGCCAAAACAAAGGGGCTGCAGGCCCCATGCAAGTCCAAAATCCAGTAGGGCAATGTTAAACCTTAAAGTTCCAAAATGATCTCCTCTGACTCCATGTCTCACATCCAGGTCATGCTGATGGAACAGGTGAGCTCCTATAGCCTTGGGCAGCTCCATCCCTGTGGTATTGCAGGGTATAGACCCACTCCTGGCTGCTTTCACAGCCTTGTGTTGAGTGTCTGCAACTTTTCTAGGTGCACAGTACAAGCTGTTGGTGGATCTACCATTCTGGGATCTGAAGCATAGTGGCTCTCTTCTCACAGCTCCACTAAGCAGTACCTCAGTGGGGACTCTGTATGGGGGCTGTGACCCCACATTTCCCCTCTGCACTGCCCTAGCAGAGGTTCTTCATGAGGGCTTTGCCCCTGCAGCAAACTTTTGCCTGGACATCCAAGCATTTCCATAGATCCTCTGAAATCTAGGCAGAGGTTAACCTCAATTCTTGACTTCTGTGCAGCTGCAGGCCAAACACCACATGAAAGCTGCCAAGGCTTGGGGCTTGCACCCTCTGAAGCAACAACCTGAGCTGTACATTGGCCCGTTTTAGCCACAGCTGGGACACAGAGCACCAAGTCCTAAGACTGCACAAAGCAGCAAGGCCCTGGGCCCGACCCACAAAACCGCTTTTTTCCTCCTAGGCCTCCTGGCTTGTGATGGGAGGGGCTGCTGTGAAGACCTCTGACATGCCCTGGAGACATTTTCCCCATTGTCTTGGTGATTAACATTTGGCTCCTCATTACTTACGTACATTTCTACAGCCAGCTTGAATTACTCCTCAAAAAATTGGTTTTTCTTTTCTATCGCATTGTCAGGCTGCAAATTTTCTGAACTTTTATGCTCTGCTTCCTTTTAAACATAAGTTCCAATTCCAAACCATATCTTTGTGAATGAATAAAACTAAATGCTTTTAAGAGCACCAAGTCATCTCTTGAACGCTTTGCTGCTTAGAAATTTCTTCCACCAGATACCCTAAATCATCTCTCTCAAGTTTAGAGTTCCACAGATCCCTAGGGTAGGGGCAAAATGCCACCAGTCTCTTTGCTAAAGCATAAAAAGGGTCACCTTTGCTCCAGTTCCCAACGAGTTCCTCATCTTCATCTGAGACCACCTCAGCCTGGACTTGATTATCCATCTCACTGTCAGCATTTTGATCAAAGCCACTCAGCAAGTCTAGGAAGTTCCAAAGTTTCCCACATCTTCCTGTCTTCTGAGCCCTCCAAACTGTTCCAGCCTCTGCCTGTACCCAGTTCTAAAGTCACTTCCACATTCTTGGGTATCTTTATAGCAGCGCCCCACTCTCTGTGGTACCAATTTACTCTATTAGTCTGTTTTGATACTGCTATAAAGAACTGCCTGAGACTGGGTAATTTACAAAGGAAAGAGATTTAATTGACTCACTGTTCAGCATGGTTGGGGAGTCCTTAGGAAACTTACAATCATGGTGGAAGGTGAAGGGGAAGCAAGATACCTTCTTTACAGGACAGCGGGAAGGAGAAATACAAGCAGGGGAAATGCCAGGCACTTATAAAAACCATCATATCTCGTGAGAACTCACTCATTATCATGAGAACAGCATGGGGGAAACCACTCCCATGATCCAATTACCTCCACCTGATCCCACCCTTGACACATGGGGATTATGGGGATTACAATTCAGGATGACATTTTGGGTGGGGACACAGCCAAACCATATTGGATGGACCTTCACTTTTTAGCTCTTAAAAAGGCTTTATTTATTAGTTAGGGCTGGCTAAATGCTAAAATGAACATCCCCACAAATCTCAGCACTTTAACACAAGGCAGCTTTATTTCTTGCCATGTGCCAGCCTGATAGAGACCACACCATCATGTAGGGACCCACATTTCTCCCATCCAGCAGCTCTACTATCCCCTGGGGTCACTGACTCCCTGCTGAATCCTCTCTAATGAGCTGAGCTGGCAAATAAGAGATAAGGGAGAAGTGGGGATGCAGTGGGAGACTGGGGCCAGGCCTGGAAATGGCTCAGGTTCCTTCCATGCCATATTCTATTTTGATGGAACTTAAGTCACGTGGCCACACCTTGCTTGGCCTTGGGAGGCCAAGAAATGTGACCTAGAAACACAAAGGCAAGGGCCATGGTCAACATCAGGCAGGGTCTCCAGCACACTTTATTACCACAAGGTCATAAATGTATTCACCTATACTTTTCTCTGGCACACTTACAGTTTTACTTCTTGTCTATGTGTATTTAATTCCTGTGAAATTTGTTGGTCAGTGATATGATGTAGGGAATCTTGCTTTATTTTTTCCAATTAGGTTTCCAACTTATTTTATAAATTTTATAATGTGGTCCTTTTCCCACAGGATTTTTAGAAATTTAGTATTCCCCACGTGTGTCATTCTGTCAGTTAGAGATGATTTCAGCTTCGTCGGAGATGTTTAATTTCACAAGACAGAGTTGGGAGCCAGTGCACCATTGGGTTGACTGCTCAGTGATGTCATGGCAGCATCTTTCAGGTTCTCTTGACCCGTCCCTCATGGTCACAGGCCAGCACAGCTTCTCGTATCACATCACTTCAAGGTGGGAGGATTCTATGCATACCTCTTAGGAAGGCAAAACATTTGCCAAAAGTAGCCTAGCAGATTTCCTATTGCATTTTGGCAGCTCATGGAGGAGAAAGAACTGGCCACATGGATACTTTTAGCTGCAGGAAAAACTGGTAAAGCAGAAGTCAGAATTGTCTTGATTCACTTAGCCCAATCATCAGCCCATGTATTAAGCCCGTGGATTTACTACATGGGGCTGAGCACATTGTAGCCATGAGCAAAAGCAAAGGTCTGTTGGCAATAAGGAAGGGGAATGGGTATTGGATGGGAAGTTAAGGGCATCTGCCATTATCATCTACCAAATTCTCTCTCTTCCCCCATTACCCTCACACATCTCTGCATTTTCTGTTCTCCTCCACGGGTCCATGTGTCTCTGTCTGTCCCTGTGTATCCATCACTTTAGTCACAATATCTTTATGTGTGAAGTGTGGGAGAACAAACATGCAACTTATTTTCTTCAAAATTGTCTTGGAATTACTGGCTTATTCTTCTAAGTTTTAGAAACTGTTTGTCAGCTTCCACAAAAAATTCTGTATTGATTGCATTCAATTTATTATACATATTAGAGAGGAACTGGCATCTTAACAATATAGTCTTCCCATCCATTTATTGAAGTTCTCTTTCTATACCTCATTAAAGATTTATTATTTAGGTTTCCTTCTTTTTGTGTGTTTTTCCTAATTAACTTACAGGAGATTTGGTGGGGGTTGGTTGGCTATTATGAAATAGATTTTTTTGTGTTGTTTTTAAAATTCTAACTTGGCTAATGTTGACATGTAGGAAAAGTGTTGATTTTTGGATGTTGATCTTGTTCCAGCCATTTAAAATGTTCTCATTTGTTATAATACTTAGTCATGAGTTTGTTCTAAACCTTGATGGAAATGCTTCTAAAGTTTTCATTATTAGGTCTGATAAGTCCTAAAAAATTAGAATCAATATCATTTAATAAGTAGAAAAAAGGTTCCTTCTATTCCTGGTTTGTTTCAACTTGGTATAATGAATAACTGGGCTTTTTGGCATCTTTTAAGATGACCATATGGTTTTTCTCCTCAAATTTGTTAAGATAGTGTATTGGCATGAGAATCATGTTTGGCTGTTAGTAACAGAGAGGAGACATTATGGCAGATTTAACAAGAGGAGAATTCACTTCTCTCACATGTACGAGAATGAGGCACTCCAGGGTTGGTAATGGCATCTCCAGAACCCCACAGACTCAACTCCTTCCACCCTAATAACCCCCACAACCAAGCACCCAAGATGGCTGCAGCGGCTCCAAGGCTCTAATTTGTCTCTTTATCTCTTTTTCTGTGTTTTGGACTCATTTGCTAATCTTTAAGTTGTAAATCTATGTTTATAAATGGTATTTGCCTTGGGTTTTTTTTTTTTCTATTGCCTCTTTTCTAGTTCAGACATCTGAGTCATTTTACCTTTATCTCTCAATTAGGAATACATTCAGCTACAAGTAACCAGACATTTGACTTAACTGGCTTGAAAAAGTAGATACTTAGATGAGAATTATAATAAGAAGTCCAGGGGTGGACTGTCTACGGCTGGTGCAAGTGTTCCATGATACCATCGGAAATAGCTTCCTACTCCACCCAACTTTTCTTGGGTTTTGTCCTCTTGCATCATGTTTTATACTCCCAGAATGGTGGGTGGACTTGCAGATGTTATTTCCTCACTCAAGGCAGAAAGAAGGGGAAAGGCATCACGAGAAAGGACTATTCCATTTAAGCCTGTCTCTTTCCATCAGGTAAGCAAGTGCTTTCCTCTAAACCCAACCAGTTGGAAACCCAACCATTTCCATCAGGTAGACTGGATCGTCGTCCAGCATGGCACATGCAGATTGGTGAATCACAGGTCAGGGAATAATGGGCTTTTACCAATTGCATTTCATCCCTGGGTGCTAGGAATTTTGTCTTTCTTTTCTGAAATCCAGGGTCTCAACTGCTCCCTGATAAACCAAGATTCAGTCTGCAGTAGGTGCAAGCGTATGCAGTGGACAACATCTAAGAAGCTGGGCTAGCACCTGCCCGTTGCCTTCTAGGCTCTGGATGTCAATTTTTTGTATCTTCATTTATTTTCCTAAAGTATGTAATTCCTGTCAGTTCTGTCTTCTGAAACTCTTATCAGCCTCCCACTGGCCTCATAACATAGGTAAGCTACTCACCCTGGCAGCCCCAGGGCTGGCCCTCACCTTCACCCCCAGCCTTTTGGCCACCGGCTCTCCTGGAGACACTGGGGTATCTGTGCCCGGCCACCACCCATGTTGCTCATCCAGCCCAGAATGCCCTCTTTGGACTTTTCCTTAATCCTCCTAAAAAATTTATCTTACCTTCAGCTGTCTTCATCTGCCAGGCACAGAGAACTGTTCCTTTCTTATATTCCAATGGGTTTACTTGTAAGCAGTATTAGAGTACTGATTCCAATCTAGGTGGAATTTTGGGTATTTTCATGTCTGCCCATCAGAATGGAGCATGAAGGTAGGTTTAGTGTTTTTAGTTTCCTTTTGTTCATTTATTCAGCATACTTATTATCCTGTATATTCCAGCTTGTGGTGATGTTAAGACAAATAAAACATGAACCCTGTCCTCCAGGGCAGCCTTCACAGACAGAAGAAGGAAGCAAGTAGGTTGGGGTGACAGCTCAATACGCAAAGTGTGCCCCACCACTTGTCACAATGACAATGGCAGGCCGGGAAAAGAGGCTGACCCATTAGGCTGTCTTTTCCTTGAAAATAAGGTGCCTTTACCCAGAAGAACTGATTTAATGATTGGAATCAATAGGAAAAGTAGCAACCTGATTTGTAAGGTTTTTGGATTTTTTTTAAACCCTTGTCAATGGCACATTGGTCTGATTCAGGCACATATTTTATGCCAGTGTAACAGCTAGATTTGTGAGCCTGAAGAATAAAAACATAAATCTTTCAAAGCAAAGCGGACTTGCAAGCATTCCAATGCTGAAGGTTTAGAATTGTCAGGCAAGCTCTGCTGCGCATTTTCAGGGATGAGATAATCTCTGTGACATGGAGGTTCTCTTGTAAGGTGATCTTTTCAGGGTGTGGGCACATTACACTGTTGCAAGATTGTAGTTTTCTACAAGTCAGAACAAGTGTCACCATGTTTCGTGGCCTTACAAAGTTCACTTTCGTGATTAAGTCTTTTCTTCAAAACTATTGATTATTATTCCTTGTGGATTCTTTAGGAATTGTCTACAAACTAGCCCAAATTTAGAATGGTTGGACTTAGGATTTTCTAACTTTAGGATAGATTTCTTGGGAGGTTACCCCATCGTAAGTCAAGGAGCATCTGGACTTAATGATGGTTCGACTTATTTCAACTTTAAGGTGGATTTATTGGAATATTAAATTCATTTCAACTTAATGTATTTTCAACTTAAGATAAGTTTATTGGTGTATAACCCCATCATAAATTGAGCATCTGTAGTTTTTATGAACAGTCTGTAACCTTTTTGGGATCATAAGCCCATGACTGTAATGACAGCTGTACACTTGCTGTCATAGGAGGAACCCTGGAAAAATTCTATATGCCATTGATGAGTATATCATTTCAGTGCACACAGGAGAAGGCTTCAGTAGGTCCTACACTTACTGCTATTCCCAAATATGTAAATTTTAGAAGAGACTTTTCTTCCATCTTTCCATACTGGGAGAAAACTATGAGAAGGTACAACTGAGTGAGTGTCAACAAAGGAAATGTTTTGCTTCCAATCATGCATCTGTGCACATAATATATTTCAAAGGCACCAGATGTTTTGACCTGACACCTTTTGAAGACACCCCGTTCCATTGTAAAGGGATAGTATTGTGTGATGGAATAATGGTGACTTTTGGATCAAAGTGAGTCTATGTGGGAATCCTTACTCTGCCACTGGGCACTCTGGGCTTTAGTAAAATGGAACTAAACCACTGTCCCTGTGGAATTGTTGCCTGTAGGAGAGTTAACTCACCCTTAAAGCAGTAAGCACGATCAATGTAATTGTGGGCACTCAGCAAGTAACATTTATTTTCCTTAGTGAGATATATAGGGGATTTAGGCCCATGGGAAGAATCTTTTTAACTGCATTCAAATAAATTTGAAAACCAAGTTAAGATGGATAAATCTCTAGGAAAATATGACCTAACAAAATTAAACCATATAGAGATAGAAAGACTGGGCAGAGCAATTTCCACAGGAAAAAATTAGAGGAAGGTGTAAAAGAGCTCCCTGAAAAAGAAGGACCAGGAAGATTGATTCGTGGGTCAAATCTACCAACCTTCAGATATCAAATGGCCCTGGTGCTACTTAGGTTAATCCAGAGCATTGAAAATAAAGTGAAACTTTCCATTTTGTTTTATGTATATAATATTAACTATAAAGCCTGACAAAGATTACACATAAAAGTAAAAACCATAGCTCAATCTAGTTTATTAATATTAATTTAAGAATTTTACAGAAATCCAAATGCCATATGTTCTTACTTAAAAGCAGGAGCTAAGCATTAAGTACACATGGACTCAAAGAAAGGAACAACAGACACTGGGACCTACTTGAGGATGGAGGGTGGGAAGAGGATGAGGATAAAAATACTACCTAACAGGTCCTATCCTTACTACCTGGGTGGCAAAATAATCTGTACACCAAACCCCCATGACATGCACTTTACCTATATAACAAACCTGTGCGTGTCCCCCGAACCTAAAGTAAAAGTTAGAAAAAAATAAACAAGTATTATGGGAATCATTTAAAAAAGAGTTTTAAATAAAAATTAGCAAAACCAAATCAAAAAGCACATAAAAAGAAACATCAATGAATGATTAAAGGAGATTTATTCCAGAAACATGAGTTAGGTTCAGTATTAGGAAGCACATTAATATAATTCATCATAGTAGTAGATTTTATGAAAAAAATAGTATGAAAGTCAACATCTATCCATAATAAAACCACTCAGTAGAAGAGGTTCATGGATACTTTTTAAATGTGTGTGTGTCACTACCCAACTTCAAACTATACTACAAGACTACAGAAACCAAAACAGCATGGTACTGCTACAAAAAACAGACACATAGACCAATGGAACAGAATAGAGATCTTGGAAATAAGACCACATATCTGCAACCATCTGATTTTTGACAAAAACAAGCAATGAGGAAAGGATTCCCTATTTAATAAATGTTGCTGGGAAAACTGGCTAGCCATATGCAGAAAATTGAAACTGGATCCCTTCCTTACACCTTATACAAAAATTAACTCGATGGCTTAAAGATTTAAATGTAAAACCAAAACTATAAAAACCCTAGAAGAAAATCTAGGCAATGCCATTTAGGACATAGGCATGGGCAAAGATTTCATGACAAAAACATCAAAAGCAATTGCAATAAAAGCAAAGATTGGGATCTAATTAAACTAAAGAGCTTCTGCACAGCAAAAGAAGGTATTATCAGAGTGAACAGACAACCTACAGAATGGGAGTTTTTTTTTTTTTTTTTTTTTTTTGAGACAGAGTCTCGCTCTGTCCCCCAGGCTGGAGTGCAGTGGCACGATCTCAGCTCACTGCAAGCTCCGCCTCCCGGGTTCATGCCATTCTCCTGTCTCAGCCTCCCAAGTAGCTGGGACTACAGGCGCCCGCCACCACACCCGGCTAATTTTTTTTTTGTATTTTTAGTAGAGACGGGGTTTCACCTTGTTAGCCAGGATGGTCTTGATCTCCTGACCTTGTGATCCACCCGCCTCAGCCTCCCAAAGTGCTGAGATTACAGGCGTGAGCCACCGCGCCCGGCCGGGAGAAGATTTTTATAATCTATCCATCTGACAAAGGTCTAATATCCAGAATCTACAAGGAACAAATTTACAAGAAAGAAACAAACCCATTAAAAAGTGGGCAAAGGATATGAACAGACACTCCTCAAAAGAAGACATTTAGGTGGCTAACAAACATACGAAATAGAGCTGAACATCACTGGTCATTACAGAAATGCAAAGCAAAACTGCAATGAGATACCATCTCATGCTATAGTCAGAATGACAATTATTAAAAAGTCAAGAAACAACAGATGCTGGCAAGGCTGTGGAGAAATAAGAATGTATTTACACTGTTAGTGGGAATGTAAATTAGTTCAACCATTGTGGAAAACAGTGTGGTGATTCCTCAAAGACGTAGAACCAGAAATACCATTTGACTTGGAAATCCCATTACTTTATATACCCAAAGGAATACAAATCATTCTGTTATAAAGATACATGCATGTGTGTGTTCATTTCAGCAGTATTCACAATAGCAAAGACATGGAATCAACCCAAATGCCCATCAGTGATAGACTGGATAAAGAAAATATGGGATCTTCATGGCTCTGACTCAGATGGACACAGCAGCATTCCGAGGCTTGCATCGTGAATTTTTAGCTCCAGATCGACTGCAAGAACAAACCAGCAATCCTGAGAGGACCCACAGACCCTCTGAAGGAAGCAGACTGCTCCTGCAGGACCCAGGAAACACCTCAAATACTGTGAGTGCCCACCTGCGGAAGTGGAAAAGGGAGATCCTGCTCTCCCGAACACACACCCGCAATGGAGAAATTGAAGGTCTGTTTGCAGGAGAAGTTTCCGACCTTAACTGGAGCTGAGTCAGTTTAGAGAACTGAGTGAAATACAGGGGTAGAGGAAGCAGTGGGAAAGGCCCTGGGAGCTCCCTGGGTCCCCAAGCAGGCCATTCCTGCCTGGCACCGCAGGCATCCTTTGGGAGGGAAGCCAGAGGAGTAGGGAAAAACACCACAGAGAGAAGGAAGTCTCCAGCTGAACTTTGTAACAATTTGAACTGGGTGAGAAGCCTCTTTGCCAGAACTCAGGGGAGGGTGCGAATCTGTCCTGCAGACTCTCCACAGGCGGGGGTAGAACCAAGCCCCTTTCTTTCCAGCTGGGAAGCAGGTAACCTGGGGGAAGTTCTCAGCTCTGCTCACCCACTGCCTGGAAACAGACTTGGGGCTGTTACGGGAGGCACAGTGGGAGGAGACCGGCCCTTCGGACTGCATGGGAGCTGGGTGAGGCCTGCGACTGCCGGCTTTCCCTCACTTCCCTGACAGCCTGCATGACTCAGCAGAGGCAACCATAATCCTCGTAGGTACACAACTCCATTGACCTGGGAACCTCACCCCCCATCCCCCACAGCAGCCTCAGCAAGACGCACCCAAGGACAGTCTGAACTAAGACATACCCAACCCTGCCCCCACCTGATGGGCCTTCCCTATCCACCCTGGTAGCTGAATACAAATGGCATGTTATCTTGGGAGTTCTGGGGCCCCACCCACCACTGGTTCTTCTCCATGCTACCACAGCTGATGCTCCCTGGAAAGTGCCATCTCCTGGCAGGTGACCAACCAGCACAAAAATAGGATATTAAACCACCAAAGCTAAGAATCCTTGCAGAGTCCATTTGACCCCACCACCAGCTCCAGGAGAACAGGTGCTGGTGTCCACAGCTAAGACACCCATAGATGGTTTACATCACAGGACTCTGTACAGACGATACCCAGTACCAGTCTGGAGCCAGGTAGACTTGCTGGGTGGCTAGACCCAGAAGAGAGACAGCAATTGCTGCAGTTCGGCTGGCAGGAAGCCACAATTATAGGAAAACCAGGAGAGTATTACATCAAGGGAACACGCCATGAGACAAAAGAATCTGAACAACAGCCTTCAGCCGTAGACCTTCCCTCTGACAGAGCTTACCCAAATGAGAAGAAACCAGAAAACCAACCCTGCTAAGATGACCAAACAAGGCTCTTTAACACCCCCCAAAAAATCACACTAGTTCACCAGCAATGGATCCAAACCAAGAAGAAATCCCTGATTTACCTGAAAAATAATTCAGGAGGTTAGTTATTAAGCTAATCAGGGAGAGGCACCAGAGAAAGGCAAAGCCTAATGTGAGGAAATCCAAAAAACAATACAAGAAGTGAAGGGAGAAATATTCAAGGAAATAGATAGCTTAAAGAAAAAACTATCAAAACTGCAGGAAACACTGGACACACTTATAGAAATGCAAAATGCTTTGGAAAGTCTCAGCAATAGAATTGAACAAGTATAAGAAAGAAATTCAGAGCTCAAAGACAAGGTCTTTGAATTAACCCAATCCAACAAAGACAAAGAAAAAATAATAAGAAAATATGAACAAAGCCTCCAAGAAGGCTGGGACTATGTTAAACAACCAAACCTAAGAATAATCAGTGTTCCTGAGGAATAAGAGATTTCTAAAAGCTTGGAAAAATATATTTGGGGGGAATAATGGAGGAAAACTTCCCTGGCCTTCCCAGAGACCTAGACATTCAAATACAAGAAGCACAAAGAACACCTGGGAAATTCATCTCAAAAAGATCATCACTTAGGCACATTGTCATCAGATTATCTAAAGTTCAGATGAAGGAAAGAATCTTAAGAGCTGTGAGACAGAAGCACCAGGTAACCTATAAAGGAAAACCTATCAGACTAACAGCAGATTTCTCAGCAGAAACCCTACAAGCTAGAAAGGACTGGGGCCCTATCTTCAGTATCCTCAAACGAAACCATTTTCAGCTAAGAATTTTGTATGCAGCAAATTTCTATCATATATGATAGATATATACAGCCTTTCAGAAAATACAGAGAGAATTGACCACTACCAAGCCACCACTAGAAGAACTGCTAAAAGGAGCTCTAAATCTTGAAACAAATCCTAGAAACATATCAAAACAAAACTTTGTAAAGCATAAATCACACAGGACCTATAAAACAAAAATACAAGTTAAAAAGCAAAAACAAAAAATGAAAAAACCAAGGTACACAGGCAACAAATAGCACAATGAATGCAATGGTACCTGACATCTGAATAATAACATTGAATGTAAATGGCCTAAATGCTCCACTTAAAATATACAGAACTGCAAAATAAATAAGAACTCACCAGTGAACTACCTGCTGCCTTCAGTAGACTCACCTAATACATAAGGACTCACATAAACTTAAAGTAAAAGGGTGGAAAAAGGCATTTCATGCAAATGGACACCAAAAGCAAGCAGCAGTAGCTATTCTTATATCAGACAAAACAATCTTTAAAGCAACAGCAGTTAAAAGAGACACAGCGGGACCATTATATAATGTTAAAAGGCCTTGTCCAACAGGAAAATATCACAATCCTAAACATACAGGCACCTAATACTGGAGCTCCCAAGTTTATACAACAATTACTAATAGACCTAAGAAATGAGATAGACAGCAACACAATAATAGTGGGGGACTTCAGTACTACACTGACAGTACTAGACAGGTCATCAAGATAGAAAGTCAAAGAAACAATGGATTTAAACTATACCTTGGAACAAATGGACTTAACAGATATGTACAGAACATTTCATCCAACAATCACGGAATACACATTCTATTCAACAGCACATGGAAGTTTCTCCAAGATAGACCATATGATAGGCCACAAAACGAGCCTCAGTAAATCTAAGAAAATTAAAATATATCAAGTACTCTCTCAGACCACAGTGGAATCAAACTGGAAATCAATTCCAAAAGCAACCTTCAAAACCATGCAAATACGTGGAAATTAAATAACCTGTTCCTGAATGATCATTGGGTCAAAAATGTAATCACGATGGAAATTTAAAAATTATTCAAACTCAACGACAATAATGACACAACCTGTCAAACCTCTGGGATACAGCAAAGGGGATACTAGTAGGAAAGTTCATAGCCCTAAACACCTATCAAAAAGACTGAAAGGGCAGAAACTGACATTCTAAAGTCACACCTCAAGGAGCTATAGAAACAAGAACAAACCAAACCCAAACCCAGCAGTAGAAAGGAAATAACCAAGATCAGAGCAGAACTAGATGAAATTGAAACAAAAAAAAATACAAAAGATAAATGAAACAAAAGCTGGTTTTTTGAAAAAATAAATAAAACTGATAGACAACTAGCAAGATTAACTAAGAAAAGAAGAGAGAAAATCTAAATAACCTCATTAAGAAACAAACGGGAGATATTACACCACAGAAATACAAAAGATGTGACACCACAGAAATACAAAGGATTATTCAAGGCTACTATGAACACCTTTACACACATAAACTAGAAAACCTGGAAGACATGGATAAATTCCTGGAAAAATACAATCCTCCTAGCTTAAATCAGGAAGAATTAGATACCCTGAACAGACCAATAACAAGCAGTGTGATTGAAATCTTAATTTAAAAATTACCAACAAAAGAAGTCCAGGACCAGATGGATTCACAGCAGAATTCGACTCTATTCCACAAGACAGAGAAAGAAGAAAGCCTCCCTAATTCATTCTATGAAGCCAGCCTCACCTTAATAGCAAAACCAGGAAAGGACATAACCAAAAAAGAAAACTACAGACTGATATCCTTGCTGAACATAGATGCTAAAATCCTTAACAAAATACTGGCTAACAGAATCTAACAACATATCAAAAAAATAATCCACCATGATCAAGTGGGTTTCATACCAGGGATGAAAGGATGATTTAACATACGCAAGTCAATAAACGCAATATACCACACAAACAGAAAATCGACATACAGGGGACATATCTCAATGTAATAAAAGCCATCTGTGACAAACCCATAGCCAACATAATACTGAATAGGAAAAGTTGAAAGCTTCCCTCTGAGAACTGGAACAAGACAAGGATGCCCACTCTCACCACTCCTCTTCAACATAGTACTGGAAGTCCTAGCCAGAGCAATCAGACAAGAGAAATAAAGGGCATCCACATCGGTGAAGAGGAAGTCAGACTGTCACTGTTTGCTGATAATATGATTGTTTACCTTGAAAACCCTAAAGACTCCTCCAGAAAGCTCCTAGAACTGATGAAAGAATTCAGCAAAGTTTCTGGATACAAGATTAATGTACACAAATTGGTAGCTCTTCTATACACCAGGAAAGACAAAGCGGAGAATCAAATCAATAACTCAACCTTTTTTATAACAGCTGTAAAAATAAAATCAAATACTTAGGAATATACCTAATCAAGGAGACGAAAGACCTCTACAAGGAAAACTATAGAACACTGGTGAAAGAAATCATAGATGACACAAACAATTGGAAACACATCCCATGTTCATGGATGGGTAGAATCAATATTGAGAAAATGACCATACTGCCAAAAGCAGTCTACAAATTCAGTGCAATCCCCATCAAAATACCACCATCATTCTTCACAGAATTAGAAACAGCAATTCTAAAATTCATATGGAACCAAAAAAAGAGCCTGCATAGCCAAAGTAAGACTAAGCAAAAAGAACAAATTTGGAGGCATCACACTACCTGATTTCAAACTATACTATAAGGCCGTAGTCACCAGAACAGCGTGGTAGTGGTATAAAAATAGGCACATAGAGCAATGGAAAACAATAGAGAACCCAGAAATACACCCAAATACTTACAGCCAACTGATCTTTGACAAAGCAAACAAAAACATAAAGTAGGGAAAGGATGCCCTTTTGAACAAACGATGCTGGGATAATTGGCTAGCCACATGTAGGAGAATGAAACAGGATCCTCATCTCTCACCTTATACAAAAATCAACTCAAGAGGGATTAATGACTTATATCTAAGACCTGAAACTATAAAAGTTCTAGAAGATAACATTGGAAAACCCCTTGTAGACATTGGCTTAGGCAATGATTTCATGAGCAAGAACCCAAAAGCAAATGCAATAAAAACAAAGATAAATAGCTGGTACTCAATTAAACTAAAGAGCTTTTGCATGGTAAAAGGAACAGCCAGCAGAGTAAACAGACAACCCACAGAGTGGGAGAAAATCTTCACAATCTATACATCTGACAAAGGACTAATATCCAGAATCTACAACAAACTCAAATCAGTAAGAAAAAAAATCCCATCAAAATTGGGCTAAGGATATGAATAGAAAATTCTCAAAAGAAGATATAGAAATGTCCAACAAACCTATGAAAAAATGCTCAACATCTCTAATGATCAGGGAAATGGAAATCAAAACCACAATGTGATACCACCTTACTCCTGCAAGAATGGCCATAATAAAAAAAAAAATCAACAAACAGTAGATGTTGGCATGGATGTGGTGAACAGGGAGCACTTCCACACTGCTGGTGGGAATGTAAACTAGTGCAGCCACTATGGAAAACAGTGTGGAGACTCCTTAAAGAACTAAAAGTAGAGCTACCATTTGATCCAGCAATCCCACTATTTGGTATCTACCCAGAGGAAAAGAAATCGTTATACGAAAAAGATACTTGCACATGCATGTTTGTAGCAGCACAATTCACAATTGCAAAATCATGGAACCAACCCAAATGCCATCAATCAATGAGTGCATAAGCAAACTATAGTATATTTATACAATGGAATACTAGTCTGCCATAAAAAGAAATGAATTAACATCATTTGCAGTGACCTGGATGAGACTGGAGACTATTATTCTAAGTGAAGTAACTCAGGAATGGAAAACCAAACATCCTATGTTCTCACTGATATGTGGGAGCTAAGCTATGAGGACGCAAAGGCATAAGAATGATACAATGGACTTTGGGGACTTGGGGGGAAGGATGGGAGGGGAGCAAAGGATAAAAGACTACAAATAGCATTCTGTGTATACTGCTCAGGTGATGGGTGCACCAAAATCTCACAAATCGCAACTAAAGAACTTACTCATGTAACCAAACACCACCTGTACCCCAATAACTTATGGAAAAATAAAATTTTTTTAAAGAAAATGTGGTGCATATACACCATGGAATACTATGCAGCCATAAAAAGGAAACAGATCATGTCCTTTGCAGGGACATGGTTGGAACTGAAAGCCATTATCCTCAGCAAACTAACACAGGAACAGAAAACGAAACACCACATGTTCTCACTTATAAGTGAGAGCAAACAATGAGAACACATGGACACAGGGAGGGGAACAACACACCCTGCGGCCTGTCGGGGGGATGTGGGGGATGGTGAGCATCAGGATAAATAATGCATTTAGGGCTTAATACCCAGGTGATGGGCTGATAGGTGCAACAAACCACCATGGCACACATTTACCTATGTAACAAACCTGCACATCCTGCACATGTATCCTGGAACTTTAAATTAAATTTAAAAAAATTTGTGTGTGTGTGTGTATGTGTGTGTTTAGCCCAAGACCCAACACCCCGCATCTTTTTCAGTGTGGAAACACCAAAGTTATTCCCACTAAAGTTAGGAGCAAAGCAAAGATGCCCATAACCTCTCATAATATGTAATATTATATTGAATGCATTAATCAAGGAAATCAGACAGGATTTGGCAATAGAGAGATACTCCATCTCAAAAAAAAAGAGTTAACACAAACTATATTTGCATTTGATATGTTGTGTATCTGGAAAACTAAAAAAACTATGCAAATTTGCTATAAATTGTAAGAACTTAGTAAAATAGCAAGATATAATTTTAGCACACAGAAATCAATAGCTTTGATTTGAGCAGTATAAATTGAAAGAGTAACTGTGTAATATGCTATCATTCCTGATTTTATTAGGAACTAGGATTTGGTGCGGGAAGGAGGTTCATCTGTAAAAGAGATTAGGTTAAGTAAAAACTCCTAAGTCTTCAATTTGATTTGGAAATATTAGAATGAACTCAAAATTTATTTTTAAAACAAACATATTTCTTAACTCTCCAAGAAGTCCTGTAAACGATGACTAAACCACTAGTTATGGGTACACCAAGCATCCAGATTGTGGTCTTGAAAAACCATTCTCAATAAAAAAGAGTCATAGTTCTTTGGAGAAATGTTGAATTCTAGATCCGGAACAGTAAATGTAGAAAAGGGACCTGAAACATTTTGTCACACAAAATATGTAGAAAAGACTCTATCAGCTACACTAGTGTCAAGGGAACTTGATTCAGGACTTAAGCATCAATAAAGACAACAACTGCTCTATATTGGATAGATTGAAATGCATAAAATATGTTTAAATTGATGAATGCAAAATACTTCAAAAAAAAGAAGTAACAAATTGATCCCATGGAAGGAAGCTAGTGAACCAACTCGTCCAAGTAAAATGATGAATTAAAAGGTCATAAATAAGCATCTATCTTGCCTTTTCTATTAGATGTCTACCACTGGGTGACCAAATAGTAGATTAGTAGAAGTTTCCCTTTAAGAATTCCAGCTAATAAATAAAGAATGAATGAATGAATTATGCTGCCAGTATATGCAACCCCTCTTGAATTGCTGGGTCTAGGCAATGAACATCAGTGGCTGCTACCATCACAGGCAGAGACAGATACTCAGTGCCAACTGATGGAAGAAGACAGCACCAAAATGTGCCCCAAATTGAATCTGAATCTGATCGAGTCTTATATCCCAGTGCTGATTTACATGAAATAGAGAGGACAGAGGAGCATGTGACATGGCACCATACGAGCAATCAGTAAAAGCCAGATGATAGAAAACTCTAGAGAAAAATATATATATAAGATTTTTCAACAGAGGAAAAAAGATGGAGGCAAAATCTGTAGATTAAAAAAGACATATCAACCAAGTACAATAAGAGATCTTACTTGAATTCTAATTCAAACAAACTGAAAAACTAAATATGTGAACTTACAACATTTGATATCATTGGAAATTTGCATACTGGATATTGCACTGAAGAATTATTGTTAATTTTTGGGTGGGATTATGGTACTGTGGTTTGTTTTAAAGAGTCTCTTAGAGAGAGATGGAAGTAGTTGTGGATGAAATAACGTGTTATCTGGAATTTGCTTCAAAATTATGTGAGCAGGAGAAGGGTTGGAGATAGAGAAGAAGCATGGTTGGCTAAGAGTTGATGATTGTCATGCCTGAGGGATGGGTACATTGGCTTTAATATCCTTTTCTGTCTACTTTTATACATATTTAAATTTTTATTGGAAAAATACTTTTAAAATATGTACCATCAGGTAATTCTGTGTTCTCCTTGTTAGCCTAAAAATCTAAGCTCAAGAGTAGAGAGACTGGAATGTTGAGGTGCCATTTACAATTTCTAGTGCCCCACTTTCTCCTGTCAGTTAAACTACTGTTTAACTTGTATTAAGAACCGTTAAAGAATTTGATATGTCATTGATGAGTATATAATTTCAATGCATATAAGACAAAACCCCAGTAGATCCTACACTTACTGCTATTCCCAAAGTTACACATTTTAGGAGAGACTTTTCTTCCATCTTTCCATACTAGGAGAAAATTATGAAAAAGTACAATGAGTGAGTGTCAACTAAGGAAATGTTTTGCTTCCAATCATGCATCTATGCACATATTTTATCTTAAAGGCACCAGATGCTCTGAGAGCTGGCATAAGACCCAGTCATGGCCCCTGAACAGAAGGCATGTCTCCCTCCCATTAAGCCCATTGGGTGTCCAGCCCGCGGCACCTGCTGGACAAGTGAAATGGGCTCAAAGCCCACACGTGTGCCTTCTCCGAGCCTCAGGTACAAGTGGTGGGTCCCGGCACTGCCCACTGTTGCTGCTGGAGCCTTCCTCAGTTCCTACAAGACAATGTGTTTGAGCGTATCAGCTTCAACAAGGGGAAAACTAAAGAGTGAAATGATCCTGCAACAATGTGAAGAACTTCAATGTGCCCCACAGACATTCCTATAGCCACTTTTGTTTGATTTTCACACAGCCCTATCTGTCGCTGTCTGGCCAAACTTCTCTTCTTATTCCTAAGAAGCACCTTTCCTCTCCTCACCCAGGGCTTTTTACACTGAATTTCCTGGAGAAATTGCTTCATCACAGTCCAAATTACTCTTAGACTCATCTTTAGCTGGTGTTGTGGAGGTTATGTAAGTAATATACGTGGCCAAGCTTTGGAAATGAGAATGTGCTCTACGCATTTGAATGTTTGGCAGAGCCAACCTTCCCAGAACTCATGCCCCCGCACTGAAAGACACCGGGCTTTCTTAATTTTCATCTGAACCATGAAGACGCTCTGGAAGATGTGTTTCCCTAATGTGGCATCCACAGAAGCCTTTGTCCCCTAGTGCACCACGCTTGCCCAAGGTCACAAGGGCGTCTGGCAAGGGATGGACCACACAGTCTCTTGGAATGTTGACCTGTGAGTTGAGACATCCAATTCATTTCACCACGGGAACCCAGGCATCTGATCTTCTCACCAGGGTGGGCTTCCTCGCCAGGCCGGACAAGATGAACGCATGCCTGACCTTTTTTCATATTTAACCATTCACCCCCTTAACAGGGATGTATAAATGTATGGGTAGTCAAGGGTGGATTCTCAATACCAGAACAGTACATTTGCCTATTGTTTTAATCTATGTCAATAATAGTAATAGTGCATGTTCTTTCAGTGTCATGTCACTGTATCCTTACTGCAATTCTAAGAGGCAGGGTTGTTCTCACCCTCATTGCTCAGATGTGACAACCAAGGCTTCAAGAAGTGAAGTGGCCTTTCCAGGGTTGCAGGGGCTTTGCACCCAGCCAGGCCATCAGCTCCCAAGCCTGTGCTCGACCCCAGATCTGTTCATCCACCCCTCTGTTCCCTTATCCCTGTGTTCAGTGTGCTTTATCATCAAACAGACCTGATGAGGGTGAGCTCCCACTCCCCACTCACTTGTGTTCCCCTGCCCGTGGCCCTCCCCTCGCTGGCCCTCTCTGAGGTCAGGCTCTCTGGCTGTGATGGGTGTTCACTTGGCTGCCTCCAAACCACCTGCCTCCCAGGCAGCAGCTTTGAGCTCATGCCAGGGCCTGGCAGCCCTGCAGAGCCAGGGGCAAAGGAAAAATGGTCATGCCAACCTTGCCTTCATTTAAAAGGCTGATATTTTGTTCCTCAAAGATATTTTTGCGCTAATTTTTATTTTTGCAGATATAGCACTAAAATGTTGTTTATGTCGATTCCTGAGTGTTTTTGCACCCCCTTAGATTCTGCAGCAGTGGCAGGTGCCTCCTCGCCTCACCTTAGAGTTGGCCCTGCTGTGTGCCAGGCACTGTGGGCAGGAGGATAGAAAGGAGGATGAAGTGGATCCCAGCTCTCAGGCAGCTGGCCCTCTGTTGAAAGAGATGTTAAAAGCATTCACTACCCTCTTCACTGCCCTGAGAGTGAAGAGTAACCTCCAGGCACTCATTCACCCATAGTCTTCCTGTACCTGTCCCCAGGGATCAGACCACAAGCCTCTGCCATCATCTCCCAGTCTCATTCTCCATCCACCCGTTTTATTGCCTTCCAGTGTCGAGTTGTAACATCTACAGACAAATATAATGCAGGAATGTTTTATTTGAGCTTCATTGAAACAGAAGTTTATTTAATTTATTTATTTATTTATTTATTTATTCATTCATTCATTGGAGATGGAATTTCGCTCTTGTTGCCCAGGCTGGAGTGCAATGGCGTGATCTTGGCTCACTGTAACCTCCACCTCTCGGGTTCAAGCAATTCTCCTGCCTCAGCCTCCCAAGTAGCTGGGATTACAGGTGTCTGCCACCACACCTGGCTCTTCTTCTTCTTCTTTTTTTTTTGTATTATTAGTAGAGACGGGGTTTCCCCGTTTTGGCCAGGCTGCCCTCGAACTCCAGACCTCAGGTGATCTACCAGCCTTGGCCTCCCGAAGTGCTGGGATTACAGGTGTAATCCACTGCACCTGGCCAAAACAGAAGTTAATGAAAAATGGATCCTGAGGTAGTTTGGTCTTTATCCTGCTACACCTCTGTCTTCCAATTTTACTCTCTCTGGTTGGACCACTTCCTCCACTAAGTGTCTTCCAAATCCAGCAGTTGGTCTCTGAGACCTGTATGTGTGTGTCTGTCCCTTTCTGCTTACTGGGGAGATCCTGGGAAAGCTCAGGGGGCTCATAGTTCCCACAGAGTCCCTGCAGTCATGTCCTGAACAGATTAGCAGCTCCATGAAGGTTGCTTAAGTAATCAATGAACACTGCAACCTCGGATACGGGAGAGAAGACGGAATTGAAGGCAGGAGCCCCCACCAGTTTAACCCTCTGTGATTCCAAGCCAAGGCACTAGAGGTAGGCCCCTTATATCTGCCTTCAGCAAGCTGGTGGCAGCAGTTTTCTTGCTCAGTGGAGCCCTGGGAAGGCAAGGGTGGTCTCAGGGTCCCTGTTGAGAGTTCATTCACTGGCTCATAATTAATGTATATTGAGCATGTACTATGGGCCAGTACATTTTGTGCAGAATTCCTTAAAATTTCATAATAACTGTTAGATACAATTATAATTGTATTGATGAGGAAACTGAGGCACAGAGAGGTGATATAACATGCCCAAGGTCACACAAAGTGGTGGAACCATTTTGGCCCCAAGGGACTGATTCCAGGGCCAACCCTCTGTCCCCACATGGCACTGCCCCTCCTAAGGCAAAGTCACCATGCATTGTTGGGACACATTACTCTCCCCGGGGTGGCTGATGAGACCTTCAGAGATGTTCTGTCCAAGGGCTAGTTTGCACGGAGGAGAGCAGGAATGCAGGGCCAGGGCACGGCCACCCAGAGCCTCATGCTGTTCAAAGCGGCTGAGTGAGTGCTTTAGACCACACAAGGCAGGTCGAGAGGCACAGTGCATGCTTGGGAGGATGGCACGGGGCAGTGGGTGAGGATGGCCCAGGTGGCTGGGGTCAAGTGTCCCTACCAGCCCAGCCTCTCCCATATCATCATGGGACATGAATGTGAGGGTGTGGTGATGGTGGCAGTGTGAGGTTTAAGAAATACATCTAGAAGGCCAGGTGTGGTGGCTCACGCCTGCAATCCCAGCACTCTGGGAGGCTGAGGTGAGTGGATCACGAGGTCAGGAGATCGAGACCATCCTGGCTAACATGGTGAAACCCTGTCTCTACTAAAAATACACAAAAAAATGTTAGCTGGGCATGGTGGCGGGCGCCTGTAGTCTCAGCTACTTGGGAGGCTGAGGCAGGGAGAATGGCATGAACTTGGGAGGCGGAGCTTCCAGTGAGCCGAGATCACGCCACTGCACTCCAGCCTGGGCAACACAGCAAGACTCTATCTCAAAAAAAAAAAAAGAAAAAAAACAGCTCTGTGCTGTGCAAGTGATCCTCACTGAAATAGATGTGCTTGCTAAAATGAGGAAAGCTGAGATGGCCAGGCCTGGGCATGGGAGATGCTGGTCAGCTGGCAAGTGGGGACCTGTAGGGCCCAGGAAGACAGAGTACATGCCTCAGGCAATTGGCCAAGGCCAAGATCCAGCCTCCTGTGACAAAAAGCCAAGCCTTCGGCCTCAGTCTGAGGGTAAGGAGATCACATGCTCTTGTTCTCTGATCTGTCCCCCAGGTGGCAGTGACGAAAGAAGAGACTCTCCCGGCCGAGGCCCCAGTGCATGGAGAGAAGGAAGAAATCAATTTCCTAATTGGTACCATATACATCAGGTCAAATAATTTCTTATTTTCTAGCCGCATCAACTAAAAATTATACCCAATAGGAGCTGTGTGCAAGATGGGGTGGTCACAGTGAATGTCTCTGAGGGTACAGACCTCCCTGCCTGAGACCCTCAGTCCTCAGGGTCTTGCACGTTAGGTGAGCTCATTTCCTGCATTCCTACAGAAAATCAGGAGGGCTCAGAGAGGTGAAGCCCATGTCACAGCTGGACAGGGGCAGGGCCAGGGTCAAATCAGGCTATGTGCCTGGCTCTAAAGCATGGGCCACTGACACAGGACCTACTCCACCAAGCAGCACCCATCCCAGTGAGTTACTGTGAAAGAAAGAACAGAGGACAGTCATCAATAGCATGGGATTCAAACTCATCCCACAATATGTAAAATTAATTACATACTTCCTAGCATAAAATTTTCCATTGCCTGTAATGGGGTCTGCAAGCTTTTTCCATAAAGTTCCAGGAAGTACATCTTTTCAGTTTTGTGGGCCTTAAGGATCTCTGTTTTAACTACTCAACTCAGCCAGGTGCAAAAGCAGCCACAGATGCTATGCAAATGAGTGGGTATGGCTGTGTTCCCATAAAACTTCATTTACAAAAATGGGTGGCAGACCACATGTGGCCCATAGTCTATAACTTGCAGACCTCTTATCTACACAAACACAAGGATGCATTTACACTCCACCGGCAAAGATTGAGCACCCACTGGGGCCCCAGCACCATTCACTAGTGTAAGTTACTCTCACTTGTAATGTCACAGTTGCTTTTCCCCAGCAATCAGCTGCTACAGTCAGCCTGGGTCAACCTGCTGCATATCCGTTGTATTTCTCTGGCTGGGATCATGCTGCCTGGGAAATCTGACATTCTTAAGAATGTTGTTGGATTGATGGCAGCTCTTAGAGGGATGGTAGATAGTTCAGTAGCCATCTTCAGCAAGTATGGTATTTCCGTCAACTGTGGATTAACCTTGGCTATTAGTCTTTCCTAATAGCCAAGTAAGGGGTGAGAGCTGAGGGGGTAGGATGGCACACTGATAAAGGCATAATTGGAATAGAGTGGGTAACATTCATCACATTGTGGAAGTATTACAAGTCTATACAATTCGGAAGAGGATTAGAAATCTAGCAACTCCAGTTGAATTTTTCTAGGTATACTTAGGTGTTTGAAATTTTAAAATAGTCTTTTTTCCTCATCAGTTACTGGAATTAATAAAATGTAACTTCAGGAGCACTGGAGATAGTGATGACCCCTTGCCTTAGTCTATCTGGGCTGCTATGTCAAAATACAATAGCTTGGGAGGCTTATGAACAACAGAAATGTATTCCACACAGTACTAAAGGCTGGGAAGTCTAAGGTCAGGGAACCAGCAGATTTGGTGTCTAGTGAGGGCCCATTTCCTGCTTCATAGATGGCACTGTCTTTCTCCATCACCTTGGAGATTAGATATCAACATATGAATTTTGGGAGGGAACACAAACATTTGGCTCATAATACCCCTTCTCTCACATGGCATGTACACAGGGATGAAATTTTAGTTAGCATTCTATAATATAATGTCTTGCATGAAGAATCAGGCAGTTGGACCAAACCAATTCTAAAAAATATGACAGCAGGTGGAAATGGCTCCACCCTCGAGGGTTCTCTCGCTCAGGTCTCTGCATGTAGTTGTCACTTGCAGCTCCATTTCCATCACGTGGTAAAATGCCCTTTCTCTTCTTTCCTGCAGATGGATGGTTTCTAGTGTGCTTCCAAACCCCACCTCGGCTGAGTGTTGGGCAGCACTTCTACATGATCCTATGACTCTTGATATGGACGCAGTCCTGTCAGACTTTGTTCGGTCCACGGGGGCAGAACCTGGTCTGGCCAGAGACCTGCTGGAAGGTAAGCCCACCTCCTTGTCCCCCACACCACCATTCTGGGCATAACCACCTTCCAAATAAGATTTCCAATAACTGACGACAGTGGTACTTGGACAGTATTTGGACTCTCAAAAGTGAAAGTGTTGGTGATAAAATTATTTTTGTTTTTCTTATTTTTATTTGGGTTATGAAATAGATCCCCCAACTCTTGACAGTAAAATAGCATGAAGCACTAAGTGGGCTTTGCTTTGTGTTACATCTTACTGATGTCGAGTCAAAATTTTATCACTAATTATTATATTTAAGAAAATATATTCAATGGAGCAGAAATTATAAAACATTCAAGAAAATACTTTTATGGGAGGCCTTAGTTTCATATCTCTGTGTTAGTAGAGACGAAAATACTCTAGGCCAGGGTTTTTGGTGGAAAAAGCACCTACTATCCAGGAAAGTCACTGGGAATAATTCACAAGCAAGAAGACAGCCTTCATCCTCCAGCTTTTCATGTAGATACCATTTGCTGCGTGAGAAATGTGCATCCTCCGTATGTATGATGTTTTCAGATATGTATTCAGCCATAACCATAGTGAACTAAAATGAAAGTTTAGTTTCTATGTCTCTAAAATGGCTTTACCTTTCTTTTTTTTTTCTGATGGTGGCAGTGGTATGTAAAGGTGGGAGGGACCAGTTACAACTTCTCAGGACAGTCAGCTGTGTGAGAGGAGAGAACTTTGTAATGTTTACTCTTTGCTTCAAATGTATAAACTGCAATTTGTGGAGTTAGTAAATACTTGGTCAAGAATTGTAAGTCACAATGATTCTTTAAGTCACTTAGGGAAAATAAGAATTATTGTACATTTGCAGAAGTGGAGAGAACTATTCAATCATATTGAAAATTAAGAACCACCTACTGGAGGATTATCAAAAAATGGCAATGGCAAAAGCATAGTTTTTAAATTTTCCCCAACCTATTAGAATTTCAAACCAACTCCAAGTTTAGAATAAAATATGCTGAGAGTTTTTGCAATCTATGGAAATCAAAATATGATTCTCCCTTCCTGCTATTTATATTATATAATGTCTCCCTGTCAGTTTCCATTATTTTCATTAAGTGGGCAGCAGAGTGGAGAAGCAGGCTTGGAATAAGGTCGGCAGTGAAATCCGAGTTTGAGTTCAGATTCAGCCACTTATCAACTATGAGATATAGGACAAATTATTTTACTTCCCTTACCCTGAGATTTCTTCTATGTTGAGCTTAACCCACCTTACAAGGTGACTGTGAATATTAGAAGTTGTGATATAAAATGTGTGGTAAAGAAGCAGCATGTAGCAGATGCTCAAAAAAGTATAGAAGACCATGCTTGTGGTGGCCATTATTGTAATTAGTACTAACATCAGTATTAATGTCTAGACAGCCTTAAATAGGAAGCAAGAGTTGTCATCTCTTTTCTTTATTTTTTTACTTATATTTTTCACATTAAGATACAGAAAAATTGAGTTTTTTGTGTCTAGTTCTATGAACTTTAACACATGTATGGATTTGTGTTATTACTACCACATTCAGGACACAGAAGCACTTCATCCCCTCCAGATTCTCTGTCCTGATGTCTTTTATAATCAGACCCTCCCCTACCCCAACCACTGGCAGTCAGTGCTCTGTTTTCTATCACTAGTTTTGTCTCTTTGCAAGAATGTCAGATAAATGTCCTACAGAGCCTAATCTTCTGAAACTGGCTCCTTTTCATGCAGGGAGATCATTTTGAGACTCATCAAGTCATGTGTCAGTAGCCGGTTCCTTTTTGTTGCTGAGTAGTATTCCATTCTGCAGGTACACCAGAATTTCTCCACTCATCTGTCCAGGGGCATTTCAGTTGTTTTCCGTTTTTGGCAGTTAGACTAGAGCTTCTGGAAACATTTAAGAACGGGATTTTGTGAATATAGTTTTAATTTTTCTTTTTCTTCTTTTTTTTTTTTTTTTTTTTGGTGAGAGAGTCTCACTCTAGCCCAGGCTGGAGTGCAGTGGCGCTATCTCGGCTCATTGCAACCTCCACCTCCTGGGTCCCAGTTCAATCAATTTTCCTGCCTTAGCCTCCTGAGTAGCTGGGATTACAGCCGCGCATCACCATGCCCAGCTAATTTTTGTATTTTTAGTAGAGACGGGATTTCACCATATTTGGCCAAGCTGGTCTTGAACTCCTGACCTTGTGATCTGCCCACCTCAGCCTCCCAAAGTGCTGGGATTATAGGTGTAAGCCACCCTGCCTGGCCTAGTTTTAATTTTTCTAAGCTAAATACATGTTAACTTTGTAAGAAACTGCCAACCTGTTTTCCAGAGTGCTGCACCATTTTGCATTCCTACCAGCAGTGTCTGAGAGCTCCAGCTGCCCCACATCCTTGTCAACACTTGGTATTTCTTCCTTTTTTGTTTTTTCATTTTAACCATTTGATAGCTGTGTGATGGTATTTCTTCATGGTTTTAATTTTCATTTCCCTAATAATTAATGACGTTGAAAATTTTCATGCTGTTTATTTTCCATCTTTTTATTCTCTTTCGTGAAATGTCTGTTCAGGCTTTTTGCCTATGTCTAAATTGAATTGTTTACTTGAGATTTAAGAGTTCTTTACATATTCTGAGTATAAATCTTTTGTTCAGATATGGGATTTGTGAATATCTTCTCCCAATCTGTGCTTGACTTTTCAGTCTCTTAACAGGGCCTTTTACAGAGCACAGTTTTAAATTCTGATGCGTTCCAACGACTTTTTTCTGGTATGGATCATGCTTTGAGTGACATGTCTGAGAAATTTTGCATAACTCCAGGTCATGAAGATTTTCTTGTAGTTGGTCTTTTAAAAGTTTTATACTGTCATGTTTTACATTTAGATCTACGATCCATTTGAGATGATTTTTGTATAATATGTGAGATTTAGGTCCAGATTCAGTTTTATGCATACGGATATCCAATTGTTTCAACATCATTTATAGAAAATATCCTCCTTCTTTCATTGAAATTGAATTGCCATTGCAATTTGACAAAAAGCCAACTGAGGGTATTTGTAAGGAATATATTTCTGGACAGTGGTTCTGTTCCATTGATCATTATGTCTGTTCTTTTATCAAAACTGTGCCATATTGATTTCTATAGCTTTGTAATGAGTCTTAAAATCAGATAGTGTGATTTTTCTAAATTTATTCTTCTTTTTCAAGAGTGTTTCAGCTATTCTTTTTTTTTTTTTGCCTTTCTATGTGAACTTTAGGATCTGCTTACCTCTATCTACTCTAAACTGTTTTGCTGAGATTTTGTCTACAATTTTAGTAAATCTACAACTCAATCCTATGTTATGTCTTTCAGTCCATGAAGGAGTGCCATAATTTCCATTTGCTTGGGCCTCCATTAAGTTCTTTCGTCAACATTTTATGGTTTTTGGCATGTAGATCCTATACATCTTTTGTTATATGTGTATTGGGGGTCGGGGTTGTAAGCTATTGTATGTGGTATTTTTTATTTCAGTTTCTACTTGTTCATTGGCAATGTACAGAAATATAACTGATTTTTGTGTGTTGATCTTGCATCCTGCAATCTTGCTAAAGCTAAACTCAGTTTGTTCTAGGAGGGGTGTGTGTGTGTGTGTGTGTGTGTGTTCCTTGGGATTTTATACATAGGTGATCATGTTATCTGTGAGTAAGGACAGTTTTATTTCTTCCTTTCCAGTCTCTAGGCCTTTCTGGTTTTCTTGTCTTATTTCACTGACGAAGACTATTCAAAAGGTTAAATAGCGGTGTTAAGAAAGAAGATCCTTGTGTTGTTCTTAATCTCTGAGAACAAGCAGTATTTCACCATTAAGTAGAATGTTGGCTATAGGTTTTAGTAGATGGTCTTTATCAGGTGAAGAAAATTTCTTTCTATTCCAAGTTTGCTGAGAGTTTTATAATAAATAGATACTGAATTTTTAAAATGAAGATCAAGTGGGTTTTTTGCTTTAAACTGTTGCTATACTAGATTAAACTGATTGCCTTCTAGTGGTAAACCAGACTTTCAGCTATTTCTTTCCATGTTTCTATGTTCTGCCCTTTTTTTCTTTCCTTCTGGGACTCAGATGATAGGAAGCTCGGCCCTTTTGTTATTACCTAAGGTCTCTATGGTTCTGTTCAAGGTTTTCAAACTTTGTCTGTTACTCAGATTCAGTCATTTCTATTAATTTATTTATGAACTGACTGACTACTTCCTCCATCATCTTCATCCCAGTAGTGAGCCCAGCCAGTGTGTTTTCTATTTTCGTAGTTGATTTTTTTCATTTCTAATATTTCCACTTAGTTCTTCTTCATATCTTCCATTTCTTTGCAAAATTTTCTATATGTTTTAAGAGTACCCTCCTTTACTTGTACAATATTTTTAACAACTGCTTGAAAATCTTTGTCAAATAATTCCAGTATCTGTTTCATCTCAGAGTAGCTGTTGGCTTTTTGTATGCTGAGTATGGTTTCAGTATGCTGAATTGTATCCTAGACATTTTAAATACTATGTTTTGAGATTCTGGTTATTGTTAAAATCTTACAGTGAACATTATTAACTTTATTTTAGAAGATAATCACCCCAAATGGGTTCAGACCACAAATTCCAAGTTCCTGCAAGACTTGTGTGGATTGTGGTTGCTGTGAGTCTGTGAGATGTGGATCTGTCTCGCACAAGCGCCACCTAGTGGCCAGCCTGGGACTCTGGTGGTAATCTATCCCACATTTCAGCACTCAAAGTCTGTGTGGTCCGTGTAGGGTCGGATCCATACATGTAGAGCTCAAGGGTAAGCCCAAGAGTTCATGAGCAACTTTCAGGGGTTGCTCTCCCGAAGCCCTTCCTCATTGTAACCTGCCCAGTAGTGTCTGGGTCCCTGGGCTCTACCTTTTCAGCCCTCCAGCCAGCTTGGGTGGTTGAGGCTTGATTTACCCTACTCTCTGGTGCACTTGACTGAACCACGTCAGAGCTAAGCAGCGAGAAGCCAGAGAGAAAAAGCATGAAGGTTTCCCCACCCTCTGGGGACCTCAGACTCTCTGGTTGGAAAGGAAGTTTGCCTGGCCTGATGACTTTAATTATCTGCCATTTCTCACTAGGGCCACAAAATTTCTTGAGGTCTGGGGCACAGAGAAGAAAAAATTTTAGAAGAAAAAGAAAAAAAAAAAGGATAAATTAGAGATTTCCAGACTTTCTTAGAACGGTAGAGACCCCTTTCCTGCTTCTGTACCCGAGTTGCTGGGCTTTTCCTGGAATTAGTGCCCACTCTGGGTTAGGAGCTGCATTGACTCCACACTGGGGAGACTGGAGGAAGGGAAGTGTCTTGCTCACCTCCAGCTCTGTGGTACTTCCAACTGTGGTCTCCTTTCTGCATCGGCACCTCCAACTGTGATCCACCTTCCTGAGCCCGGTCGCTGCTGCCTGCACGCTGTCCAGGGGTCCCGACTGCACCCAGTGGGACAGAGGGTGGCAGTGGTGAGTGCTCACTCACCTCACCCACTGCTGGGTCCTGCCCTTGGCTTTCACAGGTAAGAGGACTGTGGTTCCATTGTGTATGATGGATTATTTAAGGTGTCAAAGTTATTTGGGTGAAGATTTCTCTAAAGCCAGTGTTTCAAAGAATGAAATATTTTTGTTGTAAGTCCTCAGAAAGATCTGTATTGGGAGGATGTCAGTAATGTAGGAATTTAGAGGGGAGATGTCTAAACAGACATAAATCCTCATGGTGGCAGAAGCTGAGTGGAAGGTACGTGGTCCTCATTTGTAACTTCTTGTATTTTTATTTATTTCAAAATAAAAAGTTAAACACTGCAATGATGGGAATCACAGTACAGCAGAGGGAGGCCAGTAAGAGAAAGGAGGAGCAGAGGCTGATCACAACCTTGGTAAACTGAGGCAAGTGAACACTGATCTGCCTCCAAACAGAAGAGGGTGGCCTTGCCTGTTCACCTGCTTCCTGTGTTACCAGATCAAACTTGGGTCTGGCTCTCTGGCGCAGCAAAGCCAAAAACTGACATCAAGATTGCAGTAAGAGAAAGTGAGACATTTATTGCAGGGCTGGAAGCCAGGAGAATTGGGCAGCTCATGTTTAAGCCCTGAATCCCCCAGTGCCATATAGGTAAGCGTTTTTACAGGCAGGAAGAGGCTGGGCGTGGTGGCTCATGCCTGTAATCCTAGCACTTTGGGAGACCTAGGCTGGTGGATCACCTGAGGTCAGGAGTTCGAGACCAGCCTGGCTAACATGGTGAAACCCTGTCTCTCCTACAGACACAAAAATTAGCTGGGTGTGGTGGCATACACCTGTAATCCCAGCTACTCAGAAGGCTGAGGCAGGAGAATCGCTTAAACCCAGGAGGCGGAGGTTGTAGTGAGCTGAGACCGCACCATTACACTCCAGCCTGGCGACAGAGCGAGACTCCATCTTGAAAACATAATAATAATAAAATAAAGGCAGGGGGCAGAAGTTACAGGCAAAGATATAAATCAATACACGGAGGCTGTACATTGGTTTGACCTAAAAAGACAGGACATCTTGAACCAGATGTGGGGCGGAGGGCATAGGTCATAGGTAGATTTGAAGATTTTCTGATTTACAATGGGTTAAGGAGACGAAGCTTTGTCTGCAAATTTGTGATCAGCAGAAAAGAATGTTAGCTCTGGTCTCTGGGCATGACTTCCTCCAGGCCCCTCAGTAGGAAATTTAGAACAAAGAGTGGTGGTCCAAACTCAGTCCTCAGTTTCCCCTGTCTGAGGTCTGCATGCCAGCAGATAGCACTTTTCATTTGTTGGTGTCTTGGTTTCTGGAAATCAACTTAAGGACTTCTGTTAAAATGTTATCTTTAGTCTCTATGGGAACTTTGGTCTATTCTGTGACTTAAACTTCCCTGGCTATTGTTTTAAGTTATTCTTCCCTTCTTGCTTCAGTTGCTCATTTACTTCCCTGTGCTGGCTAGGTACCTGGAAATGCCTTTGAAGGAACTTAAGATTTCCTTTTATTTCCATGCTTGGGGGCAGGTGCCCGGCAAGCCCCTAAGAGGGGTCTCTGCTCCATCTCATCTTCATATCAGCCCCTTGCATGTCCCTGAAGTGGTTCTCCAAAACAAATTCTAGTCAGGTAACTCCATTTCCTCCAATTTTTCATACTCCATCCCCATTACCTGCAAAATAAACTTCTCCAACTGGTACTCCAGCCCTTCAGCATCTAGTCGTATTCCGTCCCTCCCCTCATTACCTGAGGCATCTCTTCACCATCCCTTTCCCTGACTTGACACCCACCTCTGTGCTTCTGCCTCTACCCATTGCTCCTGCTGCTCCTCCCCCTGCACACACTGCCTGCCTGTTGAAATTCAGCTCTCCCTCCACGATGGATCATGAACTCCCCGACAGCAAGGACCATACAAGGTTTTGTTCACTGTTTGCCCAACACCCAGCACGTATGAGTCCCTCAGTAGAGTGATCTATTAATAGCTGCTGAGGTGCAGTGATGAGCAGCCAGACAGAAATTGCCCACATGGAGACAGATGGAAATAAGTTATATAGTGTGTTAGCCATTAGTGCTGTGGAGATAACTAAGTCGGGGAGAAGGAAGCAGGTATGAGTGTGTACAGTTTTAAATTAGGGTTGTCAGGGAAGGCTTCACTTAAAAAAAATGGGATCTGAGCAAAGATTTGAGGTGAGAAAGCAAGCCACGTGGATGTCTGGAGGAAGAAGTTTCTATGACGAGGTAAGGATTCACTGATAATTCCTTGCCCTCCTGTGGAACTTTGTGGACTTCTGCTGCAGCTTGTATTTGGTTGTGCCTTATTTTATAATTCATCACATGCTTATCAAGCTGGATTTGCCCAGTCTTGAGCACATGCCATTGATTGAGCAGAGTTCACGGCTCTGGCGTTTTCAAGTGTGTGCAATTAGAGGACTGCCATGGGCAAATCCCACACCCTTGAATGGGAACAAAAAGGTGGTCTAGGGACCATGAATCCTAAGCAGGAGTTAACACTCGACCACAAGGTGTGATGGCCCTTGGCCGGGGCTGGGACCATCAGTGGGTCTAGAAATACTGAAAGGAAACCGCTGGCTGCCCTTCCAAGTGTCCTGTTCCCACTAGGGAGAGCTCTGCCGTTAGACCAGACATATTTGGGGGAAAAATGGCAAAAAAAATAAAAATAAACATCTCCAGATCAGAATTCTAAGATACTCCCTCTCGCCTGGCCTCATTCAGGAAGACACATTCTTCCTTTAGAGAGATGAGTGTATTTAAATACTCTTAAACAGACCCATTAAGACCATTTGCAGTGAGTTTCCTTGTGTCACGCTGATCAATTAAGTAGATCTTATTTCCTTCATTTCCTTCCTATTGGGGAAGCTTGTAACCCCCAGGTATCATCACTGGCCTATTTTGTTGGTTTTATTCAAGAGTCTGTGCCATTGTGGCTGCTTGAAATTAAACACTTTGGCCAGGCTTGGTGGCTCATGCCTGTAATCCCAGCACTTCGGGAGGCCAAGGCAGGCAGATCACGAGGTCAGGAGTTCGAGACCAGCCTGACCAACATGGTGAAACCCTGTCTCTACTAAAAATACAAAAATTAGCCGGGTGTGGTGGTGCATACCTGTAATTCCAGCTACTCAAGAGGCTGAGGCAGGAGAATTGCTTGAACCCAGGAGGCATAGGTTGCAGTGAGCCGAGATCGCGCCATTGTACTCCAGCCTCCGCAACAGAGTGGGACTCTGTCTCAAAAAAAAAAAAAAAAAAAAAGGAAAAGAAGGAAAGAAAGGGAGAGAGAGAAAGAGAGAAAGAAAGACACTTCCTCTCCGGAAAGCCAGTCATATTCATCCCAGCGTCTTTCTTGGTGTCTGTGCATGGATAAAGCCTCCCCATTCCCCCGTGCCCCCCACCACTTTGTGTCCTTTCACTTTGCTTCACTTATGTGCCCACCACTCCAGGGCTCCCTGAGGTCCAGGAATTCCATGCCATTCCCTTTCACATGGCTGAGAGCCCCAGCCCTGTGGATGAGCTGTCCTGAGTGGGCACTCAGTAATGTGGGCGTAACTGAACCAAGCTGAAGAGGGAAGGAGCAAAAAACAACCAGAAGCCCTCAGATTCAGAGTCATGTCGTTAAACACTTTTTAAAATAAAAAATTAGCTGTGCAAACTGAAATCAATTTAAACTATTTTCTTTGACTAGGCAGGAAAGAGGAGGCTGCTACATATTAAGAACTCCCACTTAAGCCAAACCTTCATGTTTCCAATCTCCAAGCAGGCATTGAGGGCCTCTGGGCTGCGTGTGGGAGAGCCAGGAAGAAAGAAGAGTAGGCCCTGCCTTTAAGGTCCTTCCTGCCTAAAGCAATCTATAGGCAGCTGTGTTCTAACAAAACTTTTATTTATAAAACAGGCAGCCAGCCAGCCTGCCTATGGGCAGTAGTTTGCCAACCTGTGCTGTAGATTAAAAGAGGCTTAAGAGATCTGTCAGATAGTGATAATGTATGCACATTATTTGAATACTGATTCCAACAAACTAAAAAAGAAAAATTATAAGACAATCTGGGAAATGTGAGCACTTAACATTTACTGGATATTTGATGATATTAAAGAATAACTACTTTTAGATATGATATTTTTATTATGATAGTGCTAAGAAAAATAAGATACATACTGACGTGGATGGATGAAGTAATATCATGCAGGGGTTTTCTGGGGACAGGCGAATGGGTGGGAGAGGAGATGAAACAATATTATCCATGAGTTGATTTTGATTAAACCTGAATAGTAGATGCAAACAGGTTTATTATAAGTGATGTACGAATGTTTCCATAATAAAAAGTTTTAAAACAGACAGCACCAGGAAACCTCCACTTCCAGCCAAGATGAAGTATCAGAATGTGGGTGTGCCCTCCTGCCTGAAAAAGAAAAAGATAAATATGATAAACAAGACACTGAACGTTAGATAGTGAAGGACAGTAGTCCCCAAGAGATTGGAAACAAACAAGGTTAGTCCTATAATTGCCCAGCTCACTGCCTTGAGAAAGTTTCTAATCCGTGGTACAGGGAGGAGGAACCCAGAGGAAGCTTGCCTGACTCCACAGTGGAAGGAGACAGAGCTTAGAGTCCCAGGAGTCCAGGAGGCTGGAGTCCTCAGGTCAGAGCCTGAGAGCGGAGACAGCTACACAGAGAGAACTGCAGCGATTCACAGAGGGTTTGCCTGTGCCACTCAGCCAAGTGCCGATCAGTGCCTGTGTGTGAGGAAGCTGTGTGCAGCTGGGGAGAGAACCACCTGAGAGGATTAGAGGAAACAGTGCCTGGGGCTGATACAGAGCCATGGAAAGTGCCTGTGCTCACCAGCCAGGCCGGACAAGCACTGAATATAATACCTAGAAGGATCTTGCCTCAGTAATTGGGAATAATTAGCCCTGTAATAAAAACTTTTCTAGGGCTAGACACAGTAGCTCATACCTGTAATCCCAACACTTTCGGAGGCCAAGCCAGGAGGATGGCTTGAGGACAAGAGTTCAAGACCAGCCTGAACAACATAGCAAGACCTCTGTCTCTACAAAAATCTTCTAAAAATTAGCTGGGCATCGTGGCATATGCCTGTGGTCCTGGCTACTCAGGAGGCTGAGTTGAGGAGATCACTTGAGCCCAAGAGTTCGAGGTTATGGTGAGCTATGATCGCACTGCTGACTCCAGCCTAGGCAACACTAAGACCCTGACTCTAAAAAAATAAAAGTAAATAAATCACTCTGATCATACCTAATGAACCTTAAAAGCAAGAAGCAAGATCCACAAGGATCACAGTGAAATGGCCTCATTGCCTGATCCAAAGTTCTTGATCTCACAGCCAAGGAAGTCAAGGACACGGCCACACCAAGGGTGAGGTTAGAGCAGAAGCAGAAGTTTATTAGGCAAAAGAAAGATAACAGCTCTCTGCAGCAGAGAGGGATTAAAAGCGTTGCCATTCAGCAGTGAAATTCAAGGGTTTTTATAAGCTAGCTAGTGGGGAGGTGAGGTGTTATCTTACCTACATAGGGTGTGAAAAACCCCAGGTGTGCCATCTGCGTAGAGCATGAATCTCTGGCATCCCCCACCCCACCCTTTTATTATACAGGCAGGTCTTTTGCCTGAGCTACTCCACGTTGCTTTCCTACTGTGTATGTGCTTCAAAGGGGGAGGTGGAGCCTCCATGGTGGACACACCTGGCCTCAGGTACCCCTTTCTGTCTGTGCAGCTGCAAGCATCCCCCGATGCAAACTCCAGCTTCCTTATCTGTTTGCAGCCGGGTCTTCCAGGCTGCTTTCTGTTAGAAGAGGAGTGATTTCCTGGGCTGCTTTTTGGTAGAAGGGAAGTTCTGCCGAGGACTCTCTGCCCTAACTATCTGCCTAGCTGGTCTCTTTTTACCTCCTCTCTCAAGAGTATTTCCAAGAAATGTAACTTCATTCTACAACAAAGCTCAATAACATTTATAGAAATATAAACTTGTCCAGCACCAAATAATGTAAAAGTCTTGCTGTCTGGCACCCAATCAGAAGTTATCAGGAATGCAAAGTAGCAGGAACATAGGACCCATAATGAGGAGAAACTGTTCAATCAAAGTCAAACCAGAACTGCTAGAGATGTTAAAATTATCAGACAAGGGCACTAAAAGTTATTAATAACTGTACTCTATAGAATAGAATAAGGTACATATTGAGATGCTGTTCAGATGTTTAAGTAAAGATATGGAACATACTTTTTAAAGCTTGAGCTGAACTTCCAGAGATGAAGACTACATCTGAGATGAAAAAGTAACTCAATGGAATTAACAGCACATTGCTTAATACAAAAAAAGAGAAAGGTTAGTGAACATGAAGACATAGCAATGGAAAATATCCAAAATGGAACACAGAAAAAAATAGAAGTAAAGAAATATTAAAGGCATCAGTGAAAGCCAGGTGCAGTGGTGCATATCCGTAATCCCAGCTACTTAGGAGGTTGAAGCAGAATTATTGCTTGAGCCCAGGAGTTTGAGGCTAGCCTGGGCTACATAATGAGACCCTCATCTCTAAAAAAGAAAAAATAATTAAAAATTAAATCATCTGTGAGCTGTGGAAAAATGTAAGCAGCCTAAAATAAGTGTAATTGGAATCCTTGAAGGAGAGGCATGAACAATAGGAAAAAATGATTCAAGGAAACAGTACCTCTAAGAAAATGTATAAGTTAAACACCTCTATTAGAAAAGAAGCAGGGCCTCAAATCAGTTACCTTAATTTTTATCTTGAAAACTAGAAAAAAAAAAAGCAAATTAAACCCAGACAGAAGAAATGAAATAATAAAGACCAGAACAAAAAACAATGAAATACTAAATGGAAAAATAAATTAAACCCAGACAGAAGAAATGAAATAATAAAGACCAGAACAAAAAACAATGAAATAGTAAATGGAAAAATAGTAGAGAAAGTCAGTGAAACCAAAAGTGGGGTCTTTGAGATCAATAAAATTGATAAACCCATAGCCACATAATCAGAGGAAAAAGAAGATACAAATTAACAATATCAAGAATGAAAGAGATGACCTCAGTACAGATTCTCAAGATATTAAAAGGATTATAAAGGAATATTATAAACAATTCTATGCCAATAAATGCAGCAAGTTAAATGAAATTCACAAATTATTTGAAAGGTACAAAATACCAAAGCCTATACAAGAAAAAAAATAAATGATTTGAATAGCTCTATGTTTATTAATGAAATCTAAGTTGTAGTTTAAAACTTTCTCACAAAGATAACTGCAAGCATCTATAGCTTCATTGGTAAATTCTACCACACATATAAAGGAAAAATTTTACCAGCTCTTCCAGGAAATTGAAAAGGGTTTGTACTTCTCAACTCATTCATTCTTTGCGCCAGCATTACCCTAATACAAAACCAAGAAAGACTACAGACAAATATTCCTCATGAAGAAAAGTGTGAAAATACTGAAAAAAATTTTAGCAAATCGAATTTGGCATTATATAAAAAGGATACTACATCATGACTAAGTGGGTTTTATCCCAAGAATGCAAAACTAGTTTAACATTCAAAAACCAATCAACATAATTTTCCATATTAATATACTGAGAAACAGAAGGTATACAATCATCTCAGTAAATGCAGAAAGAGCCTTTGGTAAAATCCACATTCGTTCTTGATTTTTAGAAAACACTCAGAAAACTAGGAATAGAAGAAAACCTCCTCAATCTTATATAAAGTATTTACAAAAAAGCCTACAGCTAACCTGACACCTAGTGATGAAAGAAAGCTTTTCCCCAAAGATCAAGAGGGAAATAAGGATGCCCTCTTTCACCACTTCTATCCAACATTTTCCTGGACATTCTAGCCAGTGCAGTCAAACAATAAATTATAATTAAAAAGCATCCAGATTGGAAAAGAAGAAGCAAACTATCTTTATTCACAGGTGACATGATGACATATGTAGAATATCTAATGGAATTTAAAAGCATTTTTTGGAACTAGTAAGTGAAGTTAGCAGTGTTGTAAGATAGAAAATCAATATAGAGAGGTCAGTTGCATTTTTACAATTGCAATGAATAATTGCATTATTTTTAAAAATAAATTTTAAAAATACTTTATTCAGTAGCATCCAAAAATATAAAATGTGAATAAATTTACAACTGAAACTTCAAAAGATTGCTTAAAGAGATGAAAAACCTAAATAAAGGGTTAAGTGTACCATATACAGGGTCAAAAGACTCAATATTGTTAAGATGTTGGTTCTCCCCAGATCGCTTTAAATTCAGTACGATCTCAATAACAATCCAAACCAGCTTTTTATGTAGAAATTAACAAGTTGACTTTAAAATCCATACATAAATCCAAGGATAGAGAATAAACAAAACAAACTTTGAAAAATTGGAATAAAGTTAGAAGGCGTATTAGTTCTCACATTGCTATGAAGAGATACCCAAGACTGGGTAATTTATAAAGGAAAGAGGCTTAGTTGACTCACAGTTCCACATTACTGGGGAGGCCTCAGGAAACTTACAGTCATGGTGGAAGACAAAGGAGAAGCAGGCACCTTCTTCACAGGGCAGCAGGACGGAGTGAGTGCAAGCAGGGGAGATGCCAGACACTTATAAAACCTTCAGATCTTGTGAGACTCACTCATTATTCACAAGAACAGCATGGGGGAAACTGCCCCCATGATCCAATGACCTCCACTCAGTCCTGCCCTTGACACGTGGAGATTATGGGGATTTCAATTCAAAGTGAGATTTGGGTGGGGACATAGAGCCAAACTATATCAGAAGTCTGACAATACCTGATATTAAAACTCATAAGAGTACAGTAATCAAAACTGTGATATTGATCAAATGTTCAACATGAGGACTATCATTAATAATATTGCATAGTGTACTAGAAAATTTGCTCTTACCACTCACAGACATACACACACATATGCACAAAGGGGTAACCGTGAAATGATGAATAAGCTAATGTGCTTGACTATAATAACCATTTCACTATGTATAAGTGTATCAGAACATCATATCATATACCTTAATATATACAGTAAAGTAGTTTTTTTAATGTAGAGAATTAGATCAATGAAACAAATTGGAAAGTTAAGAAACAGTTTACATATGTGGACAACTGATCTTCAATAAGGATACAAAAGTAATTCAGTGCAAAAAAATCATCTTTTCAACAAATTGTGGGATAATTGGATTTATATATGCAAAAGAAGTGAACTTTGGTTTACATCTCACTCATATGCAAAAATTACCTTAAAATGGATGGTATCCCTAAATATAAAACCTAAAGCTAAAAAAGTCTTCTAGAAAAAAACACAGGAGAAAATCTTTTTATTTTATTTTTATTATTTTTTTTATTTCCTTAGATTATTGGCATACAGGTGGTGTTTGGTTACATGAGTAAGTTCTTTAGTGGGGATTTGTGAGATTTTGGTGCACCCATCACCCAAGCAGTATACACTGAACCCTATTTGTAGTCTTTTATCCCTGAGTCCTCAAAGTCCATTGTGTCATTCTTCTGCCTTTGCATCCTCATAGCTTAGCTGCCACTTATAAGTCAGAACATACGATGTTTGGTTTTCCATTCCTGAGTTACTTCACTTAGAATAATAGTCTCCAGTCTCATCCAGGTCGCTCAAATGCCATTAATTCATGAGAAAATCTTTTTAACCTTGTCTTAGGAAAAGATTTTCTAGAGACAATACCCCATGAACAATCCATAAAAGAAAAAATTAATAAATTGGACTTCATTTAAAACTTAAACTGCTTTTTGAGGATAGTGCTAAGAGAATGAACAGATAAACTACAAGTTGGAAGAAAGTACTGCAAATCATATATGTGGTAAAGTACTTGTTTCTAAAATATGTAAAGAGCTCTCATGACTCAATTATTTTTGTAAAAACTATCCAATTAAAAATAAGCAAAAGCTTTGAACAGACTTCACCAAAGAAGATACATGGATAGCAAATAAGCAGGTGAAAAGACGCTCAACATCATTAATCCTTAGGGAAATATAACTTAAAGCCAGAATGAGATAGCACTACACACCTATGAGAATGACTAAAACCAACAATACTGAGCATACCAAATCTCAGCAAGGATGTGGAAAAACTGGTAAATTTGTACGCTGCTGGTTTTGAATGGAAAGTGGTGCAGCCACTTTAGAAAACAATTCAGCAAGTTCTTCAAAATTAGACATGTACCTAGTGTACAATCCAGCAAATTTTACTCCTATTTATTTACTTAAGAAAACCGAAAGCCTTTGCCCATAGCAAAGCTTGTACACAGATGTTTTTAGCATTCTTAGTGAGGGCTAAAAAACTGGAAGCAACCTAAATGCCCATCACAGGTAAACAGGTAAACAAATGGTGGTAGATACATACACTGGAATGCTACTCGGCTCTCAATCCAAAGGAGTGAATTATTGATAACGTGCAACAACAGTGATGACTCTCAAAATAATTACATGAAGTGAAAGAAGTGAGACAAAAAAAAAACTACATGTTGTGCAATTCCACTTATGTAAAGTCTAGGAAATGCATAGTGATCTATAGCGATGGAATGCAGGTCAGTGATTGCCTCAGATAGGGCTGAGGGCAGCAGTGAGCAGTGGGGATTACAAAGCAGCTGAGGAATTTTTTTTTTTTTTTTTTTTTTTTTTTTTAGAGGGAGGCTGGAGTGCGGTGGTGCGACCTCGTCTCACTGCAAGCTCTGCCTCCTGGGTTCATGCCATTCTCCTGCCTCAGCCTCCTGAGTAGCTGGGACTACAGGCGTCCGCCACCATGCCTGGCTAATTTTTTGTAGTTTAGTAGAGATGGGGTTTCACTGTGTTAGCCGGGATGGTCTTGATCTCCTGACCTCATGATTCGCCCACCTCAGCCTCCCAAAGCGCTGGGATTATAGGCGTGAGCCACCGCGCCTGGCCTGAGCAATCTTTTGAGAGTGGTAGATATGTATGGTATCTTGCGGTGATAACAGACCTCAGAGGTATTGCAGATTCAGTTCCAGACCACTGCAATAAATATAGCAATAAAGCAAGTCACATGAATTTTTTGGTTTTCTAGTGCATATAGAAATTATGTTGGCTAGGCACAGTGGCTCACACCTGTAGTCCCAACACTTTGAGAGCCAAGGAGGATGGATAGCTTGAGCCCGGAGTTCCAGACCAGCTTGGGCAGCATGGTGAGACCTCGTCTCTATTGAGAAAAAAAAAAAAAAACCCTACAAAAATCAGCCTGGTTTGGTGGTGCATGCCTGTAGTCCCAGCTACTGGGGAGGCTGAGGTGGGAGGATTGCTTGAGTTGAGGAGACAGAGGTTGCAGTGAGTAGAAATAGTGCCACTCTACTCCAGTCTGGGTGACAGAGCAAGACCCTGTCTCAAAAAAAAAAGTTATGTTTATACTATTCTGTAGTCTACTAAGTGTTCAATAGCATTATATCTAAAAAAGTACATAACTTGATTTGAAAAAATACTTTATTGCCAAAAATGCTAACAATCATCTGAGCCTTCAGTGAGTCATAATCTTTTTGCTGGTGGAGGGTCTTGCCTCAATGTTTATGGCTGCTAACTGATCAGGGTGGTGATTGCTGAAGGTTGGGGTGGCTGTGACAATTTTTTAAAATAAGACAATCATGAAGTTTGATGCATTTAATTGACTCTTCCTCTCATGAAAGATTTCTCTGTAGCATGTGTGATGCTATTTGATAGCATTTTACCCACAGTGGAACTTCTTTCAAAATTGAACTCAGTCCTCTGAAACCTTGCTGCTGCTTTATCAAATGCATTTTGTAATTTCTAAATCCTTTTTGTCATTTCAGCAATGTTCACAGCATCTTTACCGGGAGCAGATTCCATCTCAAGAAACCACTTCCTTTGCTCATCCATAAGAAGCAACTCCCCAACTTGAGATTGTAGCAATTTAGTCACATCTTCAGACTCCACTTCTAATTCCAGTTCTCTTCCACGACATCTGCAGTTAATTCTTCCACTGAAGTCTTGGACCCCACAAAGTCATCCATGAGAGTTGGAATCCACTTCTTACAACCTCCTGTTAATGTCGATAATTTGACCTCCTCCCATGAATCATAGATGTTCTTATTGACTTCTAGAGTTGTGAATCCTTTCCAGAAGGTTTTCAATGTACTTTGCCCAGATCTATCAGAGGAATCACTGTCTATGGCAGTTATAGCCTTATAAAATGTATTTCTTAAGTAATAAGAGTTGCAAGTCAAAATTACTCCTTGATCCGTGGAGTACAGAATGGATGTTGTATTAGCAGACATGAAAACATTGATCTTGAACATCTTCATCAGAGCTCTTGGGTAACTAGGTGCATTGTCAAATGAGCAGTAATATTTTGAAAGAAATCTTTCTTTCTGAGCAGCATGTCTCAGCAATGAGCTTAAAATATTCAGTAAACCAAGGTATCAACAGATGTGCTGTGCCCAGGCTTCTTTGTTCCTATAGAGCACAGGAAGAGTAGATTTAGTGTCATTCTTAAGGGCACTAGAACTTTCAGAATGATAAATGAGCATTTGTTTCAACTTAAAGTCACCAGCTACAATTGTCCCTGTCTGTAGAAGCTTTGAAGCCAGGCAGAGACTTATTCTCATCTAGCCTAGATAACATCTTCTTCCAATAGACGGCTGTGTTGTCTACATTGAACATCTGTTGTATAGTGTAGCCACCTTAATCAGCGATGTTAACTAGATCTTCTAAGATCTAGAGATCTTGCTGCAGCTTCTCCATCAGCACTTGCCACTTCCCCAGTGCTATAACATAAAACTTTTATGTTATTGAAGATGGCTTTTTTCCTTAAACCTCATGAACCAACCTCTGCTAGCTTCTAACTTTTCTATTCTTTTTTTTTTTTTCCATTTGAACAACTTGACATTTTAGGGTTGTTAATAGCCTAACTTTAATATGTTGTGTCTCAAGGAATACGGAGGCCTGAGGAGAGGGAGACCGGAGAATCACTGGTCAGTGGAGCAGTCAGAACACACACAACGTTTATTAAGTTCATCGGTATGTGTGGGTGTGGTTCGTGGTGCCCCAGAACCAGAACTGTTGTAATTACAACAGTAACATCAAAGATCACTGAGCACAGGTCACTATAACAAATATAATCCTAATGGAAAAGTTTGAAATACTGTGAGAATTCCCAAAATGTGACACAGAGATGCACAGTGAGTGCATGCTGTTTGAAAAATGATGCCAATAAACTTGCTCAGCACAGGGTTGCCACAAACCTTTAATTTGTAAAAAGAAAATGCAGTATCTTCAAAGGGCAATACAGTAAAGCACAGTAAAATGAGGTGTGTCTGTATGGACACGTGTCAGCTTCTCAAATTGTAAACTTTAAATATGTGCATTTTATTTGGTGTCAATTGTATAAAGCGATTAAATTTTTAAAAGGACTGATGCAGACAGCACCTGGCATCTGGGATAAAGTGTATCATTTTCCTCTTTATGGCAGGAACTGCCACGCCCCCTGTTTTCATGCTGCTGGAGACCAGCCGGCAGGTGGGGGGCAGTGGCTCTCCTTGTCAATCCTGGGCATGCAGGTGACAGTGCAGGGAGAGTGCCCTTCCCACATGGCCCACGTTTGTAGCCACAGCTGTCCCTGCAAAAACTGTGCAGCCTGAAGTGAATTAACAAGACAGTTTTCAGATCTTCACTTGCTTGTGGGTTTCACATGTCACATTTAACCTCCAGTTACATCGACTTTTTCAAACCCCACTTAGGCATCTTAGAATTTTATCATTTGCATTCTTTTATGTTGAATAAGAGAGTTGTAGTACATGCCCCACTGTCTGCTTTCTGAAACATCCAGGTTGGAGTTAGCGCCTTCACACACTCTCCCTGGAAGCACCAGGCGCCATCCTCAGTGCAGCGGCAAGGCGGTGTCGGGGCTCTCTGCCCCCAGGTCTCTCCCCGCCTGGTTCCATTGGCTGCTGGGAAGGATGTTTGGATGGGAGGTCTTTGTGTTTTCAGGCAGGAAATATTATTTGCTCCGCTAGCCCTAGGCCTTACTAATTTACTGTGCAGTCTTCAACAAATTTCTTGATCTTCTGCTCTCTGTTTTCTCATCTGTAAAATTGAGGGCAGTGAGCAAGGTGACCTGTAGGTCCCAGGAGTGCCAAGGTAGTGCCGTATTTAGTACCAGGTTTTCCTAAGAGGAAATGGGGGCTACTTGGGGTCAAAACAAAGGAGAGTCTTTCTAGATAGGGAAGGACTAGCAGTGGGTCAAAACTTGCCAAGAAGGACTATGAAGGGAGCTTTGCTTGGGGTTTAAAAGCTCTGATCACAGACTTGGAGGGGCTCAAACCCCTCGCTTTAGAAGGCAGAAACCAAGAACCACTAAGGACCTAGGACTTGCTGACGGTGTCTTTGGAGTTAAAGGTGGAACTGAAGTTAGAGCTGATTTTCTTCCTGTCACATCCAGTAAGACTGGGAATGGTTGGGTGCCAGAGGCAGGTTCCAGAAGGTGGGAAGAGTCCTGTCTGCATCCCCAGGGTCCTAACCTTGAGGAAAGCTTGCTGTCCTTTTGTCCTGCTTCACACTCCCTTTGGTTAAAGGTTTCACTCAGAGCCCGATGGAAACCTTCAGGAAAAAAGGGCCCCAAACCGAGGCGAGGACACTGGGGAAGCCTTGGGTGGTTTCTGTGTGGGGCGGCCCCTGCTCTGTGAAGCACAGGGGAATAGGACTCCATCGCTGTCATCGTCACTCATGCCCTGGTGCAGACCTGCAGGAACATTGCCTGCTGTATACAGGGCAAATGGGCACTGTGCCGGGAGAAGCCTGTAGGAAGAGAGACCTGGAGGGATGAGGAGGGAACTCCGACCATGAGCATGCACGGAGCTCCGTGAAGGAGGGCCTTGACAGACAGAGGCATGGTGGGTGGAGACGGGTGGAGAACATCCGGGCAGAACACAGAGCATGCGCCGTGGCGTGCTGGCAGGGACGTATATGCTGTGTAAAGGCAGGGAGTAGGTCCAGGTGCCCTGGGAAGAGTGTGTGTAGAGAAACGTCGTGGAAGAGGAGACGCCAAGGAAGACCCGATGCGAGGTCATGGCTGGTTTGCGTGCTTTGTGGAAACTGCCATAGACTGGCTTTTGTCAGCAATGGCAGAGAGAGGGGGTTGCATTTTTCTCCTTTTAGTTTGCTTTTGAGGTCTCCCTCTCTCTGTAGAGTGGCTGTGAACTCCAGCCCTGCCCTGATGGGGCTCCAGGGGAGGTGGTTGTGCATGTTTATGATGTGCCTTCACGGGGTACTTCTTTATCCTGGTGGATGGCAGAATCCCTGTGTCTGACCTGTGCCCAGGTCTCTCATGAGAAACTTGTTTACCCTCTTAGATACCCTTGAGTCTCTTGTCTGTGTCTGGTGTATTTATTTATTTAGCCTACCAAGATAGCCACTCTTCAGGAGAGTTCTGAATTTGGAAAGAAGTTAGGATCAGGTGTGTTGGTCAAGTGAGACACAGAGGAGGCCACTCAACAAAACCCATGAAATACCAGAAGCAGTGAGTTCCTCGCAGGTCCAGAGAGAAGAGGGCAGCACGCTGGACTGGGGGAGCCGTCAGGACCCTTGTGCTCGCCAGCAGGTGGGGAGCAAGAGAGATGGAGTGTGGGCCCTGAGAGCTGAAGCCTTTATGGGGTCCAGGCCATCACCCCAGCAGGTTCCCAAGAAGTTGTAATTCGTTGGCTTAGATCAGGTAGGCACAAGTTACGGGAGGCCATGTTGTGAGGGAGAGGTGGTCATGGCAGCATATCTGGGCAGTCCATGCCGGGTGTGAGGGTCTGCAGGGTGGGTCAAGTAGGTTGCATCTAGCTGTCCCTTAGGGACTTGGTCACCAGGAGGCAGCTATATAAGGCACATCTCTGGATCGACCATTTTGAGGGCCTGGGAAGAGGTGGAGACGTGGAAACTTTCAAGGATGACTAAGCCCTGCTTCTGGTATGAGAAAGTCCAACATATATTCAAAATAGGTACCAAGAAAGCATAACATTGTAAGAATTCACTGCAGTGGATCATCTGAAGGGTCTAAGGTGAGAAATGAATATGTAGTGTAGAAGTTGAAGAGGCATCCACAGGAATGATCTCTAATGAACTGGATCTGCCTCCAAGATAGAGATCAAAATTGGTTTAAAACAAATACAAGCCAGGTGCAGTGGATCACGCCTGTAATTCCAGCACTTTGGGAGGCCAAGGCAGGAGAATCACTTGAGGCGAGGAGTTGGAGCCTAGCCTGGGCAATATAGTACGACCCTGTCTTTACTAAAAATGCAAAAATTAACCACGTATGGTGGCTCACACCTGTAGTCCTGGCTACTGAGGAGGCTGATGCAGGAGAATCATTTGAACCCAGGAGGTCAAGGCTGCAGTGAGCTATGATTGCACCACTGCAATCCAGCCTGGACAACACAGTGAGACCCTGCCTCAAAAAAATTATATTCTGATTTTCTGAGTCCATGAACACATTGTCCAAATGGATTTTTCTAGCTCCTCCAAGTTACAGATAGTTCCACGCACACACAGAACTCACCACTCTCAAATATTTTCCCCACTAGTATACTATTAAATTTTTCAAACATGCAAAAGATGAAAGAATTGCTCAGTGAACACCATGTACCCACCACCTAGATTCTACAATTAACATTTTACCCTACTTTCTTTATCACATATATGTACCTATCCATCTATCCATTCTTCCATGAATCCATCAATTCATCTAATTTTTTATATATTTCAAGTTAAGTTGCAGATATGTAGCTTATGTTTCACCTTAAATGTTTCTGCCTGGCTATTATTAACTGGAGTGCAATATGTTTTTGGTTCTTCTTTATGGTAAAATCTATGTTCAGTGAAATGCACAAGACTTAGGTATGCCATTAATAGGTTTTGACGAATAGACAAACCTTGTGTCTGAAACTGTAATAAAAAAATCAAACACTACCTTGCTTTCAAAAAGTTTCCTCACTTCTTTTCTTGGTCAAAACCCCTCCCCACCTCAGCCCACCCCTCAGCAACCATTGTTCTCAATTTTTTTTTTTGCATTCCTAGATTGATTTTGCTTGTTCCATAACCTCGTATAAATGAAAGTGTACAGTGTGCAAGGTTTGTGTCTGGTTTTTCCACCAAGCACATTTCTGAAATTCATCTATGTTGAGTATATTAGCAGTTCATTTCTTTTGAAGAAAGAATGAAGTGTGCTAAGTAGTGTTTCATTGTGTGGCTATACCACAGTTTTTTTTTTATCCATCACTATTTGATGGGTATCTGGGTGGTTTCTGGCTTTGGCTACTATCAGTAAAGCTACTACAGACATTTCTGTAAAAGTCTTTTTATGGAGATGTGGCTTTGTTTTTCTTGGGTAAACACCTATTAGTGAACTCTCTGGATCCCAGGTAGATGTAGCCGGGGTCATAGGCAGAGGTATGTTGAGTATTACAGAAACTGCTAGGCCTTTTCAATTGTGTTCATATTGTTTTATACTCCCACTGTAACAACATACGAGAGTCCTGCTTGCTCCATCATCTTTGATGTTTAGTGTTGTCAGTCTTTTTAACTTTAGCCATTCTAGTGCATTTGTATGTCATTCCATTGCAGTTCTTTTTTTTTTTTTTTTTTTTAATCAGTAATGTTTAGTCAAAGTCTGATATTGTGGTGTACTAGTCATCTATTGCCGCATACAAAATCATCCCAAAATTTAGCAGCCTAAGATAACCATCATATATTTCTTACACCATTTCTGAGGCTCATAAATCCAAGCGTGGCGTAACTGGCTCACGGTCCTTCTCGAGGTTGCAGTCCAGCTGGGGCTGCAGGACCTTCTTCCATCCCCACTCGCAGGGCTGCTGGTGGCCTCAGTTCTTCACTGGCGGTCAGCAGGAGACCTCAGAGCCTCACCACAGCCTCTTCCCTGGCTGCCTGGGCAACCTCGTAAGGCATCAGTTGACTTCCCTCAGAGCAAGTGATCAGAGAGAGGTAAAGAGACAGCTTACGATGGAAGCCACAGTCTGTCATGGAGTAATCTCGGAAGTGACATCCCATCACATGGGCTATAATCCATCGGTCATACAGACTAACCCTAGTACAAAGTGGAGGGGGCCACACAGAAGGATCCTTGGGGGCTATCTTGGAGGGTGGCCACCCCGTGGGGAGAAGGTGGAAGCAGCCGCCTCAGGGAGGCAGATTGTAATCAGGACCCATAGGAGTAGCAGGGAGCCCATGTGTTTCTGTGCAGTTTGCTGAAGCCAGTCAGAACATCCTGAGTCTGACTTATCACCCTTCTCTGGCCTGCTGGGGTTCCTGAACCAAGTAGTTTAACTTGCCAAGCCTTAGTTTCTGCAGTTATAAAATGGTGGTATGAATGAATGAAACAAGGTATCCGCAACACTGAAATGGAACATAATAGGGCCTGAACAGAGGACAGTTATGAATATTTCCATACAAAATGCAATTTCATGCCCTTCATCAATGGTCATTTTCTCTCATTTTACTTTTGAGGACTAGATTTGCCAAAGTCCCTCTGGGGCCAACCCAGTACACCACTGAGAAGCCCTTTGAAAAAGCCAGCTTTATCATCGTTTTGTTTTTATTTCTTGATATTTGGAAAGTTTTCTTCCTTCTGCTTCTATGTGTCCTCTGCCTAACTAGTCATGGTGACTCCTTGGATAGTATTCTCCATGGTTTCTTGTAAAATATTGATGCTTACCTTGCAATCTTGCAGCTTTTAGCATGAATTATTTTGCTGATTATAATCAGGCCTCTAGGAATAAACACCACTGATTTTAATTTAATGTTAAATTTGTACTAAGAGTGAATCATAATGGTCGGACTAATCTAAATGGTGCAAGTATATAAAACTACATGTCCATGTGCTCAGTTCCTGCTTGTTTATGTTTTGTTATAAAGTAACAGCTTTTTAACATCAAATATATTCCAAGTAGCCACCTTACAGTCACACTGCAAAACCTACTACAAAGCAAAGCCAACAAGACAAAGTCAAAATATTTCAAAGTTTCTTACTGAAGTATTGCATACCTCTAGAAATCACAACATAACTGTACAACTTAATGAATTCTCAGAAAATATAGCATCGGTGCAAATATCATTGAAATCAAATTGGTGGGGCAGTTCCAAGTTGGCCGAATAGGAACAGCTCCAGTCTATAGCTCCCAGCGTGAGCGACGCAGAAGACAGGTGATTTCTGCATTTCCAACTGAGGTACCGGGTTCATCTCACTGGGGCTTGTCAGACAGTGGGTGCAGCACACCGAGCATGAGCCGAAGCAGGGCGAAGCATCGCCTCACCCGGGAAGTGCAAGGGGTCAGGGAATTCCCTTTCCTAGCCAAGCAAAGCTGTGACAGATGGCACCTGGAAAATCAGGTCACTCCCACCCTAATACTGTGCTTTTCCAATGGTCTTAGCAAATGGCACACCAGGAGATTATATCCCATGCATGGCTCAGAGGGTCCCATGCCCACGGAGCCTCGCTCATTGCTAGCACAGCAGTCTGAGATCAAACTGCAAGACAGCAGCGAGGCTAGGGGAGGGGCGCCTGCCATTGGTGAGGCTTGAGTAGGTAAACAAAGCGGCCGGGAAGCTCGAACTGGGTGGATCCCACTGCAGCTCAAGGAGGCCTGCCTGCCTCTGTAGACTCCACCTCCGGGGGCAGGGCATAGCCGAACAAAAGGCAGCAGAAACCTCTGCAGACTTAAATGTCCCTGACAGCTTTAAAGAGAGTAGTGGTTCTCCCAGCATGGAGTTTGAGATCTGAGAACGGACAGACTGCCTCCTCAAGTGGGTCCCTGACCTCCGAGTAGCCAAACTGGGAGGCACCCCCCCAGTAGGAGCAGACTGACACCTCACACAGCTAGGTACCCCTCTGAGACGCAACTTCCAGAGGAATGATCAGGCAGCAACATTTGCTGTTCAGCAATATTTGCTGTTCTGCAGCCTCCGCTGCTGATACCCAGGCAAACAGGGTCTGGAGTGGACCTCCAGCAAACTCCAACAGACCTGCAGCTGAGGGTCCTGACTGTTAGAAGGAAAACTAACAAGCAGAAAGGACATCCACACCAAAACCCCATCTGTATGTCACCATCATCAAAGACCAAAGGTAGATAAAACCACAAAGATAGAGAAAAAACAGAGCAGAAAAACTGAGCAGAAAGGACATCCACACCAAAACCCCATCTGTATGTCACCATCATCAAAGACCAAAGGTAGATAAAACCACAAAGATAGAGAAAAAACAGAGCAGAAAAACTGAAAATTCTAAAAATCAGAGCACCTCTCCTCCTCCAAAGGAACGCAGCTCCTCACGAGCAATGGAACAAAGCTGGATGGAGAATGACTTTGACGAGTTGAAATAAGAAGGCTTCAGATGATCAAACTTTTCTGAGCTAAAGGAGGAAGTTTGAACCCATTGCAAAGAAGTTAAAAACCTTGAAAAAAGATTAGACGAATAGCTAACTAGAATAACCAGTGCAGAGAAGTCCTTAAATGACCTGATGGAGGTGAAAACCATGGCACAAGAACTGCGTGACGAATACAGAAGCTTCAGTAGCTGATTCGATCAACTGGAAGAAAGGGTATCAGTGATTGAAGATCAAATGAATGAAATGAAGGGAGAAGAGAAGCTTAGAGAAAAAAGAATAAAAAGAAACAAACAAAGCCTCCAAGAAATATGGGACTATGTGAAAAGACCAAATCCACGTCTGATTGGTGTACCTGAAAGTGAGGGGGAGAATGAAACCAAGTTGGAAAACACTCTGCAGGATATTATCCAGGAGAACTTCCCCAACCTAGCAAGGCAGGCCAGCATTCAAATTCAGGAAATACAGAGAACACCACAAAGATACTCCTTGAGAAGAGCTACTCCAAGACACATAATTGTCAGATTCACCAAAGTTGAAATGAAGGAAAAAATGTTAAGGGCATCCAGAGAGAAAAGTCAGGTTACCCACAAAGGGAAGCCCATCAGACTAACAGCTGATCTCTCAGCAGAAACTCTACAAGCCAGAAGAGAGTGGGGGCCAATATTCACCATTCTTGAAGAAAAGAATTTTCAACCCAGAATTTCATATCCTGTGAAACTAATCTTCATAAGTGAAGGAGAAATAAAATCCTTTACAGACAAGCAAATGCTGAGAGATTTTGCCACCACCAGACCTGCCCTACAAGAGCTCCTGAAGGAAGCACTAAATGTGGAAAGGAACAACTGGTACAGTCACTGCAAAAACATGCCAAATTGAAAAGACCATTGATGCTAGGAAGAAACTGCATCAACTAACGAGCAAAATAACCAGCTAACATCATAATGACAGTATCAGATTCACACATAACAATATTAACTTTAAATGTAAATGGGCTAAATGCTCCAATTAAAAGACACAGACTGGCAAATTGGATAAAGAGTCAAGACTCAGTGTGCTGTATTCAGGAAATACATCTCACATGCAGAGACACACATAGGCTCCAAATAAAGGGATGGAGGAAGATCTACCAAGCAAATGGAAAACAAAAAAAGGTAGGGGTTGCAATCCTCGTCTCTGATAAAATAGACTTTAAACCAACAAAGATCAAAAGAGACAAAGAAGGCCATTACATAATGGTAAAGGGATCAATTCAACAAGAAGAGCTAACTATCCTAAATATATATGCACCCAATACAGGAGCACCCAGATTCATAAAGCAAGTCCTTAGAGACCTACAAAGAGACTTAGACTCCCACACAATAATAATGGGAGACTTTAACACCCCACTGTCAACATTAGACAGATCAATGAGACAGAAAGTTAACTAGGATATCCAGGAACTGAACTCAGCTCTGCACCAAGCAGACCTAATAGACATCTACAGAACTCTCCACCCCAAAATCAACAGAATATACATTCTTCTCAGCACATCACACTTATTCCAAAATTGAACACATAATTGGAAGTAAAGCACTCCTCAGCAAATGTAACAGAACAGAAATTATAGCAAACTGTCTCTCAGACCACAGTGCAATCAAACTAGAACTCAGGATTAAGAAACTCACTCAAAACCGCTCAACTACATGGAAACCGAACAACCTGCTTCTGAATGACTATGGGGTACATAATGAAATGAAGGCAGAAATAAAGGTGTTCTTTGAAACCAGTGAGAATAAAGACACAACATACCAGAATCTCTGGGACACATTTAAAGCAGTGTGTAGAGAGAAATTTATAGCACTAAATGCCCACAAGAGAAAGCAGGAAAGATCCAAAATTGACACCCTAACATCACAATTAAAAGAACTAGAGAAGCAAGAGCAAACACATTGAAAAGCTAGCAGAAGGCAAGAAATAGTAACTAAGATCAGAGCAGAACTGAAGGAGATAGAGACACCAAAAACCCTTCAAAAAATCAATGAATCCAGGAGCTGGTTTTTTGAAAAGATCAACAAAATTGATAGACTGCTAGCAAGACTAATAAAGAAGAAAAGAGAGAAGAATCAAATAGACGCAATAAAAAATGATAAAGGGGATATCACCACCAATCCCACAGAAATACAAACTACCATCAGAGAATACTATAAACACCTCTACACAAATAAACCAGAAAATCTAGAAGAAATGGATAAATTCCTGGACACATACACCCTCCCAAGACTAAACCAGGAAGAAGCTGAATCTCTGAATAGACCAATACCAGGCTCTGAAATTGAGGCAATAATTAATAGGCTACCAAACAAAAAAAGTCCAGGACCAGACGGATTCACAGCTAATTTCTACCAGAGGTACAAGGAGAAGCTGGTACCATTCCTTCTGAAACTATTCCAATCAATAGAAAAAGAGGGAATCCTTCCTAACTCATTTTATGAGGCCAGCATCATCCTGATACCAAAGCCTGGCAGAGACACACGCAAAAAAGAGAATTTTAGACTAATATCCCTGATGAACATCGATGCAAAAATCCTCGATAAAATACTGGCAAACCGAATCCATTAGCACATCAAAAAGCTTATCCACCATGATCAAGTGGGCTTCATCCCTGGCATGCAAGGCTGGTTCAACATACACAAATCAATAAGCGTAATCCAGTATATAAACAGAACCAAAGACAAAAACAACATGATTATCTCAATAGATGCAGAAAAGGCCTTTGACAAAATTCAGCAGCCGTTCATGCTAAAAACTCTCAATAAATTAGGTATTGATGGGACGTATCTCAAAATAATAAGAGCTATTTATGACAAACCCACAGCCAATATCATACTGAATGGGCAAAAACTGGAAGCATTCCCTTCAAAAACTGGCACAAGACAGGGATGCCCTCTCTTACCACTCCTATTCTACATAGTGTTGGGAGTTCTGGCCGGGGCAATCAGGCAGGAGAAAGAAATAAAGAGCATTCAATTAGGAAAAGAGGAAGTCAAATTGTCCCTGTTTGCAGATAACATGATTGTATATCTAGAAAACCCCACTGTCTCAGCCCAAAATCTCCTTAAGCTGATAAGCAACTTCAGCAAAGTCTCAGGATACAAAATCAATGTGCAAAAATCACAAAGCATTCTTATACACCAATAACAGACAAACAGAGAGCCAAATCATGAGTGAACTCCCATTCACAATTGCTTCAAAGAGAATAAAATATCTGGGAATCCAACTTACAAGGGATGTGAAGGACCTCTTCAAGGAGAACTACAAACCACTGCTCAATGAAATAAAAGAGGATACAAACAATTGGAAGAACATTCCATGCTCATGGGTAGGAAGAATCAATATTGTGAAAATGGCCATACTACCCAAGGTAATTTATAGATTCAATGCCATCCCCACCAAGCTACCAATGACTTTCTTCACAGAATTGGAAAAAACTACTTTAAAGTTCATATGGAACCAAAAAAGAGCCCTCATTGCCAAGTCAATCCTAAGCCAAAAGAACAAAGCTGGAGGCATCACACTACCTGACTTCAAACTATACTACAAGGCTACAGTAACTCTGTTTTGGTACTGGTACCAAAACAGAGATATAGACCAATGGAACAGAACAGAGCCCTCAGAAATGATGCTGCATATCTACAACTATCTGATCTTTGACGAATCTGACAAAAATAAGAAATGGGGAAACAATTCCCTATTTAATAAATGGTGCTGGGAAGATTGGCTAGCCATATGTAGAAAGCTGAAACTGGATCCCTTCCTTACACCTTATACAAAAATTAATTCAGGATGGATTAAAGACTTAAATATTAGATCTAAAACCATAAAAACCCTAGAAGAAAACCTAGGCAATACCATTCAGGACATAGGCATGGGCAAGGACTTCATGTCTAAAACACCAAAAGCAATGGCAACAAAAGCCAAAATTGACAAATGGGATCTAATTACGCTAAAGAGCTTCTGCACAGCAAAGGAAACCACCTTCAGTGTGAACAGGCAACCTACAGAATGGGAGAAAATTTTTGCAACCTACTCATCTGACAAAGGGCTAATATCCAGAATCTACAATGAACTCCAACAAATTTACAAGAAAAAAACAACCCCATCAAAATTGGGCAAAGGATATGAACAGACACTTCTCAAAAGAAGACATTTATGCAGCCAAAAAACACATGAAAAAATGCTCACTATCACTGGCCATCAGAGAAATGCAAATCAAAACCACAATGAGATACCATCTCACACCAGTTAGAATGGCAATCATTAAAAAGTCAGGAAACAACAGGTGCTGGAGAGGATGTGGAGAAATAGGAACACTTTTACACTGTTGGTGGTACCATAACGTAAACTAGTTCAACCATTGTGGAAGTCAGTGTGGCAATTCCTCAGGGATCTAGAACTAGAAATACCATTTGATCCAGCCATCCCATTACTGGGTATATACCCAAAGGATTACAAATCATGCTGCTATAAAGACACATGCACACATATGTTTATTGCAGCACTATTCACAACAGCAAAGACTTGGAACCAACCCAAATGTCCAACAATGATAGACTGGATTAAGAAAATGTGGCTCATATACACTATGGAATACTATGCAGCCATAAAAAGTGATGAGTTCATGTCCTTTGTAGGGACGTGGATGAAGCTGGAAACCATCATTCTGAGCAAACTATCGCAAGGACAAAAAACCAACCACTGCATGTTCTCACTCATAGGTGGGAATTGAACAATGAGAACACATGGACACAGGAAGGGGAACATCACACACTGGGGCCTGTTGTGGGATGGGGGGAGGGGGGAGGGATAGCATTAGGAGATATAACTAATGCTAAATGACGAGTTAATGGGTGCAGCACACCAACATGGCACATGTATACATATGTAACCAACCTGCACGTTGTGCACATGTACCCTAAAACTTAAAGTATAATAATAATAATAATAATAATAATAATAATAATAATAAAATAGACATTTCTTTGGATTTGGTAAGATGGAGTTATCAGTGACTCGTAAATAACAAATTGAGATGGGAGCCAGATTGGGGTGATTTTATAGAAAACTAGAGGGGAGCAAGAGGTGAATCTACATCTAGATAAGCCTTTTTTTTTTTTTTTTTTTGAGACAGAGTCTTGCTCTGTCACCCAGGCTGGAGTGCAGTGGTGTGATCGGTTCACTGCAACTTCCGCCTCTCAGGTTCAAGTGATTCTCCTGCCTCAGCCTCCCAAGTAGCTGGGGATTACAGGCATGTGCCACCACACCTGGCTAATTTTTGTATTTTTCATAGAGATGAGGTTTCCTCATGTTGGCCAGGCTGGTCTTGAACTCCTGACCTCAAGTGATCCCCCCAACTTGGCCTCCCAAAGTGCTGGGATTACAGGCATGAGCCACCACACCTGGCTATCAATCTGTGCCTATCCCACCAGTAATGCCTGTGTTAGCCTGTTTTGCTTTGTTATAAAGGAATACCTGAGGCAGGATAATTTATAAAGAAAAGAGGTTTATTTGGCTAACGGTTCTGCAGGCTATAGAAGAAGCATGGTGCCAGCATCTGCTTCTGGTGAGGGCTTCAGGCTGCTTCCACTCATGGCAGAAGGTGAAGGGGAGTAGACATCACATGGTGAGAGAGACAGAAAGAGAGAGGAGGGAGGTGCCAGATTCTTTTTAACAACCAGATCTCCTGAGAACTAAGATTACTCTTTTTATTTTATTTATGTTTTTATTATTTATTTATTTATTTTTTTTGACAGAGTTTCACTCTTGTTGACCAAGCTGGAGTGCAGTGGTGAGGTCTTGGCTCACCTGGGCATCTGCCTCCTGGGTTTGGGTGGTTCTCCTGCCTCAGCCTCCCGAGTGGGTGGGACTGCAGGCATGCTCAGCTAATTTTGCTTTTTTTTTTTTTTTTTTTTTTTTTTGGTGGAGATGGGGTTTCTCCATGTTAGTCAGGCTGGTCTCAATCTCCTGACCTCAAGTTATGTGCCTGCCTCAGCCTCTCTGGGTGCTGGGATTGGAACAGGAATTAAAAGACATTTAAAAATGTGTAAGCAAAAACAGTTGTATGTTAAAAAAAAAAAAAAAAAAAAAAAAACCATTTCCCCCTGAGAATGAGAAAGAGCTGGAGTCCTTTAAAAGAAACTGCCTGTTTTTCTATGGCTAGTGAGCCTTATCTCTTCTCCCTTCCCAGGCATTATAAAACTCTAATTCCCTAACTGTGCAACTACAAGGTCACTAAACAAATTGGTGCATTTAAAACCCTTTAGCCACACAAGTTCTCCAAGTCCCCACCAGATTAGCTAGATACAGAGTGCTGATTGATACATCCACAAACCCCAAGCTAGACACAGAGTGCTGACTGGTCCATTTACAATCCTTTAGCTAGACATAAAAGTTCTCCAAGTCCCCACTAGATTAGCTAGACAGAGTGCTGATTGGTGCATTTGCAAACCTTGAGCTAGACACAGAGTGCTGATTGGTGCATTTACAATCCTTTAGCTAGACATAAAAGTTCTCCAAGTCCCCACCAGATTAGCTAGATACAGACTGCTGATTGGTGCATCCACGAACCCCAAGCTAGACACAGAGTGCTGACTGGTGCATATACAATCCTCTGGCTAGACATAAAAGTTCTCCAAGTCCACACCTGACTCAGGAGCCCACCTGGCTTCACCTAGTGGATCCCACGCCAGGGCTGTGGGTGGAGCTGCCCGCCAGTCCGGCACCATGCGCCTGCACTCCTTGGCCCTTGGGCGGTCAATGGGACCTGGCGCTGCGGAGCAGGGGGCCGCGCCTGTTTGGGAGGCTCGGGCGGCGTCGGAGCCCACCGAGGGGAGAGGGGGTCTCGAGCATGGCGGGCTGCATTCTTACATACAAAAATTGAGAAAATTCATCACCAGCAGAATTGCACTACAAAAATATTGAAGGAAATTATTCAGGCAGAAAAAAATGATGAGAAGAAAATTAAATCTATACAAAAAAACAAAGAATAAAAAAGTAAATATGTGAATAAATATAATGAATTGTTTTCCTTAATTTTTGAACCTATTTTAAACATAAGCTGCTGTTGTTTTTCTTTTTGAGACACAGGGTCTCACTGTGTCACCCACACTGACGTACAGTGGCAGGATTACAGCTCACTGCAGTCTCAATCTCCCAGGCTCAAGCAATCTTTCCACCTCAGCCTCCCAAGCAGCTGTGACAACAGACATGTGCCACCATGCCCAGCTAATTTTTTTTTAATTTTTAATAGAGATAAGGTCTCATTATGTTGCCCAGGCTGATCTTGAACTCCTGGTCTCAAGTAATCCTCCTGCCTTGGCCTCACAGAGTGCTGAGATGACAAGCATGAGCCACTATGCCCAGCCAAACATAGCTGTTTAAAGCAGAAATAACAACGAATTGTGAGCTTTATAACATATGTAGACATAAAATGTATGACAATATTAGGAAGGGTAGAAGGAGAATGCTAGATTATTCTGGTGTGAGGTTCTTAGGAATTTGCATATCATTATGTACATTATATAAATAAGGCTATGATACAAAGTTCTAATATACATGAGGTTCATATATATGAATTTGTATATCATTACTTGAAAGTCAACTGTGATAAATTAGAGTTATACACTGTTAAAAAAAGATGTATAGGCCAGGTGCAGTGGCTCACACCTGTAATCCCAGCACTTTCGGAGGCCGAGGCGGGCAGATCAAAAGGTCAGGAGTTCAAGACCAGCCTGTCCAACATGGTGAAACCCCGTCTCTACTAAAAATACAAAAATTAGCCAGGCGTGGTGGCACGCGCCTGTAATCTCAGCTACTCCGGAGGCCGAGGCAGAAGAATTGCTTGAACCCAGGAGGTAGAGGTTGCAGTGAGCCGACATTGTGCCACTGCACTCCAGCCTGGGCAACAGAGAAGAATCCATCTAAAAAAAAAAAAAGAATTTGGTGCTACTTTATAGATGTTTTTAAGGTTTTTTTTTGTTTGTTTGTTTGTTTCAAATTTTATATACAGTATTTTTAGTTGCTTTCAGAGGGATAGGGTTGTCCAGGTAGCTTGCCCACCATACTGCAAGAAATGAAAATCCTACGTTCTTGATTCAGTGAATTACTAAAACAATAAAATGTGTTAAAAAAAAAATTCCAGGTACCTTGAAGCCCTTAGAGGAAAGATCAATCCACAAATGTGAAACAACTAATGTTTAAGTATAAAATAGAAAACATACTCAATGAAAACATTAACAGCAAGAGATAGACACATTTAATTTTTAAAACACTGCAATATATTTCAGATGTTAATTTTGGTGCTGTTTGTTGGAAAGTAGGCATGGAGACTAAAATTATATTTGTGTGTGGTGCTATGTTTAGTTCTGTTTTTTATTTTAAAAATAAATACAGATAATCAGTTTCCCCATATCACGGAGTCAAAGTGTGTCTTCTCTCCCCTGCTCTGCAGTGTCACCTCTGTCACATCAATGGACATGTCTCTTTCTAGGCTCTATTTGGTTGTGTTGGCCTACTTATCTCTGTGCCACACTATCTCAATTAATAGTCTTTACTTTTAATATATATTTTCAATATATGCAATGTTTTGGCCTACCATTAATATCTTTTTTCAAGAATTTATGTTTGCCCTTTTTCATTTGCATGTAATTTCTAAAATCAACTTTAGTTTACCTATTGGGATGTTGACTGAGAATACATCTATAAATTTGAGGAAGATTAATTGATATTAGTGTAAAATAGAAAACATAATGAAAACATTAACAGTAAGAGACAGACACATTTAATTTTAAAAGCACTGCAATAAGATGACAGCTGACAGTTCCTTTGAATTCTTCATCACATTCAGCTAATGTGTTTATTAGTTAAGTTAGCTCTCCACTATAGGTCCAATTCTTTATAGTTAACATTTATGAAATTATATATCATATACTGGCTGGGTATAGGAAAGACACTGCCCTGTCTTTATTTATTGGGAAAGAGAAACGGCTTTTTATCCCTAGTTCTGTACCCCAGCTTTTTATTGTTTTGTAACTTCATTTTCTTTGTTTCTTTCTTGTGTCATTATTGAATCATTTAAGGCTATGAACTTTCCTTTCGATGTAGTGTTAGCAATAGCCCATTAGTTCTGACATGTAATGTTTCCGTTATTGTTACAGACTGTTTCAGGTCTCCTTTTAAAATTTTCCTTCCATCTAGGATTGTTTGTGAGCTGGTTTAAAACTTTCCAGGTGTGTGGGATTTTATTGCCTTTACTCTCCTTTGTTGAAATAAAGTTGCATTACCTAATAGTCAAGAATGTGGTCTGTTCTCTGTCTCTTTCTTTAATGTTGTGGCAATGGCCAGGAGTGGTGGCTCACACCTCTAATCCCAGCACTTTGGGAGGTGAAAGCAGGAGGATAGCTTGAGCTTAGGAGTTGAAGACCAGCCTAGGCAACTTAATGAGACCCTATCTCTTTTTTAAAAAAATTTAAGACAAAAATAAAATAAACTTGTGGTTATATGTAAGATAAATAAAGAAAACATAAAATTGACCATTTTAACTTAATAGTGTATAGTTCTGTGGCATCAGTCCATTCACACTGTTGGGCTAGTTCTCATTTTTACAGCTATGGAAATGTTAGTTGGCTTATTTCCTCTTCTCCCCCCCTCACATTAAAAAGTCAGTAATGTGTCTTGCTGAGCATGGGCCATTATTCCATTCATTCATTCATTCATTCATTCATTCATTCATTTGAGACAGGGTCTTGCTCTGTTGCCCAGGCTAGAGGGCAATAGTGTGATCATAGCTCACTGCAGCCTCGAGCTCCTGGGCTCAACCAATCCTTCTGTCTCAACCTCCAGAGTAGCTGGGACTACAGGTGTGCATCACTACACTGGGCTAATTTTAAAATTTTTTTGTAGCGATGGAGTCTCGTTATGTTGCCCGGACTGGTCTCGAACTCTTGGCCCCAAGTGACTCTCCCACCTAGCCCTCCCATAGTGCTGGGATTATAGGTATAAACCACCACACCTGGCCTTTATTTATTTTTAAATTTTATTTTTAGAGATGGAGTCTCACCCTGTTGCCCAGGCTGGAATGCAGTAGCACAGTCATAGCTCACTACAGCCTCAAACTCCTAGGCTCAAATGATTCTAAGTACGTAGGACTATAGGTCCACACTCAGCTAATATTTTTAATTTTTATGGTTCTCCTTGGTGTTCTGTTTATCCATTTACTGTTAGGAAGTAAATCCCCAAAGAGTATGTTTGCTTTGCCCGAGGGAGTCTTTTGCTACATACTGCTGTACATAATGAAAACTAAAACAGGGACTAACTTTTCAGCCTTGTGACCTTGTGGTGATTCAAACAGAAGCTTCATCAAAGGCAGATTCAGAAATGAACTTGGTGTGTGTAGGTGGCTATGCTTGGCATTATTGCCTATAAATAGTATGATAGGGATGATTTCAGTGTCCGCCAACAGGGAACTGGTTAAGTAAACTGTGGTACATCCAAATGATGCATACTGTGCAGATGAAAAGAAGAATGAGAAAGACTCTGTACACGTCTAGGAGAACCCGGATATATTGTGTGTGTTTTTCTCCAGAGGAAAAAGGAATGGTATCATATGTGTGGTATGCTACTTTTTGTGTTGTAGAGAAGAGTAGAATAAGAATATACATGTGTATTTGCAAAGATAAATTCTGAAAAGATACATAAGAAACCAATTAAAAGTGTTTGGCTGTGGAAGGAGTATAAGACTGTGAATGGGATTTTACTGCACACTTTTATGGTTATATTTAAAAATTTTCTGAACTATGTACTTGTACACATGACCCTTTTAAAAATAAGTGAATGGAGGAATGAAGTAGGATTATGAGAAAGAGATAAGAACAAAGGATCTAAGGGGCTGCCCATCTTTTTATACCCAGTGAATATTAATACATAACCAATAGCAGCAAAAATTGGAAGAGTAGCCCCAGTAGGGTAGGGAGTCAGCCTTTCCTTTGTCTTTTCCTCAATTTCATATATTAAAAAAAATATTCTGAGAACAATAAAACAATTTGAAATAAAAATGTCTCCAGATCTCTTAAAATAAATGAAGATGGGGCAGCTTTACGTAGTGCACTTCCCAAAAATAGGCTGGTTTCCCTGAAGAGGAAGGGATTCTAGCCTACATGGGATACATACGGGAGAAAAAATAAGAAAAAGAGATTTAAACATAAATAAATGAAAATAACACTTCTCCCTGATTACAAAGGAAATCACATTCTTTTAAAAATAAGTTGGATGACAAATATTAAGAAAAATCTTTAATTTGCCACTCAAAACATTCCAGTTTGTTGCTTTTTTTTTTTTGGAGATGGAGTCTCGCTTTATTGCCCAGGCTGGAGTGCAGTGGCACAATCTCAGCTCACTGGAAGCTCTGCCTCCCGGGTTGACGCCATTCACCTGCCTCAGCCTACTGAGTAGCTGGGACTACAGGCACCCGCCACCACACCCAGCTAATTTTTTTTGTATTTTTAGTAGAGACGGGGTTTCACCGTGTCAGCCAGGACGGTCTGGATCACCTGACCTCGTGATCCGCCCCCTTCGGCCTGCCAAAGTGCTGGGATTACAGGCGTGAGCCACCGCGCCCAGCCGGTGTGTTGCTTTTTATATCTTTTTATACATGTAAACATTTTGAAAAGTAGAATCATAATAGATAATCTTTTGTCACTAACTATATTTTGGGCATATTTCTGTGGCAGTAAATATATCCTGGCATCATCATTTTTAATAGCTGGATGTATATTAAGTTAATCATTGGCACCCCAGAGGTGAATTTTCTTATATACACATTTTAATGGACTCGAGCAAGCATTTTTGGACTGAATTCATAGAAGTAGAATTTCTGGAGGGTAATAATTTTTAGGGTCTTTAATAGAAATTTTCAAATTATCCTCCAGGAAAAGTGGCTAAGTTTATACTCCCACCAACAGGGACAGAGCTCCAGGTTCCCCCTTCCATTTGTCATCGTTGTGCCTTTATACAGAAAATGTCATTGTTTTCATGACATTTCCTTGATTTCTAGTGCTTTTGAATCTTTTTTATATACCTATTGGCCATTTTTATTTTTGTGAGTAGTGCCTGTTTCTCTATTGCCCATTTTTTGTTGAAAATCATTTGTTTTTTGTTTCTGAGTAATTTTAAACATTTCTTTATAGGCTAAGGATACAAACTTTTTATTTGTCACTGAGGTTACAAAAACTTTCTCCTAGTAAGTAATTTGTCATTTCATTTTATTTTTTCTATTCTTTCTTCCTACCCTTCCCTTTCCTTTTTTTCCTTTCCTTTCTTTTTTCTTTCCTTTCTTTCCTTCCTTTTTTCCTTTTCTTTCTTTCTTTCCTTCCTTCTTTTCTTTTTCCTTTTCCCCTTCACTCCCTCCCTCCTTCCCTCCCTCCTTCCCTCCCTCCTTCCTTCCTTTCTTCCTTCTCCCTCCAAACTCCAAAGTCACATTTCACTTCATTTTTATCCTGCCAAATTTGAAAGCTTTTTAACTTAGTGATTTTTGTGTAAACAGGAGCAGGAGAGAATGTAATTATCTAGGTCTCGCTATGTCACCCAGGCTGGAGTGCAGTGCCATAATCATAGCTACTGCAGCCTCGAACTCCTGGGCAGAAGCAGTTTTCCCACCTCAGCCTGCTGACTAGCTAGGACTACAGGTGTGTGCCACCATGCCCAGCTGTTTTTTAAAATTTTTTGTAGAGATGTGAATTCGCTATGCTTCCCAGGCTTGTCTTGAACTCCTGACGTCAAGTAATCCTCCCACCTTGGCTTGTCAAAGTACTAGGATTACAGATGTGTACTACTGCTCCTGGCTGAGAGTTTAATTTTCTTTGCTAGTGATGTTCTTGGTATCTTTTCATATTTGAGGCTTTGGTGCTAGTGCTGAAGTATTACACTCACCATCCAAGGTTTATAGGACTTTTGTGTTAATATGGAACAGACAGAACTGTTTAGTTCTGCATCTTTGCAGGCACACAAAATGTGCCTACCAGGACGCTGCTTTATATCCATTGAAAGCAAGAAGTAATACAGTAAAACTTTGCCTGGCTAGAGGCTTTGAAGGAATGGAGTGTTCTGGTTGAATTCTATTAACTTGGAAGTATGAAGGTGAAAAAAATTCAGAACTTAAATTTCCTTGGAATGCAATTTGAAAATATAGCCAATGATTCCACTTTTCTTCTCTAGTAAGTTTGGACATTCCAATCTACTTGGTGTTTTATTATAGAACTCCTACTGTGCCTGAGACTTATATTGTGAAGATACTTTTTTAAAATTTTAGCTGTAAGAGGATGTAAATGGTTTTGTATGAAGTCAGGCTGGATGAGAACTAATACTTGTAAATATGTTTTTTAGACTAAACTTCTGACTGCCACTTGTTTTCTTATTGAACTCATAAAAATAAAACACATTGGATGGAGGGTGGGAGTAGGAAGGAGAGTTAAGTGTTTTAATTGCATGTCATTGTTTCATATCGAGATAGAATATATAGTATCCCTGGCTTTGGACCTACAGAAGAAACACATTTTTCTACCTGCTGTATGGCAGAGGTTCCTGAGCACCTGGAGGGATTACTGCGGCACAGATTGCTGAGTCCTACTCCAGAGATTCTGATTCACCACGTCCAGGGTAGGGCCTGAGAATTTGCACTTACAGAAAGTTCTCAGGTGCTGCTGCTGCTGCTGCTGCTGCTGCTAGTCCAGAGACTACATTACTGAGAACCACTCTTGTCTACTAACTGTAAACTGTAGCACTCTAAACAAAAGCTTAGTTTGGTCTGGCATAAGAAGCACACAGGTTATGGAGCAAATCATGAAAGATTCAACCCTTGATCCCAGCCTCGTGTGAAATTCAGGTAACAAGCAGTACACAGTGACATAACACAATTCTTGGTTTTCATGATTGTAAGTCATAGCCAAGTATCAAGTGAGAAATTCAGTTTCATTTGCAAGGCTTAGAGAAGCCAAGTGATTCTAGAAAAATGGACCTTGTATTTGTTTTAAATTGGTAAAGAGCTTTGAGTGCTTATTAAATTGAAAGCTTTTAAAATTTACTTTGTATTTTATTTTATTTCTTTTGAGATGGAGTCTCACTCTGTCACCCAGGCTGGAGTGCAGTGGCATGAGTTTGGCTCACTGCAACCTCCATCTCCTGGGTTCAAGTGATTCTCCTGCCTCAGCCTCCCGAATAGCTGGGATTACAGGCACCCACCACCACGCCTGGCTAGTTTTTGTACTTTTAGTAGAGATGGGGTTTCACCATGTTGGCCAGGCTGGTCTCAAACTCCTGACCTCAGGTGATCCACCCGCCTTGGGCTCCCAAAGTGCTGCGATTACAGGCGTGAGCCACTGCATCCGCCCCAAAAGCTTTGTGTTTTTACAGATATTAGACATGTTTCTTGTTTAAGAAAAAAAATCTTAACAGTAACGTAGGAGAATAAGATAAACATTTTTCCAAAAAAGAGAATCACTGTGATTATTTTATCTTATTGGAATGTTGGATAATATAGTCTTCTTCATTAATCATCAAGCATGCTATGGATTTTCCATTTTTATAGGATCTGTGTCTCAGTTAAGGTAATACTGGTAATTTTTTTAATGGATTTGAAGATGAAAAATATAGGCCAAAATCATAGACCTTGCATAGAAGCTGGGTAATGAAGACAGCTCTGGAGGAACACATAGATACACATACACAGAAACACACATATATGTATATGTATATGTATATATATATATATATGTATGTATAAAGTATACACACTTTTTTTTAAATTTTAAAGCAAAAGCTGGCCCCTCCCCTCTCACAGAGTGGGCGGGGACAGCGGTTGCCTGGGCAGCTTTCCTTGTGAGCCACAGGTCCCTCTGGACACACTGGGGCCCAGCCACGCCCCCTTTCCCTTTCATCTTTGTCATTGACCAATGGGCTTGGAGCATTAAGGCCACGCCCCTATTCTGCATTCTACTGGAGCCCTGGTTACGCCTCCTCTGGCTCAGTCACACGGCTGCCTGGTAGGTGACTGGATGCATTGATAGTGCTCACTGGGATTTCGCTGACGTGGCCCCAACCCTGCCTCCCTACCCACCCCACAATAGCAGAAGAAACTCGACAGAGCAAATTGGCTGTAGCCAATACAAAGGTAAAAATTCCAGGTCATCACCCCCCAACCCAGCCACAGATCCCCTCTGATGACAAGACCGCTGCCAGAGTCCATACCACTCCTGAGGCACACCGGACTGCCTCTGGGCTCCACCCACCAAAGTCTTGTCAGTCAGCCCTGCCCCTTCAGCAAGCAGCCCAGTCCCTGCCCTCTCCAATCACCCCATGGTGACTTTGGGTGGGTGACTCTTGGGGATTCCCACTCCATTACTGGGCCCTCACCTCCTACCGCCCCAAACTCAACCTCCCTGGGCTCTTTGGGCTCACATCTCCAAGGACCTTGGTCCCCCAGCCCCAGGCCCCGCCCTCGCCAGTCATCCCTGGGTGACTTTGGGCTGGTGACTCCTGAGGCTCCCTGCTGCAGACTCTGCCCTCCCCTCCTGCTGCCTCAAGGTCGACCTCCCTGGGCTCTTTGCGCTGGCGTCTCCAAGGAGCTGGGTCCCAACCCTGTGTTTCCCTCCCCCATCATGGAGCAGCAACTCAGACATCGTGCTGATGTCCCTCCCCATGACCAGAAGGGTGGAATGTAGTGATGTCACAATCCACCTGGGAACTGTCATTACTGCAAGACCAGCCTTTGATCTTATGACCCAGTCCCCTAAGCGTTGTCACCCCATTTCTGATTCCTCTGGTCACAGCACAAATTTCCAGCTGCAAAGGGAATGGAGATTATGGGACCTAGGAGCAAGAGGTTTCAGGCTGCCTTACTCCCTTAACATAGACACTGACAGTGGGAAAAGCCTACACTTCCCCCATGAGCTCAAAACGTTAACAGTGTCTCTGGGTGGCAATGGGAGAATTGGTTTGGTTTGGTTTTCTCCCAGGCTTCTACTTTCCAGAGAGATTTTAACTTTTTTCTCAGTTCTCCACCTCATATTCTAATTCTCCATGGTTCTGGGACCAGACTGCCCTTCAGTCAGTGGTCTCTGAAGTGAGATTTGCTCATCTTCTGTGGAATAGATCTTGGGAAACTGAACTTGACAGCTTGAATCTTCCTCATATTATCTCAACCTTGGGTACTTTGAGTGCCACAGAATAAATGTGGGACATCTTTCTGAAGCATCAGTTTCCCTTGATTCTCTTGAGATCAAGAGAAAAAACATGAATGTACTTAGGGATGACAGTCACATAGGCTTCTAAGAGTATACCAGACTTCTCTCTGAAATGAGGCTTGGTTTGTCATCTTTCTGATAAATTCCCAGATTTAACAAAAAGCCTGCCTTCTGCCATGAGGACACATTGATATAAAAGTTTGAGAGGTACTGGTGCACTTCTTCACACTAACAGACGTGTGAGGATGTATGACTCTAAACCACATGGCATACAGTTCCTGCCTACTTAATGTTTACTTTTCTACCTCTGCCTCTGGTTTTGGTCCCTGGCAGCTGCTGATTCTTGGCAAAACCCCAGAGCTTGGAGTCAGAAGACTGAGTTTCAAAGTCCCAGTATCGCCTTTTTCTTTTTTTTTCTTTTTTCTAGCCATGATATCAATCCCTCTCAGTCACTAAATGATTGTGACAACACCTTGTACAGTTGTTGGTGTCGTTAAATCAGATGGTGTATAAGAGTATTTTGTAAAAACTGTAAAGGAGGATGTGGCTGTAGGGGCTGACAGTTCTTATGAGTATTACTGCTCTTCTTTCCCACAGTTAAAAGAATATTGGCAGAAAAACAGCCCTAGAGTTCCAGAAGGAGCCAAGAGGAACAGGAAAACAAATGGCAGTATCCCTGAGACAGCCACTTCTGGTGGTTGCCAGTCACCTGGGGATGTGAGTCTTGGCTGGCCAGGCTTCTGGGGACAGGGGGCCCAAGGGGCAATAGAAGGTAATTGTTGAGATCACGGATGGACTGTTGGGTGATGGTTAAGAATTCTGGGTTTGGCCAGGTGTGCTGGCTCACGCCTGTAATCCTAGCACTTTGGGAGACCAAGGCAGGTGGATCACAAGGTCAGGAGATTGAGACCATCCTGGCTAACATGGTGAAACCCCGTCTCTACTAAAAAATACAAAGAAATTTGCCAGGCATGGTGGTGGGCGCCTGTAGTCCCAGCTACTCAGGAGGCTGAGGCAGGAGAATGGCGTGAACCCAGGAGGTGGAGCTTGCAGTAAGCCAAGATTGTGCCACTGCACTCTAGCCTGGGAAAGAGCGAGACTCCGTCTCAAAAAAAAAAAAAAAAAAAAAAAAATGGAATTCTGGGTTTGCATCCTGCCTCTCCGCCTGGTAGGGATATGATTTACGGCAAGTTGCTTGAGCTCTTTGGGCCTCTCTTTTTACATCTGTATAACAGAGATGGTATTGTTTGACTTCCATTTGTGAAGTTTAAATGAGATTTGTTTTTGTTGTTTTTATGTTAATCCCTAGTACATGGCCTGCCGTAAACACCCAGGACACCCAGCATTGCTGTTTGATTTTCCTCATCCCCAGTCTCAAGGGAAAGCCAGGACAATGAGAACAGTCACTTGCCATCAGGAGTCACTGAAAGGGCCCCAGGGTGGGATGATGTGGAGAAAAGAACCATGAGAGAAGTTGGCACAGAGTTATGGGACAAAGGGTCCAAGATAGGCAGAAAAGAAAATGTTGCCAGTTGATGGGGAAGAAAGGAAGTCAGAGGGCTCAGACACCGAGGGGGACAGAACATCTCCATGTGCACTCTCATCTCTTGTAGTCAGCAACAGGTATCCACGGGGAGGGCCCTACATCATCTGCTACCCTGAAGGATCTGGAGGTAGGAGGCTCTGGGCGGAGGTGCAGTGACCCTGCAGGCCAGCCCTCCATCCTCCTCACACAGTGGGGACTGGGTGCCCCTCTGCCAGCTGAGACAGCCCACACACCCCAGCCCTGATGATCGTTTTCTCTACCTCTCCCCCGACTCCTCCTCCACCTCCTCCTCTCTGCATGCGCCTCAGAGCCCGTGCCAAGAGCCAGCAGTAGTCCTGAACCCAAGGTCCGTAAAAATCAGTCAACTGAAGAACACCATCAAATCTTTGGTAAGAGTCCAGTGGGGTCCCCTGAGTCCACGCTGCCAATCCTGGGCTCCAGTTTCCCCTTAGGGCCCTGAAGAAAGTGCTGGGGGCCCCTGGTGCCAAGGACAAATAGGGAGCTGGGGTGCCCAGGCCTCACCTGGAGGGACCCCAGAGCATGCAGCATGGCTCTGCTTTTGCTGCCCTCTTTGCCGACTCTCTCCTCTCCAGACACCCCTGCTCGAGTCCTTGCTACACACGCCCTGGGGTTGTTGCCTCTCGGGGAATTACTAGCCTGACTGGTTGTCAGGGGCCCTGTATTTCTGCTGTGACTCAGTTCCTAATTTGCTCTTTGATTCTGGACAAGCCACCTCTCCTTTTTGGTCTTGTGTTTCCAGAGGAGGTAGTGAGTATCAAAGGTCTCTGTTAGCTCTGAGAGTCCGAGATTTAAAGGCCCCCTAGAATAGAAACCCAGGGCCAAGGGCTCCTGTCTGTCCTTTTCCATCCTATATCTGCTGTGAAGAATCATACCTGGCCCATACATGCTCAGTACACGTTTATTGAGTGAACCCACTTTTCTAAATCACAAGCTGCCAGAAGGAGGGGCCTTTCTGAAACTCCATCTCTAGGGGTTTATGTTACTGTCCTCTCAAGAGAGTCCTGATTCAGACTTTGAGTTCTGTGGCTGTGGGCAAAAACCAACAAAGACCCAAATCCTCTGTCCTTGGGAGCTTGAAGAGAGTTTACCAGTTCATGTTCCCATTGGGTCTGAGAACTTTGCCTTTAAAATCCATTCCTGACCCCTGCCTACCGCTTCCTGTCTGGGGAATAGAGTTGAGGGGGCCACCCTCCATCACCTTAATTTGACTCTTCCCACAGAAACAACAGAAGAAACAAGTGGAACATCAGCTGGAAGAAGTAACGTGATTTCTTTATTTGCTCGCGACACGACTGCTGGGTTTGGGGGGCACTCAGACATAGAGGCCTCAGTCTCATCTCGCCCACTCCCAGCCTGGGGAAGGAGGCTCACCCCTCAGATTCCACCCCATCCCCACAGGGTCCCTGATAACCTGGTCCCATGGGTGGGCCTGTCCTGGGGCATTGGTGGCATTCTGGGGGCATGTCTCTTGCTGTGCCGTCTCTGCGTCTCCCTGGTAAGAGCTCTGTCTTCCTCTTCCTATAGGAAAAGCAAACGAGAAACAAAAAGCCAAAAGGGAGCTAGAGGTGAGTGGAGGGCGTGAAGCTTCCTCCTGTCCTCCGGGGAGAGTGTTTCTTTCCTTCTCTTTCAGCACTTGCTTGGTTTTTCTCCCAAAGGTTCAAATCCAGAGGTTGAACATACAGAAAAAGTAACTAAATACGGACCTATATGACACGAAATGTTCTCTCAGATACTTTGAAGGTAGGAATCTGGGCACCCTGTCATCCTTCAACCTGGCACTTTGACGGGTCTTCACGGGGAGTCGTTTGGGCCCATCTCAACTCTCTCATTACTGAAGAGTCCAAGGATCTGGCGGGCTGCCTGCAATATTCATTGCAGTGTATAGGAGAGTTAGAGCGGGCTCTCTCTGCTGTCACCACCACAGAGGAGAAGGAGATCAGTGTGAGTTCAACCACTTGCCCTGTCCCCTGGGTGCCCAGTTTCACAGATGGAGGAGCGAGCCTAAAGGTCCCTTCTGCAGGTTGGAGTGTCCTGCCCAGAAGGCAGCATGGCCATTTCTCGCTGCTTTTTTGTATGGTTGTTAGAGGCAGCGTGGGGCTGAGTCAGCTGCTGTGGGTGAGTTGGGGGGCACTTTGGGGAGTGAGCACTGGACACAGAGATTGGAGGCCAAGTGCCTGCCCTGCCCTTACCTGGCTGTGGTCTCGGCCAAGTCCTAGGTGGGGTATTGGGTACTTGTACTGTGAAGGTACAGAAGAGTACCTTTAGTATGTTACCATTTCTGTAGAGAGAGGAAATGTGTGTGTGTGTGCATGTTTGTGTACATACTATGATAATATACATAAAACATGTCTGCAAGTGTTCATAAAAAATTCAGGAGAGAGCAACAGGGTGGCTGGGAGATACTTCCCTTCTGTACTTTCTGAGTTTGGGACTATGCGAATGTATCATCATTTCAAAAAGTGAACAAAAGATTAATTTTCCCCTTCCTATCTGTGCCCCCACCCCCAGCAAGAAAAATGGGTTTAGAGAATCAGATAGACCTGGGTGTTCAAATCCCAGCTCTGCCTAAGTGATCTTAGGCAAGCACTTAACCTCAAATACTCCATGTTTTTTCATCTACACAATAGAGGTCATCATAGTAACTGTCTCCTATGGTGGCGAGGATTAAATGGGATTGCTAGCATGGAACTCGTTGAAGCACTCCATAAAGGTTCAAACAGTGGTAATAATAACAGTAATAACCATAGCAATATTATCTGATCTCTCTGGGCCTCTGTTAGCCAGCTGTAAATTCGATCTCTTTCCCTGTCCCTTCCAACTTTTCTGAGTTCTTTTAAAAACCAGACCATGGGCTTGGAAATGCCTTGATCTTTACTGACCGAGTTGTATATTGAGCCTAGCCCTGGCCCTTTTAAGGGGTACTGTGTGGAATGTCCCGGCCTCCCCAGATTGGAACTTCTCACTCTTCGCCATCCAGTTCTCGAGCCGCAGCAGAGCACATACGGAGTGGGAGTTAGAGCAGTCCCTACAGGAGAAGGCACGGCTGAAGGCATAGCTAACACAGGTGAGGTTTTGCAGAGGGAGGGATGTGGAAGGAAGATGACCCCAGGTGGCCAGGAGCAGGTGAGGACCAGTGACAGCCCTTCCTAACTTCTGTGCCCATTCTTGCAGTTGAAGGAGTCGTTTCAACAAGTCCAATTACAGAGAGATAACTATGCTCAACAAATAAAAGGAGAGAGGGCCCGGTGGCAGCAGAGGATGAGAAAAATGTCGCAGGAGGTGAGATCTGACCCTTCAGCCCCCCCACATTAGATAGGTCACTGGATCTTTCTGGGCATCTGTAAAATGGGAATAGTAGAGCCAGAGGTGGTCATGGGTCTGGGCTTTGTGGAGGTGGGGGCAGAGAGGGAGAGGGCAGCCTGTCCAGCCTCCAGCCCCTCTCTCCAGGGCCCTTTCCCCCTGTGCTTTGGGCAGGTTTACACACTGAAGACAGAGAAGGAGCATTATACACATCGGGTAGAGGGGCTGGAGAGGAGCTTGTCCAAACTCAAAAACCAGATGGGTAAGATGGGGCTGGCGTGACCTGGGAGCAGGACTGGCATCAGAGGGCTGTGAGGGTGGCTTCGAATGCCCCAGGGAGGTGGGTGGATGGAAGGGAGAGGGAGGCAGAGGGAAAGAGGTCTGTGCTAGGAGACGGCAAGTCTTGTCATCTCCATGAGCCTCAGGGTCCTTATCAGCAAAGGGGGCCCATTGTCAGCCACCCACAGTTCTCTCTATCTGAAAGTGGCTTTGAAGACTGGCTACCATCCGGCTGTGAGGAATCATTAGCAGTGAGGCCAAGTTTGGGGAGCCTGAGAGGAGCTGTGTACCAAGAGGACGGTTTTTGTTTTGTTTTGTTTTGTTTGAGAATCCAGAAGCCCTTATTGTCTGCTTCCTTTCTCAGCTGAACCCCTGCCTCCAGAGCCCCCAGCAGTGCCCTCTGAGGTGGAGCCGCAGCACCTGAGGAAGGAACTAGATAGAGTGGCAGGAGAGCTCCAGGTCCAGGTCAAAAACAATCAGCGCATAAGTCTCCTGAACTGGGGACAAGACGAGAGGATTCGAGAGCAGGAAGAGAGGCTTCGGAAGCAGGAGGAGAGGTTTTAGGAGCAGCATAAGAGGCTTCAGCAGCTGGCCGAGCCACAGAGCATCTTCAAGGAGCTGGTGCGTTGCCCCTCCTGGGGAGCCTGCCCTCCCAAGCCCTCTGGGCCTTTGTTTCCCCACCTCTAAAATGGGGCAGTGTAGCCCTCATGTGAAAGGTTACTTCTAAAGGCACCTGTGAGCCAGGTGGCTGTGGGAGAGAGGGGATGATTTTTCTAACCGGCCTCCAGCCTTCCCAGTGCCATGGGAGGCAGACACCAAGTTCTGGGGTCTCCAGCTGCAGTGGGTGGCTGCTGATTGCTTCTCTCTGTCCAGAACAATGAGAACAAGAGCGCACTGCAGTTGGAGCAGCAAGTAAAGGAGCTACAGGAGAAGCTTGGTGAGGTGAAGGACACGGAAACCTCCACCCCATCCAAAAAGGGCTGGGAGGCAGGCAGCAGCCTCTGGGGAGGGGAGGTACCAAGCCAGAGGCAGCTCCAGCCTGGGGGCTGGTGACCCCAGCACCATCCAGGGCAGTACTGTGACTGTTTCTTGCTTCCTGCCCTCTGACTTTTAGAGGTGGGTAGCCCTGGGCTCCTCTCAGGTCTGGACATCATCATCCCAGCTAGAGGCATGGAGCCCCCAATCACAGGGGAAGAGACAGTGCTATAACAGGCTCCTTATGCCAGCTGCAGTGGCTCACACCTGTAATCCCAGCACTTTGGGAGGCTGAGGCAGGAGAATCACTTGAGGTCGTGAGTTTGAGATCAGCCTGGCCAACATGGTAAAACCTCATGTCTACTAAAATTACAAAAATAAAAAATAAAAATTAGCAGGGCATTGTGGCGCATGCCTGTAATTCCACCTACTCTGGAGGCTGAGGCAGGAGAATCGCTTGAGCCCAGGAGGTGGAGGTTGCAGTGAGCTGAGATTGCACCACTGCACTCCAGCCTGGGCCACAGAGTGACACTCTTGTCGGAAAACAAAACAAAAAGTCTCCTTAGATTAAAACTGGATTCCAGCCTCGGTTCCACTGGTCACCATTCAAGTACTTTGCATCTCTAAGTCTCTGTTTCTTTAACTTCAAAGGGAAGTTAGCATTTTCCTTACAGAGGTGCTGAGGATTAAATGAGAAGAGGGTATGAGATTTGAGGCTGGGGAAGGAGGCATGGGGTTCTAGGAAAGGGAGGCAGTCACTTAGGCCTGGAGTAAGGGGACAGGGGCCTGGGCAGGCGACAGAGCCCCACAGTGCTGTTGCTACCCTGTTAATGGGCCCAGAATCTGGAAGCCAGCCACCACATGCCCTCACACCCAGGGTCTTCCTGCAGGTGGAGCTGAAGAGCCAAGAGGCTCAGAGTCTGCAGCAGCAGCCAGACCATTACCTGGGTCACCTGCAGCAGTACGTGGCCACCTATCAGCAGCAGGTGGCCGCCTATCAGCAGCTGACCTGTGAGAAGGAGGCGCTGTACAGGCAGTGCCTGCAACAGACCCAGCTAATGAAACAGCTGCAGCAGCAGGAAGTTTGGGGCAAAGCAGTGGCCGAGATGGCCTGCCAAAAGTTGCAGGAGACCCAGGGGAGGGAGCTGCCAAGGATGGGGCTGTGAGGGGGACGACCTGGCAAACTCCATCCCTTCTCACTCTGTCCTGGCCCCTTAGGAGCACCTGGAAGCGGCCAGCCAGCAGAACCAGCAGCTAACGGCCCAGCTGAGCCTCATGGCTCTCCCTGGGGAAGGTACGGGAGACTGCTCAGAGGAAGAGGAGAGAGCCCCAGGAGGAAGGGGGGACTGCTAGCAGCATAGGATTGAGGAGTTGGAAGAGACCTTTAGAACAGCTGGTCATTATGCCGACCGGGTGCCTGCACTAAGTTCGGCATCAGTGTGGTGACCTCCTGTGAGCGGGGGGTCACCAAGTTGCCTAAGGGTGGCTGAACTGGCCAAGGTCAGAAAGGGAGCAGGTCAGAACTCCCACATCGACCAGTAGTGGGAGTGTGCCTGGGCGGAATAGCAAGATCTTGATTCTTAAAAGTAAAAATAAAGAACAACAGCTCATTCCTCTCTGGGGAGGGGCTGGCTCAGGGTTACACAGTGAGGGTGGAGGTAGAGGTGGGCCCACAGTACCTCCCTTGTTGGGTTGTCTGAAGACCCCTCTGGCCACCCCCCACAGGACACGGAGGAGAACATCTGGACAGTGACGGGGAGGAGGCACCTCGGCCCATGCCGAGTGTCCCAGAGGACCTGGAGAGCAGGGAGGCCATGGTGAGCCTGACTCCCCCCTGCACCCATTTTGCCACCTTTCTCTGTGGTCCCTCCAAGACCCCTTTATGCTCTTCGTTTCCCTGCCTTCTGATTTCTCTGGACCCTCACCCCTTCTGGGAGCCAGTGGTCAGACACCATTTCACCTGTGACAAACGTGTACTCTCTGAGGCCCCAAGGGAAGGGCCTGCACTCCACCTCTCTGCCCCGTTTGCTCCGTGTATGCCCCTACAAGAATGCTCGCGTCTTGCCCTCAGGTGGCATTTTTCAAGTCCGCTGGAGCTAGTGCCCAGGAGAAGCAGGCACAGTTACAAGAGCAGGTGAAAGAGCAGAGGGTGTGCTGCCAGCGCCTGGCTCACCCGGTGGCCTCGGCCCAGAAGGAGCCAGAGGCAGCCAGAGGCCCTGGAGCCCCAGGGCCTGGGGGCGAGTCTGTGAGTGGGGAGACCCACTGGGCCCTGCAGGAAGTCACGGAGAAGCTGGCCCATGCCAGGACTCACCTCCGCCTTCTCCATGACTTGAAAATGCCACCTGAGGGCAGGTCGCTGCCGAGATGTGACTGCAATATTTTGGCTCCAGAGCAGCTTTATGGACCAACTGGAGGAGAAGGCAGACCTGAGTGAGCTGGTGAAGAAAAAAGAACTTTGCTTCATCCACCACTGGCGAGATAGATGCCATCAGTGAGTGGGAGGCCAGGGCACGGCAGGGGGAGCTGCAGGACCGTCGGAGGGGCCCCAGCGTCTGAGCCCTGTCCTCCCGCAGGAAAATCCATCACCTTTTATCAGAACCAGGGGGCCGTGCCAAAGATGCGGCACTGGTAGGAGGACACCATCAGGCTGGAGCTCAGGGAGGAGATGAAGGTAGGGTGTGCAACATCTCTGTGGGGGTGGGGGTGGGTGTGAGGGTGGGCGCAGGCAGCGGCATGGCAGCTGAGCACCCCTCCCTCCAGGTGAAGCTGCTGGAGCTGCAGCAGATGGTGTTGCGGCTTATAGCAACTACAACAATGGGCACAGAAAATTCCTGGCCACTGCCCAGAACCCTGCTGATGAGCCCGGTCCAGGAGCCCCAGCCCCCCAGGAGCTTGGGGCTGCAGGCAAGCATGGTGGTGAGTGGAGCCCTCAGGCGGGGTGGGCAGGCTGGAAGAGGGGGGCTCCCACTGTGCTCAGATCCCCGCCTCCCTCTCTCCAAAGATCTTTGTGAGGTGAGCCTCACCTCCTCTGCCCAAGGAGAGGCCACCTGGCCACATCCTGTTTTGTTCCATTTGTATTCCCACTTCATTTATATACATTCCTTCTTCCTCTGAATTATTTTGAAGTAAAACCTATATATCATATCATTTTTTAAATTACCTTATATGTATCTGTAGAAGACAAGGAATTTTAAAAAATGAATATACTCATAATGCCATTAAATACCAAAAAATACATTCTGAAAATAGCCACAAATTCAGAGTTTACATTTTCTTGACTTTCTCATAAGTGATTTTTTTCTAGGTTATCTATTTCAGATACCTGTTTGCTCATATTTACATTCCTAACTGAACAATGTCTGAAGAGGTACTTAAACCTGTCATAAAACACAAATGAGCTTATGACCAAATGCTTAGTGCCAGAAAAAACTTCAAACTGCAATATGAGTCTCTCCAAATACAGAAAGGACCAGTATTTTAAGAGGTATGTTAACTAAAATGTTGCAGTGTATGGAGCAGAGCAGGAAGAACCTTTAAGTCCGAAACTTACAAGTAAATTTCATAGTTTCCGTGGTCCTTCCACAACAACCTCTGGCATCTGTTTTTTCTACAATGGAGGTAACAGTAGCTCTTTCAGAGCAGGAAAAGGCTTAGAGCAGTGCTAGAAGAGGGTGGTGGCTATATAAAGTTTAGCTATTTGTATATTGTAACAAACCACCTTTTTTTTTTTTTTAAGTCAGTAGTAGATTTCTTTTGGAAAAGTAGCCGCCTCCTGTCTAGAGATACCTGCAGTTCCACTAAGTGAACATTGGTGTCTGCTCACCTTTGCCTCTATTTCTCTCAATAATATACTCTTAAGCTGTTCCCTGATTTAGCAATTTTATACACTTTCTTTTTCTTTATTTTTTTTTCCTTTCCCTTTTCCTGAGACACTGTCCCGCTCTGTCGCCCAGTCTGGACTGCAGCAGCGCCAACATGGCTCACTGCCACCTTCACCCCCTGGCTCAAGCAATCCTCCTACATTAGCCTTCAGAGTAGCTGGGACTGCCCGCCGGGCCCACCAGGTCAGGCTAATCTTTATGGTTTTTGTTTTGTTTTTTTGTTAAGAGACCTGGTGTCGGGGTCAGGCGCAGTAACTCACGCCTGCAATCCCAGCACCCCAGAAGGTGGAGTCCGGCAGATCACCTGAGGTGAGGAGCGGGAGACCAGCCCGAGTAACATGGAGAAACCCAGTCTCTACCAAAAAAATAAAAAAATAAAAAACTAACTTGGCATGGTGGCTCACGCCTGCAATCCCAGCCACTCTGGAGGCTAAGGCAGGAGAACCACCCAAACCCGGGAGGTAGAGGCTGCGGGGAGCCGAGACCGGGCCACTGCACTCCAGCCTGGGCAACAAGAGCGAAACTCTGCCTCAAAAAAAAAAAAAAAAAAAAGACCGGTTTCACCACGTTGCCCAGGCCGGTCTGGAACTCCTAGGCTCAAGCGATCCTCAGTGCTCGGCCGTCCAAAGTCCCAGCTGGGATCACCAGCGTGAGCCACCACGCCAGGCCAATCTATTCCTTTCTGATTAATAAATTGGGCCGGTCACAGTGGCTCATGCCTGGAATCGCACCACCCCGAGAGGCTGAGGCGGGTGGATAACCTGCAGTCGGGAGTTTGAGACCAGCCTGACCAATGTGGCGAATACTCGTCTATACTAAAAAAAAAAAAAAAAAAAAAATACAAAGTTAGCAGGCATGGTGGTTCACACCTGCAATTCCAGCCACTCGGGAGGCTGAGGCAGGAGAACCACCCAAACCGGGGAGGCGGAGGCCCAGTGAGCTGAGTCCACGCCACTGCACTCCAGCCTGGGCAACAAGAGCGTAACTCCACCTCAAAAAAAAAATACAAAAAAAAAAAGTGACCAGGTTTCACCGTGTTGCCCAGGCTGGTCTGGAACTCCTAGGCTCAAGCGATCTGCCGCGCTCGGCCGTCCAAATTCCTGGGGTCACAAGCATGAGCCACCACTCCAGGCCAATCTATTCCTTTCTAATTAATAAATTGGGCCAGGAATGGTGACTCAAGCCTGCAATCCCAGCACCCAGGGAGGCCGAGGCGGGCGGATCGCCTGCGGTCGGGAGTTTGAGATCAGCCTGACAAACATGAAGAAACCCCGTCTCTACCAAAAAAAAAAAAAAAAAAAAAAAAAAAAAAAGCCGAGCATAGTGGCTCACACCTGCAATCCCAGCCACTTGGGAAGCTGAGGCAGGAGAACCAACCAAACCTGGAGGCGGAGGCCACAGGCAGCCGAGACCACGCCACTGCACTCCAGCCAGTCAGCAAGAGCGAAATTCTGTCTCAAAAAAAAAAAAAAAAAAAGAGAAACCAAGTTTCATCATGTTGCCCAGGCCAGCCTGGAACTCCTAGGCTCAAGCGATCCCCCACGCTCAGCCATACAAATCCTGGGATCAGAATCATAAGCCACCATGCCAGGCCGATCAGTTGCTTTATGATTAATAAATTGGGCCTTGCGTGGTGACTCATGCCTGAAATCCCAGCACCCCTGGAGGCCGAGGCGGGCAGATAACCTGAGATTAGGAGTTTGAGACTAGCCTGACCAACATGGAGAAACCCCATCTCCACCAAAAAAATAAAAAAAGAGCCGAGCATGATGGCTCACGCCTGCAATCCCAGCCACTAGGGAGGCTGTGGCAGGAGAACCACCCAAACCCGGGAGGCAGAGGCCCGGCGAGCTGAGTCCACACCACTGCACTCCAGCCTGGGCAACAAGAGCAGAACTCCGCCTCAAAAAACAAAAACAAAAACAAAAAACAAACAAAAAAAGTGACCCGGTTTCACCATGTTGCCCAGGCTGGTCTGGAACTCCTAGGCTCAAGGGATCCAACACGCTCGGCTGTCCAAATTCTTGGGATCACAAGCGTGAGCCACCACACCAGGCCAATCTATTCTTTTCTGATTAATAAATTGGGCTGGGTGCGGTGGCTCACACCTGCAATCCCAGCACCCCGGTGGCTCATGCTTACAATCCTGTAGCAGGATTTTTAAGGAATTAGAGAGACTGATGGGGTTTAGGAGGTTATTAATTAATTATTTACGTGCATTGGCCCAGTCGGATTAACATTTAAAGCACTGAGTTCTGAACAAGACTTACATTTTAAGCATTTTATGGGGTGGGGGTAGATCTGTGCAGGATGAAGCATATGATAGAAGTGAGAAACAAAGATAATTGTTCAGTTGAATCATGCATTATATTATTTTTTCCTTTTTTAGGAAAAATATATTTTGTAACTTGAGTTAGTTTAGTGACCTTGCAGTTGTACAGTTAGGGAATTAGGGTTTTTATAATGCCCGGGAAGGGAGGAGAGATAAGGCTCACTGCCATAGAAAAACAGGAGGTAGTAGTTTTTATTGAAGGACTCCAGCTCCTCTCTTTCTCAGGGGGAATTGGGTTTTTTTACATACAACTGAGTTTTTGTTTACACATTTTTTAATTTCTTTTAATTCCTGTTCCCATCCCAGCACCATGAGAGGCCGAGGCAGGCAGATAACCTGAGGTCGGGAGTTTGAGACCAGCCCCATGAACATGGAGAAGCCCCATCTCCACCAAAAAAAAAAAAAAAAAAAAATACAAAATACAAAATTAGCCGGGCATGGTGGCTCAGCCTGCAGTCCCAGCCACTCAGGAGACTGAGACAGGAATATTTTCTCCCTCCCTTAGATAAAAGATAGCATATACCATTGTGCACTTTATTTGTTTTTTGACCTGGGGTGGGGTCTCACTCTGTCACTGAGGCTGGAGTACAGTGGGGTGATCTTGGCTCACTGAAACCTCTGCCTCCTAGACTCAAGCTGTCTTCCCACCTCAGCCTCCAGGGTAGCTGGAACCACAGGTGTGTGCCACCACACCCAGCTATTTTTTTTGTATTTTTGGTAGTGACTGAGTTTTGCCATGCTGCCCAGGCTGATATCGAGCTCTTGGGTTCAGGCGATCCACCTGCCTCAGCCTCTCAGAATGTTTTCAAAGTGCTGGGAATTACAGGTGTGAGCCACTGCACCGGCCCATTTTGCACCTTTTTAAACTTCTCTCAGAGATGACTTCATATCTGTTTATAGAAATGTTCTTCATCTTTTTTTAAATTAGTACTTTGTAGTGTGGATGTACCACTTTTTTATTCAGTTAGGTTTTTTTTGACATTTGAGTGTTAGGTCTTTTTTTCTGACATTGTAAGACTAAAATATGAAAAGGAAAACTGGAAAAAATTTCAAAGAAAATTTACCTAACTGTCTTTGTGATCTTGTTGTAGGGAAACTTTTTGTAATGATTAGTATCCAGTATATGAAAAATAGCCTAATAATGAAAAGGAAAACTTAAGACAAAATGGGCATAGGATGTGAAGAGTTACTTTACAGAGGAAGAAATTGGAATGGTCAGTAAACGTGGGAAAAGATACTTGAACCAGAAACTCATGGATAAATTGAAAGTTAAAATGACTATTCTGTCATCTTCAGAGTGGCAAAAATATAAGTCTGACAGAATTGCTGGCAGAGATATGGGCCAGTGGAAACTCAGCTAGGTAAAGTGGAGCGCAATTTTATAATCTCTAATGAAGTTGAAGATGCACATACCTGAGCAAAAAAATACATGTGTACAAAGAAATTTGGAATAACTGTTTATCACAGTAGTGTTTGCAGTAATACAAGATGATGCAGAATGTAAGTTAACCAACAAGAGATTGGATAATTAAACTCATATCCATGTGGTGGAATATTATACAGCAATTAAACATGAACATACTAGATTAAAAAGAATTAACATGGGTAAATCTCATGAAGAAAACTTTGGGTAAAAAAGGCAAGCTGCAGAAGGATATGGGCAATATAATAACATATGTGAGTAGTTCATTTCCATATTTATGTTGTTTCAATGTTTAAAAAAAAAAAGAGTTATTGGCCGGGCGCGAAGGCTCACGCCTGTAATCCTAGCACTTTGGGAGGCTGAGGTGTATCGGGCAAAATTCACCCCCGATATTTCACATGGGTTCTTTTCTATTTTCCCCAAGTGTCGGCCAGTCTGAGAAATAAAGGGAAAGAGTACAAAAGAGAAATTTTAAAGCTGGGTGTCCGGAGGAGACATCACATGTGGGCAGGTTCCGTGATGCCCCCTGATCCGTAAAACCGGCAAGTTTTTATTAGCAATTTTCAAAAGGGGAGGGAGTGTACGAATAGGGTGTGGGTCACAGAGATCACATGCTTCACAAGGTAATAAAATATCACAAGGCAAGTGGAGGCAGGGCGAGATCACAGGACCACAGGACTGGGGCGAAATTAAAATTGCTAATGAAGTTTCAGACACGCGTTGTCATTGATAACATCTTATCAGGAAACAGGGTTTGAGAGCAGACAACTGGTCTGACCAAAATTTATTAGGCAGGAATTTCCTCATCCTAATAAGACTGGGAGCGCTATGGGAGACCGGGGCTTATTTCTTCCCTCTGCTGTGACTGTAAAAGACAGCCGTCCCCAAAGTGGCCATTTCAGAGGCCTCCCCTCAGGGACGCATTCTCTTTCTCAGGGATGTTCCTTGCTGAGAAAAAGAACTCAATGATATGTCTCCCATTTGCTTTTGAAAGAAGAGAAATATGGCTCTGTTCTGCCTGGCTCACTGGTAGTCAGAGTTTAAGGTTATCTCTCTTGTTCCCTGAACATTGCTGTTATCCTGTTGTTTTTTCAAGGTGCCCAGATTTCATATTGTTCAAACACACATGCTCTACAAACAATTTGTGCAGTTAACACAATCATCACAGGGTCCTGAGGTGACATACATCCTCCTCAGCTTACGAAGATGACGGGATTAAGAGATTAAAGTAAAGACAGGCATAGGAAATCACAAGGGTATTGATTGAGGAAGTGATAAGTGTCCATGAAATCTTCACAATTTATGTTCAGAGACTGCAGTAAAGACAGGCGTAAGAAATTATAAAAGTATTAATTTGGGGAACTAATAAATCTCCATGAAATCTTCACAATTTATGTTCTTCTGCCATGGCTTCAGCCGGTCCCTCCGTTCGGGGTCCCTGACTTCCTGCAACAGAGGTAGGTGGATCACCTGAGGTCAGGAGTTTGAGACCAGCCTGGCCAACATGGTGAAACCTCATTTTGGGGTGTGGTGGTGCACGCCTGTAATCCCATCTACTCGGTAGGCTGAGGCAGGATAATCACTTGAACCGGGGAGGCGGAGGTTGCAGTGAGCCCAGATTGCAACACTGTACTCCAGCCTGGGTGACAGAGCAAGACTCTGTCACCAAAAAAAAAAAAAAAAAATCTCTTAGTTTCTGATGGTTTTCCTGACCATATATGTGATGCCGAAGTTGCTTTTTTGTTGTCACACCTATTGGCATCAAGTGCTGAACTTTTCATGGAGTGGCAATTTTTTGGTAATAAAGCAACTTTCAAAATGAGTCTAAGTTTATCTCTGGAAAAGTTTGAAAGAATCAGTGAAGGTTCTTTTAGACAGTACCCATGTTCTACAGATCAGCCATTCTCTCTCTGTCTCTCAAATTTTCAGTAAACCTTTCCACATAGGATGTCAGCACGATTTTATTAATACATTAAATATATGTAAAATAAGGCAAATTAAGACACAACTCCATCAACTCTCATCTACTCTGGGCTTATTTCTCTTCATAGTACATAACACCATCTACGTCATATGCTTATTGTCTGTTTCTATTAGAGCAGGGTATTTTTGTTAGTGCTGTTAGTGTGCTCAGCATATACAGCAGCACTTGGCAGACAGTAGGTGCTGAATGAAAGAATGAAGAAGAACAGAACTCATTTTACTAAAGACATTTTGATATCACTTTTGGGATAGGATACTATACATTAAAGATGATACAGTGTTTATTCCAGAATGGTCTTAGCTACAGTGTTCACAGCACAGTATTTGTATACTTAACGCTGTTATCCATTCTACCTTCCTTTGAGGTTGGCATGAGAGTTGCCCGTCAGCGTATGTGTGCTCTTAGAAATCGGGGACAATACTATTCATTTTAAGCTTCTTGGCAGTGACGTGTACTTAACTAGATGGTGAACTCATAGGTGGAGGGGGAGTATCTAATGCTTTCGTATTCTGCTTTTCAGCAAATAAATATTACCGTACTGTGTGTGTAACATGAGCTATATAAGTGTGTGATGATTAAATTAGAAGATAGGGTTCTCTGCAATCCAGTTTTCCAAGATAAATTTTTGCCTTGTTTTTCTTAGGTAATAAAGGTACCATATTGACTGTTGATATATGCCTACTTAGTCATGCTTCTCTTGCAGTAATCTTATCAAATTGCCAGCTTTTTACTTTTTTAGAGAGACAGTCCTAGAATTGAGAATCCTCTTTTGCCTACATTCAAAATAGACTATATTACGTGGGTAGGAAATTTCTGGTGACCTACTTTTAATTTTTAAATTTAAAAAAATTTTAGCATAGTTTTAGATTTAGAAAATAGTTGCAAAGGTGGTATAGAGAGTTTCTGTGTACCACACAGGCACCCAGTTTCCCCTGTTGCTAACATCTTACATGATTATGGTATATTTGTCACAACTAACAAATCAGTATTGATATATTATAACTAAACTGCATACTTTTAGGGGTAGTGACCCAGTTTTAAAGCTTATTTCCCACAATTTGTTAAAAATGACAATCAGCATTGAATGCCCATGGGTGGTGGCTTCCTGATTCTTCAAAGAAACTGAGTAATTTTGTAACCATTGGGACTTATCAGGAAATAAGGAACTCATAATAATGTGCGCTTAAATTTCCAGTGGAGGAATTGTACAGCTTAAAATATGTTTTTGTAAGTTGGGTATTAATAAAGAGGCTGGGTGGGGTTTGATCACTATTAATTCTGATTTATTTTGTTCCCTGGAAAATATGTTACTACCACATGGTCTACCCTTCATAGATAATCAATCCTAAGATCACTGGGTGGAAAAGGGTTGCCCTGTAGTAGGAAATGTGTCCTCCTGGGACTGAGTTGAGATTTAGTTTAGCACACAGTATAAGTAGCCAATGGCTGCTATGAGACTGACTTCTAGAATTCAAATTGGTATAAATTTAATCTAATTCTTTTCCCCAGGACTGCCCAATTTAAGATTAAGTTTTAAACTGGCGCTTATTAGAGATATGGCCATTTTGCCATTTCAGTGGAACCTTTTAATCAGCTTTAATGCTGTCTTAGGTAAAGTAAAAACTTAATCTAAGGGCTTTTCTAGTTTGCCATCCTCAAAGCAGAAAAAGCAGCAATGAAGCAGCACTGCCTCATATAGACTCTGCTTTTATTAAATTTGATTCAATAATCCTCTTCCAGTCATCTTTTGTGCTGCATATTTGAACCATAAAATAAACAAAAATTGTACCCAAATGAAAATTTCAAGTTATTTTAATGAAGCTCTGGAAACATCCCACAGCTCAGAAGATATTTTTTCCTAGTTTATTTTTTAAATTCTGGAAAGTAGGTCAGTAGACATACCCTGCTTTAATTGGTTTAATTAGAAGTGAAAAATTATAGGACTAACTCAATTTGAAGTATAGATTTCAATAAGAAGAATTATACTGGGATGAATATTATTTAAGGTTTTGAATTTAAGATGCATTTAATCAATGCTTATAATTTCCTCTTGAAAAGATTTATATTGCAAAAAGGAAGACTAAGTGTTGGAATATATCAATATACAGGGAAAAACTTTGCCATGAAATATAATATTTGATAAAATCATTTTAGAATTGTATCTCTAAATGGTATGCCTAAGAATATTGTTCTATAGGACCTTAATAGATATGCCTCGGGGGAAAAAAGTATTGTGTGCTCAAGTGAGTTTGAGATACACTGCATTAAATATAAGAAGTTGCCTTCAGGACTTCTCAGAGTCTTTAACACTTTCTGAATTTCTGAGACAAGATATATAGAGGGTACAGTACTTTGCAAACCTATTTATCCCTATACCACCTAGTAACATTTTTCAGGAAAATGTTTTGAGAACACGAATTGGACCTGTTTTAGGAATTTATACCTTTGACAATGTTGAGGACCTTGTTTTTTCCTATTATAATGATGATGTGATATTCACATATATTACTTTTTCCCAATTCTTTATCTTTAAGATATTTTTCCAATGTATTATATTCAACCCTCTGCTCAGTGCCTTCCTTCTGCTAACTGAAGTGGTGGTTTCCATCTGTTGCTACACATCAGAAATACCTGGCCCTGACCCTGGAGATTCTGTAAGAATAGAAATGCCAGAATACCTGCTCAGGATTCTGTATTTATTACAAACACCCAGGTGATTCTGATGCAGCCAACACTGGTCCTCCAACTGATGCTTTGGAATTGTTGAACTAAAAGCATGCCTTTTTTTCTAGATGGATGAGTAGATTGGGGCATAGTTTGTGGTCCTAGAACACATGGGTTAACCATCCATCCTAGTGAGAATGATAGCACAGGCCTCTGATGACCCCACGAGGTGCTGTGCTGGCTATAACCTAACATGAAACTATTATTATTCTTTAAGAAAAGCAGAATATGTCTAAATGGGCTTTTAGCCACCTTCCTAATAATGAAGTACCATATATATGATTACCATTTGTTTTAATTTCAAGTAATTCCCTTGTAGATGAGGTTTTATTTATTTATTTATTTGTTTGTTTGTTTGTTTGAGACGGAGTCTCGCTCTTTTGCCCAGGCCGGAGTGCAGTGGCGTGATCTCGGCTCACTGCAAGCTCCACCTCCTGGGTTCACGCCATTCTCCTGCCTCAGCCTCCCGAGTAGCTGGGACTACAGGCGCCCGCCACCATGCCCAGATAATTTTTTGTATTTTTGGTAGAGACGGGGTTTCACTGTGTTATCCAGGATGGTCTGGATCTCCTGACCTCGTGATCCGCCCGCCTTGGCCTCCCAAAGTGCTGGGATTACAGGCGTGAGCCACCGTGCCCGGCCTGTTCTTTAAAAAGAATATTAGATTATATTTTCTAAATGTGCCAAGTATCTAAGAATATATTCTTTCACCTCCTGCTGATAAGAGTTATACATTTAACCTTAAGCAAATCTGCCAAGATTCTATGTCATTTATGCTTTGATTTATGTGAGTATTAATGTAGTTTCTGTGACTATTGTATGGTTATATATACCCTCCACCTAGTAAAACAGTTCCATATTCCTGGAAATGGTCTTTTACATCCCACAAATGTAGCTGGAAAGGAATAATATAAATACTAATGGTTTGAGAGACAACTAGTCTTGACATGTCTTGGTTGAATAGTGTTCTATAAGCAACAATATATGAAATACTAGACACACCCATTAAAAGTAGAAAATACCCACTACTGTTCTAAAATTATTCTGCAAGATCTCACCAATGCAATGAGACATAAAACAGAAATAATGGGTGTAATTATTGAAAATTGGAGATAAAATTTTTATTACTTGCAAACAAAATTCTCTGTGTCAAAAACCTGATAAATTAAACAATACAATTAATATGTTTAATAGAACTAATTACATATGAGAGGCATCCAAAATCCATTTTTTCTATACAAACATGGTTTGATATACACAGTCTTGTTTTATCTGTGTATTAATTGGTTGATGAAATAATAAATGGAAAAATCAAGTATGCATTATCAGGTTAAAGAAGCAGGAGAGACAGAGCCATAAAAACAAAGAGAGAAGAATGTTGTAAGGAGGGCTTAACGACCAGGATAAATGTTGTAGAGAGATCAATTAAAGTGATGGCCTAGAGATCACAGGCTTCCTTTGGCAGAGCCATGTTGGTGAAGTGAAGGAAGTGGAAGCCAGACCACAATGGTTGAAGAATGAATGTAATGTAAGAGCCAAGACATTTATTTGAGTTTGATAGTAATGAAAAAGGACGAGAATTTTCTTCTTGCTGTTGTTTTTGTCATTTCATGTTCAAAACCCTTTATCTCCCATGTGGGACTGAAAACTCCAAGATGGGATCTCTGTTTCTGTGAGGCCTGTAGTGCTTAGTACATCCTTGAATGTGTGAGGCTCTCATTGGTATAAGTTTAATTCCTGACTGTGGATGAAAGCTTTAAAACTTTGTGGGCAAAATACAGAATGAATTTCAGTGAGTTCCCATGTATTAAACAAGGTGGCGCTGGCTGGAGACATGCTGTCCCTGTGCCCACAGGAGTAGCAGTGCTGTGCTCATCTTCCTGACCCGCTCTTCACAGTCTTCACCGCCTTTCTTCAGGAGTCTCCCCTTTGGCTTTTCCACAGCTATGAAACCCACGTAGTCGGACACCCTGATGCTTCTCCTGCAGGGCGTGTGATGAGGAGGTGAGCTTGGCTTTGGAGTGCTGGGAACCTGAGGAATTGCCAAGGACCCAGAGCCCAGCCCTGACCACCCAGAGAGCCCAAAACACAATGAACAAATTGAATTTCCACAACAGAGTCATGCAAGACCGCCGCAGCGTGTGCATTTTCCTTCCCAATGATGAATCTCTGAACATCATCATAAATGTGAGTAGATCTCAATATAATTCTGATAGCTGGAGGATAGTGTATTTTCAGGTTTGCTGGAGGAAAAAAACTGGACTTTAAATAATTAAGACAAAATGATTGTATTAATTGACTTCTATGCTTAATCACTAATTTCACTTTTTATATTTCCCTTGACTTTTGGGGGAGAAATAGTCTTTGTCTCAAAAGTGGGCTTCAGTGACCTATGGGTCTGATGAAGCAACCAGGGATAATGAGACAAGGATATTTAATGGCAACATGCCAGCAATTATTATTAGTTAATTGAAAGCGTTTATGATTTTGGCCTGGGGCCAATGCTTTCCCCCTCTGCTGGGCTAACATGTGGGTAAGGGAGAGGAAAAGCTTTGTTTCACTTTTTAAATAAAAGTATTACGTAACTTTGAAATTTGTATAAAATTAAAAGATAGTAAAAACAACTATTCTAACAGAATTCAAAACCTGTTATGCTTCAGTGGAGAGATTATTCAAGATAAGTCTGTGGGAAATTGGGAGTACATTTCTACTGGCAAAGTTAGTGATAACTATGCACTTCTGACAAAATGTGAAATGGGGGGTATGGGCGTGTCATATCATCATGGTGCAGATACGTGGATGTGTGCTTCCAAACAATGGCAACCTAACTGACTGCTGGAACCATACAAAATACCTGAAACTACTCAGAAAGAAGGTGAAAATTGCATGCAAAAATTATTTGAAAAATATTGAGCTAACACAACATGAATTTTGAATTATAAGTGAGGTATTGTAACTCACCTACAGATGTGTTTTTTGTAATCAATATTCATGGACTCAGACTACACAGTAAAAGCTTACATAGAAATCATTCTATCTAAACTTTCTGGATATGAAAGTAACTTACTATGTGTTTTGCTACTATATCTTTATATGAATTTAAATCACATTTCCAAGTGGCTTACAGTAATCAAGGTTAATTTGTCACAAGGAAGATGCAAATTAAAACCACATTGCAATATCACTGCACACCCACTAGTACGGTTTAAAAGAAAAAAAAACAAAATATCAAGTATTGGTGAAAATGTGGAGCAAACAGAACTCTTTTTCAATAATGGCGGGTATGTAAAGTGGCACAAACACTTTGGAAACCTGTTTGGCATTATACCATACTAAACCTGAACACATGCATTGTTTATGACCCAGGAATGCCCCTCCTGGGAACCAACAACAACGCATATATGTGTTGCATATGTTCACCAAAAGACATTTACAAGAATGTTCATAGCAGCACTATTTGAAATCGCCCCCAAGTAGAAGATGCACAAATATTTAACAGTAGTTAGATAAAGTGTGGTACGTTTATGCAATATAATACCATATAGAAACGAGAGTGAGGGATCTGCAAACTAATATGCAACTGTACAAATGAATCCCACAAATATAATGTTGGGTGGCAGAAGCCAGATGCAAATGAATACATGCTGTAGATTTCATTCTTTTACATTAAAAAAGCTAGTCACACAAAGTTATGCTGTTAGAAGAGAGTGATTTGGTCGGGCGCAGGGGTAGTTACAGGAAGGGAGTACACGGAGATTTCTGGTTGTTAGTTATGTTCAGTGTCAATCTAGGTGCTAAACAGGTACAATAAAGATTTTAGAATTCATCAATTTGCACACTTATGATAGATGCACTTTCCTGTATGTATATTTCAATACAATCTTTTAAAAAGTAAAATGACAAAAAGACACTATTAACAAAAATGACATATTACATTAACTGTTATACTAAGGAAAATATAAAAATGAGTTCTATAACAGGGGCTCTGCAGGTCATGTGGTCATGCCAAGGACCATATGTGCTCAAGATTCTCATGACATTTTGGAAGGAGGTTGGGCTTTCTTTATCTTTCCTTTCTTCTCTCCCTTCCCTTCCCTTCCCTATTTTTAAACCTAGGTTTGGTATTTTCCTGGGGTGATGGTGACTTTGGAAAATTGGGCCGGGGCGGAAGTGAAGGCTGCAACATTCCCCAGAACATTGAGAGACTAAATGGACAGGGGGTGTGCCAGATTGAGTGTGGAGCTCAGTTCCTACTGGCGCTCACCAAGTCTGGAGTGGTGTGGACATGGTACGTAAACGTCCTCCCCATCACAGTGTGCGTGCTTGTGCCGGTGCGTGCAGGGAACTTGGGCCTCGCCCCAGGACCACCCCGGCGTGATTGTGACCTGTCATATTTTTACTTATGCATGCATCTTTGTCCTTTAAAGGATATTGAGTCGGGATTAGTGACAATAGTACAAGAAGAAATTTCCTATTGTAACTGGGTCATTTTGAAAATACTAGAAAAATTTTAGGCCACTTACCTTTCCTGTTTGGGCGAGATTTATAGGAAGTGTTTCTTCTGCTGAAGCCTAAGGATAAAATGAGAGCAAAATAGCCTTCTGAATCCTTTGATCCTGAGAAAGTTAACATGTATTTCTTGTTAAAGCTTATTATATTAATGTGCAAAAGAGCAGGTGCCCAGACTGGCCTTGGATGCTGTGTCAGGCCTTGCTGCCTCTGGTCATAACATTGGCACTATTTATTTATTTATTTATTTGAGATGGAGTCTCGCTCTATCGCCCAGGCTGGAATGCAGTGGCACAATCTCAGCTCATTGCAAGCTCCGCCTCCGGGGTTCACACCATTCTCCTGCCTCAGCCTCCCGAGTAGCTGGGACTACAGGTGTCTGCCACCATGCCCGGCTAATTTTTTTGTATTTTTAGTAGAGATGGGGTTTCACCGTGTTAGCCAGGATGGTCTCAATCTCCTGACCTCGTGATCCACCCACCTCAGCCTCCCAAAGTGCTGGGATTACAGGCGTGAACCACCGCGACTGGCCAACATTGGCACTTTAAGAAAGATGTATACTAGATAGGACTTTGGATAGGTGTTTGCAGTAGTGTGTCTTATTTTCAGTCTATATGAAAACCTACAACAGTAACTTAAATATTGTAGAACATGTATTAAGGTATTAAGGTTTTTCCCAGCTGACTTAATAAGTTAATTTGAATTAATGGTGTATGATTTTGAATACAAGTTCGAAGACCTTGGGTGCTGTGTGTGATGTCATTGAGCTGGCTGTGAAAGATGTGAGACAATGAGTGTCTTCTTGTATCGCATGGTAAGACCATAACCGTATTGTAACACTCCACCACGGGCCTCCTCTCAGGGGAAAGGGGGATTACTTCAGGTTGGGCCACCGCTCTGACGTGCACGTTCGGAAGCCGCAGGTGGTGGAAGGGCTGAGAGGGAAGAAGATCGTGCATGTGGCTGTCGGGGCCCAGCATTGCCTGGCGGTCATGGACTCAGGGCAGGTAAGGCTGCAGGTGGCCTGGGGGTGGCGTGCCATCCTGACTTGGGGGACTTGGGGGTCACGACACGGCCCTCGTCCTGTTGAAATCGCAGCTGTTGATGAAATCAGCCGAGTCTTACTGCTTGAAGAACCATGGGGGCGGGACCCGTCCCTTTTGCCCGCTGGTGCATCTGCCTACTCAGCAGCAGGGGTTGGGGGCGGGGTCCTCAGAAAAGAGGCGTTCCCACTCTGAAGTCCACGTGAAAAGTGTGTGGAAAGATTGTTATTCTTTTTATTATTATTTTTTTTTTGAGACAGAGTCTCGCTTTGTCGCCCAGGCTGGAGTGCAGTGGCGCGATCTCGGCTCACTGCAAGCTCCGCCTCCTGGGTTCACGCCATTCTCCTGCTTCAGCCTCCCGAGTAGCTGGGACTACAGGTGCCTGCCATCGCTACCAGCTAATTTTTTGTATTTTTAGTAGAGACAGGGTTTCACCGTGGTCTCGATCTCCTGACCTCGTGATCCACCCGCCTCGGCCTCCCAAAGTGCTGGGATTACAGGAGTGAGCCACCGTGCCCGGCCAAAAGATTGTTATTCTTGAAGATGCTCCTACTGCAAGGTATTAGCAAGACTTTGCTTTAGAGAATTGCTAACTGGCAGGAGGGATCCATGCCTCATTTTAGAGACAGAGCTGGTGCCTGACAAGTGTTACACTCTCTTCTGCTTGGAGAAGCATACGCTATGACCGGCCTGTGGATATTCAATTTAAAATTTTATTTATGAAAACAAAATTACCATTACTGTTTTTTTAGTCAAAATGAATTATACTTTATAATTCTATAAGGCCAAGGAGCAACTTACTTGAAAAATGAGCATATTATTTTTGGTCATTTTTCTTTGCAAAGTAAAAGGGAAAAAATTATTGCACTTTTTTGAAGAGAAGACCTTCTGTGTGTCTTGCAACAAAACAGAATTAATTGGATTAATATTAAGAAAATACTCTTTTTATGGTTATTGGCAAGCATTTTCATGGTTAGATTTTCTTCAGAATTGTAGTACACTGATGCCATTTTGTAAGATTGTGAAATGGTTTGTTTTTACTTTTCAGAACTCAATTCTTTCAACTACCATGGCATACACGTTAAGCATTTTGAAGTAAAAATTACATTAAAGAAAATGTCCTGAAATGTTGAAAAATTATAAGCATTTTTCCCCTCATAAACAGGTGTATGCTTGGGGTGACAATGACCACGGCCAGCAGGGCAATGGCACGACCACGGTTAACAGGAAGCCCATGCTCGTGCAAGGCTTAGAAGGCCAGAAGATCATGTGTGTGGCTTGCGGGTCGTCCCACAGTGTGGCGTGGACAACTATGGATGTGGCCACGCCCTCTGTCCACGAGCCCGTCCTCTTCCAGACTGCAAGGGACCCTTTAGGTGCTTCCTATTTAGGTAACACAGATTTGCATCTTCTCTGAGATTTTCCAGTAGGTTACAGCAACCTTATATTTATTTAATTGTGCCAACACATTAGAGGTTGTAGTGCCGTGTTAACTACATTATGAATCTAAAGACACAGAAGAATTATGGTGTGCTCTCATGCGATTTATACATGCTGGAATGAAAGTTTTAGAAGAAAGTATGTTGCTGATTCTTGTGTTTATGATCAGGTAAACTCACAGCGCTGTACTTGTGTGTGAACAGGACTCCTAATAACTGCCTGAGAGATACAGGCACTGTACTGGGCTCTTTTGTATTTTTTAACAGCTTTATTCAGTTATAATTGACATATAATAAACTGCACCTATTTAAAGTATGCATTTTGATCGACTTTGGAATATGTATGATCCATGAAAGCATCAGCACAATCAAAGATAATGAACTCATACACTACCCCAGCGTTCCTCTCTGGCCCTCTGTACCCCTCCCTTTTGCTTTTAACTCCCTCCTTCCTGCCGTATGCACCAATTTAATTTCTGTCACTAGAGATCAGTTTGCATGTTTTCTTTTTTGTTGTTGTTGTTGTTTTGTTGGGTGTTTTGTTTATTTGTTTGTTTTCTTTTTTTTTGTAGACCGGGTCTCACTCTGTCGCCCAGGCTGGAGTGCAGTGGCATGATCTCGGCTCACTGCAGCTTCCACCTCCTGGGCTCAAGTGATCCTCCCACCTTAGCCTCCCAAATAGCTGGGACTACAGGCACATGTCACCATGCCTGGCTAATTTTTGTTTGTTTGGTGGAGACATGGTTTTGCCATGTTGCTCAGGTTGGTCTGGAACTCCTGAGCTCAAGTGATCCTCCCACCTCGGCCTCCCAAAGTGCTGGGATCATAGGCAGGAGCCACTGTGGCAGGCCAGTTTGCATGTTTTACAGCTTACTATAAATGGACTCATACAGCATATACTCTTTTTAAAAATCTTACTTTTTCCACTCAGCATAATAATTTTGGGATTCACTTATGTTGCATGTATCAATAGTTTATTCTTTTAAATTGTTGAATAGTATCTTAAGATAAACAAATGCAATTTGTTTATCCATTTTTCTGTTGATGAATGTTTGGGCTGTTTCCAGTTTTTGACTATACAAGTGAAATTGCTAATGGACATTTCCGTACAAGTTTGTGTATGGACATCCACTTGAAATTCTCTTGGGTAAACTTCTAAGAGAGGAGTGGTTGGATCATATGGTAGGTGTATGTCTAGCTTCTTAAGATCACTACATACTGTTTTGCAAAGTGGATGTTCCAGAGGTCCAGATCCTCCACATTTTTGTCAACCCTTGATACGTTCAGTCTTTAATTTTAGTTATATTGACAGATGTATAGTGGTATCTCGTTGTGGTTTTAATCTGCATTTCCCTAATAACTAATGATCTCAAGCATCTTGCTTATTTACAAATCAGATACCTTTTTTGGTGAATGTCTGTTCAAGTCTTTTCCTATATTTAAATAGGTTGATTGTTTTCTTACTGAGTTTGAGAATTCCTTATATATTCTGGGTTACAAGTCCTTTGCCTAATATAGAATTTGCTAATATTTTCTGGCAATGTGGCTTGTCATTTTATTCTCTTCACAGGTGAATCTTAAAGATTAGAAGTTTTTAATTTTGATGAAGCCTAGTTTATTCATTTTATTCTTTTGTAGAGTGTACTTTTGATGTTGTGTCTACAAAACCTTTGCCTCAAGATTATAAAGATTCTCCTTCTATGTTCTGTTATAGAAGTTTTATAGTTTTAGATATGTGTATCTATGACCAGTTGATTAAATTTTATATATGGTGGGAGGTTCAGATTGAAAGGCTTTTTTGGGCATGATTGTCCAGTTGTTTCAGTTGTATTTGTTGAAAAACTATGCTTTTCCTAATGAATTGCCTTTTGCCTTTGTCAGAAATCAGTTGTCTGTAGATGTACGGATCTATTTCTGGACTCCCAGTATGTTTCATTGATTTATTCGTGTATTTTGTTGGCAATGCCACATTGTCTTGATTACTACAGCTTTATAAAAGGCTTGAACTCAGGTTGCAACAGTTTTTTAGCTTTGTTCTTTTTCAAATATATTTTGGCTGTTGCAGGCCCTTTGCATTTCCATATGACTTAAAATGAGCTTGTCAGTTTTTATAAAACCGCTTGCTTGGGAATTTGATATGGATTGCATTAACTCTGTAAGTCAATGTGAAAGGATGGATTCACAGTATTCAGTCTTCTAACCCATGAACATAGTGTTTCTCTTTATTTGTTAGGTGTTTAGTTTCTCTCAGCAATGTTTTCTAGTCCCAGTGTTGTATAGGTCTTGTATATCTTCTGTTAGATTATCTCTAAGAATTTCAGATTATTAAATGGTCTCTAAAAATATCATTTCTTCTACTGTATGGGAATATTCACATTGCTCCTTGCTAGCATGTAGAAATAAATACAATTTTTTTTTAAAGTGAACCTCATCTTGTCATACAAATATTTTGTTTTTTCCCCTTATCTCTCAGGAGGGGACATTTAGGCTCCAGCAGCATCTGCTTTTATGAAAAACTGGAATGTGACTTTCTGGCTGTGTTAGTTACTGGCTGTAAGAACTGGGGCGAGTAGCTTCGCCTTCCTGTGCTGTCTTTTCTGGGGTAGATGAAGATAAGGCTTGACTCTCCTCTTCTCCTTTCTGGTTCAAATTACTCAGTATCTTCTTAACATATAGCTCTTTTCATGTCACATTATGGTATAACTTTTGAGTTTGGCTTTTTCCACTCAGCCTAATCCTCTGGCAATTCATCCAAGTTGTTACATATTACGTAGTATGTTCAGTATTCCATCGAATACTCAATCATCGAAGGACATCTGGATTATTTCTAGGTTTTGGCTGTTACAAATAAAACTGCCATGTCATTCATACACAGGTGAATGTGAAAATTCACTTTTTGTGAAAATAAATTCTTATTTCCTTGACATAAATGCCCAAGAGTGTGATTGCTGGTCACGTGGTAATTATGTTTAGTTTGACAAGAAACTGCTCAACTGTTTTCCAGAATCGCTGTGCCATTTTATATTCTCATTAGCAGTGGAGGATGATCCAGTTTTTCCCATATCCTCACTATCTTTTTAAAATGTAGCCATACTGATAGATAGGTCATTGTATCTCATTGTGGTTTTAATATTTTCCTTATGGCTAATTATGTTAACCATCTTTTCATGTGCTTATTTACTGTCCATATCTCCTCTTTGGTAAAATATGTCTTCATGCCCTTTTCTAATTGGCTTTTTTTTTCTGTTGAGTTTAGAGAGTTCATTATATATTCTAGATGTTTCTAGTCCTTTGGCAGACATGTGTTATGCAAATGTTTTCTCCTGGTCTGTAGCTTGTCTTTTCATTTCCTTTCATTAAAAAAATGCTTAATTTTGATGAAGTCTAATTCATCAGTTTTTTCTTTTATAGATCATACTTTTGGTGTCAAGTCTATACTTTTGCCTAGTGCTAGATCCTAAAGACTGTCTCCTATTCTTTTCTAAAAGATTTATAGTTTTGTATTTTCTACTTAAGTCATGATCCATTTGGATTTAATTTTGCATAAGGTGTAGACTTAGGCTGAAGTTTGGGTTTTTTGCCCACAGACGTCCAGTTGCTCCACCACCACGTGCTGAAAGGCTGTCCTGCCTCCACTGAGTTGCTTTTGCCCATTTGTCAACAGTCAGTGAGGCATATTTGTGTGGTTCTATTTCTGCGTTCTCTGTTTATTCCTTTGATTCTTATGCCAGTACCACACAGTTTTGATTATGGTATTACAACAACTTTTGAAATTGGGTAGACTCGTTCCTCCTTCTTATTTTTCTATTTCTATTCTTGCTCCTTTGCCTTTCCATATACATTTTAGAATAATCTTGTCTCTTGACAAAAACTCTTGCTGGAATTCTGGTAGGAATTGCATTAAATCTGTGTATCAGTTTGGATGAGTTGACATAGACACATGTCCCAGCTCCACCTGGCTCCCTCCCTCTACTGAGACCTGGGAGTTCGCAGGGAAGTGAGCCTGATGGGACTTTATTGGTGAACATCTTCTCTCTTTGTTGTTTTGTATTCTTTTTTCATCTTGCCTTACCAGGGTAAGAAAATACAGGTAGTTATTGCAGCATTTTCATAGCTTATATGTATATAACATAAACGGTTGTAAGTGCATTTTATAAAAGCACCTACATCTTTTTGCAGTTACAGTTAAACTTTGCTGAAAATAGCTTCTTTATCGAAGTATGGATAAGTGGTTTTCTTATTCTGAAGGCCTGTTAATGAGCCTAATATGTGCCCTGTGAAATAGCAAAATGCAGATTGCAGTGTGTTTTGGAACTAACCTATAAGGTCAGATATTATAGAAATAGAGCAAACTGTGATCTTAAAAACAAAATGCAAATTTTATTTTCCTGTTATAGGCGTGCCTTCAGATGTCAATTCTTCTGCTGCCAGTAATAAAATAAGTGGTGCAAGTAATTCTAAGCCATATCACCCTTCTCTTGCCAAGATTCTCTTGTCATTGGATGGAAACCTGGCCAAACAGCAGGCCTTATCGCATATTCTTACAGCATTGCAAATCATGTATGCCAGGTAGGTTTCTGTGCTAATTTTTGAAATTCTGCAATTATGTGAGCTTCAGGTTTTTGTGATTTTTTTTTCATTGATCAGATGTCTCCAAGAATGTTGTATTGTTGTCTTTAAATGCTGTGTGTTGTAAGTCACGTGTTCTTTGATGGTGATTGATATCTTTGTGCATGTTTTAATAGGCATTGAAATATGAATTAGAAAACTAACTTGAACATTTTCACTATTCTTTTTGACCAGTAGACTCTAACCATTAATATTTGGGGGAAGAAAAGAATTAGGTGATACTAATTTATAGTGATGTCTAAGACGACTTAGCGTCCCCTTCACTCACTTTGAGAAGGCTGTTTTGCCAATGCAGCATTTTGCAGTATTTTTCTGCTGCTTTCCCACAGCCTAGATAAGTTGCCCATCTGCTAATGTATCACACATGTGGACCTGACAGGTGTCCTTACATAGGAAAATTAGTTTCAGAACAAAAACATTCAGTAGAGGCTATTGAGTCCTTGCTGCTCAGTATGTGGCTTTCAGTAAACACAAAATTGCCTGCTGGTCAATTATCCAGCCCTCAGGCTCTCACAGCAGCCCAAGAGGATTTCTTTCTCAGGGAGAGCCAGAGTCTCATTCTGGTCTGGTTTTTATGTTTGGCAGTTTTTCACCTGTCATTACTCTGGTTTTTCAAATAAATAGGATCCAGAGTAAACATTTTAGCTATTAGCCAAAGGATACATGGTAATAATGTTTGGTAGTTTTCCAAAACTCTTCTACATGTATTCAGTAAAAATGAGGAAACGCCTCAGTGCGTGCTAGTCCTGCCTCACCACTTCCTGTGGTGCAGTGGAGAAGGGGCAGCTCACCACAGGCCTGGCTTTGTGTCCTGACAGAGATGCCGTAGTGGGGGCCCTGATGCCGGCCGCCATGATCGCCCCGGTGGAGTGCCCCTCTGCGGCTGCTTCGGACGCATTTGCGATGGCTAGTCCCATGAATGGAGAAGAATGCATGCTGGCTGTTGATATCGAAGACAGACTGAGTCCAAATCCGTGGCAAGAAAAGAGAGAGGTAAAAGCGAATCGTAAAGCAGTGTTACATCAGAAAGGAAAAGGTGGCTACTTTGTGCCTAGGAAAGTCTCATCCTGTCATTTAGTTTAGGCTGTTTCTGTGCCTCCCGCTTTGATTTTTGGATTTACTTAGAAGAATATTCTCGGTGAAGGAGCTTTTAAAGTGCTTACGTGCAATTAGATTTCTTTTTTAAAAAAATCATGGCCGAGCGCGGTGGCTCACGCCTTTAATCCCAGCACTTTGGGAGGCCGAGGCGGGCGGATCACGAGGTCAGGAGATCCAGACCATCCTGGCTAACATGGTGAAACCCCGTCTCTACTAAAAATACAAAAAATTAGCCAGGCTGGTGGTGGGCGTCTGTGGTCCCAGCTACTCGGGAGGCTGAGGCAGGAGAATAGCATGAACCCGGGAAAGCAGAGCTGGCAGTGAGCCGAGATCGCGCCACTGCGCTTCAGCCTGGGTGACAGAGCAAGACTCTGTCAAAAAAAAAAAAAAAAAAAAAATATATATATATATATATAAGTTCACAGTCCTTTATCTGCAATTCTGAAACCTTAAAGTTCTGAACTTTAGTAACTTACTTTGGGGGAAAGAACCAACTTGAAGATACGTGAACTCATTTTAGTCTGGTTCATGTGACCTGCTGTGAATATTAATAGTTTTTCTTGAAAATATGAATGTACTCGACTTTGCACAATTGTCCTAGGCCCGACTGGGGGTGGTAGTGGCTATGTCGGGTAGGCACCATGTTACCTCTGTAAAATCTGGAACATTCCAAACAGCCCAAGTAGTTTTAAATAAAGCATTTGGGACTTGAGTAGGAAACGTGTTATGTTTTTGAGTTTTTCCACTTAAACTTCCCCTACTGTGCACTGTTCGACTAGATTGTTTCCTCTGAGGACGTGGTGACCCCCTCTGCAGTGACTCCATCGGCCCTCTCAGCCTCCGCTGGGCCATTTATCACAGTGACGGATGACCCGGGAGCTGCAAGCATCTTTGCAGAAACCATGACCAAAACTGAAGAGGTAAAGAGGCATTCTTTTTTCGCTTTGTATTGTGAAATTACCAAATGGCAGGTGGAGCCGCAGATCGATGACCCCAACAGCAACCTTGAGGAGGTGATTAATGAGGCAGAGGCCATCACCTCTGAGAACAGCCTGGGATGTAAGCAAGCCTTGAATACAGATTACCTTGATTCTGATTACCAAAGAGGACAGCTGTACCCTTTCTCCCTTGGCAGTGATCTCCAGGTGGCCGCGTTTATTCTCACAAATTCAGCCCGATGACTCAGTCCTTCCAGGAATGGTGGTACGTGAATCTCAACAGCCTAATGGACCAGGCTTTGACCCCACAGTGTGGCAGTGGGGAAGACCTATATATCCTCACAGGCACAGTGCCCTCAGACTACAAAGTTAAAGACAAAGTGGCTGGGCATGAGATGTCCTTCCTGGCTGCAGACACTTCATCCATTTCTCTGGGTGGCTACTTGGTGTGGAGGAAAGTCTTACTCTGTCACTCAGTTTAGGCAGTTTCTGTGCCTGTTAGGATTTTTGGCTTTAGTTAGAAGAATATTGTCTTTAAAAGAACTTCTAAAGTTTATAAGTAGAATTAGATTTTTTAAAAAAAATCATTAAATGCAAGTTCATAGTCCTTTATCTGCAATTCTGAAACGTTAAAGCTCTGATAGTCAGAAATTTTAGTAACTTACATGATCACCAAAACGATAAAGTACTTAAGTAGAGTTGAGCAGTCTTGAAAGCACAGCAAAGATTTATTTGGTGGATATTTTAGGGGCTTGTTATTTCTTCATCTGCTATTCATGAAGAACTAAAAAGCTGTAGGCTTCCTTTTTTCTACTTTTTTGAGACGAGTTACTTGGTGTAATTCTGAGAGATGAAATCGAGGTGAATTGCCTTAAGCACTATTATTATTTTTCATAAGTTTATTGCATTTGTGAGAGGGAAGGGTATGAATCAGAACTTCGATTTATAATAATGCTGAGCATTTGCCATGCACATCCCTGCATTCTCAGTACAGATAGGAGGGGTTACCTTTATATATGGATGAGGACACTGAGGCTGAGAGGTTATTACTGGCTTGAGGACACTCACTTTTCTGGTAGGTGGAAGAGATGGGTTGGAACCCTGAGTGCTCTGAGCCCCAGCTCCGTCATGACCCTTCTGCAGATGATGCGCTTGGCAGAGCAACCTTCTGAAGGCCAGAGCCCCTGGTCGACTCTGCATATGGGCGCTTGATGATGCCAACATCTGCTTTCAGTAACTCAACCAGGTTCCAGGAGAGACAGGAATAAGGATATGGCCGTTTTCATACTGCCCTTGCCAGATTGGCAAGATGGCTATTTCTGTGTCTTGCCCTGACCTGATATTTGCGACTCAAAAAGAGAGACAAATTTAGATTTAAAATCATGCCTATATGACAATGATATTAGTTATTAATATATAATATATTTACTAAGCAAAGCTATTTCTTACCTAAATGTGAGGAAAAATTGAAAAAAGAATAATCTATTTCTAAAAAGTATAGAATGGGCATTAGAAGAATTTTATTTTTTCTGGATTGAAAATTTTGGAGTTAATAGATTATTGCTATTATGATGTATTCTCTCATTTATTTTTAAAAATAACAGCTTATAATCACTCTTAACTTGAATTGTAAAAGATGTGAATCACCAATAATTTTTAAAATAAAATAAGAACACTGTGGATTGTTGAGAATGTGGTATGGGTCTGACCACTAGTGTACTGGGTCAAGAGGGGCAGCTGTGTTGGGGTTGGTGGTCCCTCCTGTCACAGACTCTCCCTGTCTCTGTCTGGCCTGGGCAGCTTGATGGTTCCTGATTCCCGCCCCTCCCACTGGGCTCCCTTGCCTTCTAAGATTGTGGTCATTTTCACGTACTGGGTGCTCCTTCCCTTGATGTTTTTGTTTCCGAGGCCAACTTTACTCACTAGGAAGTAATTTTGTCTTGGTGTAAAATGAAGCTATTGTCACCACGGTGTTTCATTTTATCACCTGGCACATATTAAGTGTTGTGTGTGTTGGGAGCCTTCCAACTACTTTTTTTTCTTTTCTTTTTGAGACAGAATATCTCTCTGTCGCTCAGGCTGGAGCGCAGTGGCACGATCTCAGCTCACTGCAACCTTCACCTCCTGAGTTCAAGCAGTTCTCCTGCCTCAGCCTCCTGAGTAGCTGGGACTACAGGTGCAGGCCACCAAGCCCAGCTAATCATTTGTATTTTTAGTAGAGACAGGGTTTCCCCATATTGGCCAGGCTGGTCTTGAACTCCTGACCTTAAGTGATCTGCCTGCCTCAGCCTCCCAAAGTGCTTGTATTACAGGTGTGAGCCACTGTGCTCCACCCAATGACTTTTTTTTTTTTTTTTTTTTGAGACGCAGTTTCGCTTGGGTCACCCAGGCTGGGGTGCAATAGTGCAATCTCAGGCTCACCACAATCTCTGCCTCCCAGGTTCAAGCGATTCTCCTGCCTCAGTCTCCTAAGTAGCTGGGATTACAGGCATGCGCCACCATGCCCGGCTAATTTTGTATTTTTAGTAGAGATGGGGTTTCTCCATGCTGGTCAGGCTGATCTTGAACTCCTGACCTCAGGTGATCCGCCTGCCTCGGCCTCCCACAGTGCTGGGATTACAGGCGTGAGCCACAGCGTCTGGCCCCAACGACTTTTTAATATAGATCATCTCTAAGCTTCACAGCATCTTACAAGCTCTGTGCTGTCTCTGTTTTATGTGCAAGGAAGCCAAGCCCTGATTTGAACTCAGTTTCTCAAACTCCAAGCCCTCCACTCTGCCACGCTGTCCTTGTGGAGCTCCTGAGCAGGACGGGCAGAGGTGGCATGCAGGTGACCAGGTGTGGGGCTGTTGGCCCCCTCATTCATGTCATTGCTTCCTCCCCAGGTGGCAGATATGCTGTTGGAGCTCTGTGTCACCGAGTTGGAGGATGTGGCCACAAGACTTGCAGAGCGGCCGCCTCTCTTCTCAGCCTGTGGTGGTGGAGAGTAGCCACCCTTACACCGACGACACCTCCACCAGTGGCACAGTGAAGATACCAGGTACGGGGGCTGGCCCCAGGGGGGAGCTGCAGCCTTTCCCACCTTCAGAATGATGTGATTCTGTAATTGCTTCAGTAGAAACAACCGTCTCCATTTTATAAAAAAAAGTTACAGACTTGCTTTAGAATCATTTTTCTCCCCTTTTCCAACAAACTTCTTTTGCACAATAAATCATGACACAGAAAGTCACACAAAGTAAATGTTTAGCTTCATGATAATCAGACAGATGCCCTAGTCATCATGACCCAGGTCTAGACATAACCTGTGGCAGATTCTGGAAGCCCTCAGCGTGTCCCCTGACGTCCCTCTGAGTGATGCTCTCCTGATGTTGAGCCATCACTGACTTGCATTTCTGGGCAGCTTCTTTTACCCATGTGTGTATCTTTCTTTTCTTTTTCTTTTCCTTTTCTTTTTAACAACTCAAGAAAAATTATTAAGAAGAAAATTGTTGAGGCCCCGGCCTTTGATCTGGCAGGCTTCACTGCAGCCTGGATCTGCTGACTGGACACGTGTGCTGCTGTTCAGTGTGTTCCTCAGGCCCGTCCTTCTGCAAGGTGCTGCCCGATTCGGAGGCCCATAAGTTCCGCCCCTTTTGCCAGCTCCTTAGTGGTTGTGACTCAGCCTCAGCAGGCACCTCCTGCCTGCCTGTCTTTCCTTTGTGACATCAGCAGTCCCTGAGGCTTATTAGCACCCGAGGCCGTTGGCCCATGAGGGGCTACAAATGGTGCTATTCTAGTGGAATCATTTCTTGCTTATTTATTAGCTGGAATACTTTCTTGTAAAGAGACATTTCCCCTCATCCTACAGTTGGTTGCCCAGGCAAACAGCACTGAGAAAGACAAGATAAAAGCTTGAGTCTTCCTTCTGTTTACCAGAGAATGAATTGGTTTTCTATCATTTCTTGAAGGTGACCTGTTTATTTTTAATATTACTATGAGCTCATGGATTGAAACATATGTGATTGTTTTACTGTATTGTGATTATCTTTGTTGAAGCTAAGATTATCCGTTTCTAGACAGTGGCAGCCTCTTCAGTGTGGCTCCCAAAGTGATTCCGGTGTTCTTCGGTAGCATCCAGGCAGTCTACAGAAGGTGTCCTCAGTTTTTTGTAGGTTGCCACTCTTCACCTGGGGTCTACCCTGGATTCTTTTGAGTTCATACTGATACTTAAAATTTTTTTCCTTTTGTTTTATATTTTATTTATGTATTTACTCGTTTAGAGACAGGATCTTGCTCTGTCACCCAGGCTGGAGTGCAGTAGTGCAATTATAGCTCACTGTGGCCTCGAATTCCTGGGCTCAAGTGATCCTCCTGCCTCAGCCTCCTGAGTAGCTAGGAGTACAGGCACATGCCACCTCACCTGGCTAATATGCTGATTCCTTCTACTCAAATTCAAAAGTACAAGGTCTGTGCTTCTGTTACATCTGCCTCTCCTTTCTTCCATATCAAATCCTGGTTCCAAGAGTGTTTGATAAAATATCTCATGATTTTTCATTTGCTTTAACATAACCACATTGCATACATGACAGACTTAGGATATAATTTCAATACTGCCAACATCAGTATAATTACTGAAATTCTTAAAAATCTTAGAATATGCCCTAATTTTTTCAAATTTATTAAAATAATTATACTGCATCTACAAGAGCACAATAGCTGTTACATACTATACTTTCTTTCAGTCTTCGAGTCTTAGTTTTACTGACTGGTCCTCATGGGGTCTGAAGTGCACTCTAGTGAATTCCTCATTAGCCCCTGAGATCAGACTTGTCCATGAGAGTTTTTGTCCTTTGAATTTGAAAGGTAGTTTTTCTGGGTATTAAAGCCTTGGATCATGTCTTTTTCCTCTGTGAAAGTGTGATAATGTTAGCATCTTTCCCCCTTAGAAGTCACGTGTGTTTTTTCAGTAATTTTGCTAGAATATACGTTGGTGTGGCCATTCTCAGTGATGTTCTCGGTTAGAAGTAATGTGTGTTTTTTGAGTAATTTTACTAGAATATACGTTGGTGTGGCCGTTCTCGGTGATGTTCTCGGTTAGAAGCCGTGTGTGTTTTTTTTTTTTTGTAATTTTACTAGAATATACGTCGGTGTGGCCATTCTCGGTGATGTTCTTGGTTAGAAGCCATGTGTGTTTTTTTTGTAATTTTACTAGAATATACATTGGTGTGGCCATTCTCAGTGATGTTCTCGGTTAGAAGCCGCGTGTGTTTTTTTGGTAATTTTACTAGAATATACGATTGTGTAGCCGTTCTCGGTGATGTTCTCGGTTAGAAGTCAGGTGTGTTTTTTCGGTAATTTTACTAGAATATACATTGGTGTGACCATTCTCGGTGATGTTCTCAGTTAGAAGCCGAGTGTGTTTTTTCAGTAATTTCACTAGAATGTATGTTCGTGTGGCCGTTCTCGGTAATGTTCTGGGTTGGAAGCCACGTGTGTTTTTTCGGTAGTTTTACTAGAATGTGCATTCGTGTGGCCGTTCTCGGTGGTGTTCTTGGTTAGGAGCCACGTGTGTTTTTTCGGTAGTTTTACTAGAATATACGTTCGTGTGGCCGTTCTTGGTGATGCTCTCAGTTAGGAGCTGCATGTGTTGTTTTGTTGCTTTCACTAGAATGTATGTTCATGTGGCCGTTCTCGGTGATGTTCTCGGTTAGAAGCTGCGTGTGTTTTTTCGGTGATTTCACTAGAATGTGCGTTCGTGTGCCTGTTCTCTGTGATGTTCTCGGGTAAGGGGTGCTCTTTTAGTCTGTCATCCCAAGTCTGTTTTGCAGGATGTTCTCTTGAATTGCAGTCTGCAGTGTTTGTTCTGTAGCATTGCTTAGCAGTCTTTTCTAGGGACGCTTGGTAACTCTCCATGCGTTGCATACCTCATGCCTTTTAGAGTTAGTGTTGGTTACTTTCTCTTTCAAGTACTTTTTACCTCTGTTTATTTTTTAAAAACTTCCTCTTTTTTTCCTATTTGTCTTAAGGTAGCATCTACTGTGTTTATTTGATTTTACACTCTGTTTTAGTCTCCATTGGAATGTAGTTTTGTTTTCATTGTAATTCTGTCTTCAGCTTTATTTAGTTTCTTCATTTTCCTAAGTCTGATTTATGTGGTTCTTTCACGTCTTGTATCATTTTTCTAATTTCACTCAATTTCTTTTGAGATGATAGATTATAGGGTTGACATGTTTTGGGGGCATATCTTTCTGGCCTGCTTTTATTGCCTATAGGGATGTTATTTTGTTCCTTATTCTCACTTTGTTTTGGAGACACAGTCTTGCTCTGTCACCCAGGCTGCAGTGCAGTGGCATGATTCTGACTCACTGCAGCCTCGACCTCCCAGGCTCAAGCCATCCTTCCCCATCAGCCTTCTGAGAAGCTGGGACTACAGGCTTGTGCCACCACGCTTGGCTAACTTATTTTTATTTTTTGTGGAGACGAGTCTCTCTATGTTGCCCAGTCTTGTCTCAAACTCCTGGGCTCAAGCGATCCTCCCAGCTGGGCCTCCCAAAGTGTTGAGAATTACAGGTGTGAGCCACCGTGCCCAGCCTATTCCCTTTTTCTAACAATAACTTTTTATTGTATTTGGTCTTATACTTGTATCTTGCTCATTTTTATGTGAAATCATTTTTCTTGAACTTTTAGAATGAGGTGAGATTCAGAAAAGCTTTGTCACTTTGTCACCTAGGTTGGAGTACAGTGGCACGATCTTGGCTCAGTACAGCCCCAACCTCTGGGCTCAAGCGATTCCCCTTCCTTAGCCTCCTGAGTAACTGGGACTATAGGCCGTGCCCAGCTAATTTTTAAAATTTTATATAGAGAAAGGATTTCACCATGTTGTCCGGGCCTGTCTTGAACTCCTGAGCTCAAGCGAGCTCCTGCCTAGGCCTCCCAAAGTGCTGGGATTACAGGCGTGTACCACTACATCTGGCTCAGAAAAGCATTTTTAAACTTTAAGCTATTACTTCATGATAGAAATTTAAAGAACAAAAGGTATTTCTAGTCAGCATTTGCCTAGATGAAAATCTTGTGACCCTTTTTCTCTTCTGTTTCTCTCTCGCTTTATATCCAGTCCACCAGCAAATCCTGTTTTCTCTGCTTTTAAAATATATTCCAAATTCAACCATTTTTCCCTCACTCTAGACATTCTGGGCTAGAGCACCGCGGGGTCTCACCCAGTTTATCATCCTAGCAACCACATACTAGCTGCCTCCCTGTGTTCCTGCTTCCACTCCCCACCTCCTGCGGCCCCCCCAGAATCAGCTCCCAACAGAGCATGCAGAGATAGTATCTTAAAACCAGTCCAAGCCTGTCAACCCTGTAACCGTAAGAGAGGACCTGAGCCCCTGCCCCACGTCCCTCCTTCTTCCCTCCTTCCTCCCCTGCCTCTTTCCCGGCCTCTCAGTGCCATCCTCTGCTAGATCTTCCAGCCTGAAGGAAAACTCTTGTGCCTCTGCTCGCACACCTCTCACACCAGATGTGCGGGTTCTCCACACCAAGCGGTTCTCCAGTTCTCTGGACACGCCAGAAGTTGAGGTGCTCCTCACCTCCAATGCCGCTCACTCCCCAGGTGACCCACAGCTGCCATCTGACTTGGCTGCACACTGGGCATTCCCACAGCCCCTGGTCAGTGTGATGTTCGCTGTAAAGCTTGATCAGGGGAGTGGAGTTGCAGTAGGAAAGTCTGCCCGGGAGTGACTGCACAAAACAAATTGGCCAAGTGGAAGTGTTTTCTGGCCTTCCAGTCCACAGACATAATCTTCAGTGGGGATGAGCTGGGGAAAGGGTGGTCAGTCTTGAGATGCTTGCCTTTGAGGCCAGTTCTTTCTGACTTTCTGCTATTCATTAGCTGTTAAATGTGGTTTTAATCTCACTGTTAACTCCTTGGTGCACTGTTTCTACTTTGGGTGCTGATCTGGAGTGGTTGCTATGTTTTGTGCTCGCCTGTCCTCCAGGTGCAGAAGGACTCAGGGTGGAATTTGACCGGCAGTGCTCCTCAGAGTGGCACCACGACCCTCTCACAATCATGGATGGCGTCAACAGGATCGTCTCCGTGTGGTCAGGTAAGGACAGGAGGTTGAGCCAGGATTGTCTCCATGCGGTCAGGTAAGAACAGGAGGTTGAGCAGGGCATGATCTGCCCACCTGTGTCTCCATAGACACAACCCTTCACATTTATAGGACAGAATGCTGCTACCATATTCTCATCGAAGTCTTGAGGAAGGGACAGTATGCTATGTAGCTGTGAAACACAGTAGGTTTGCTTGCCTCTTTCCCATACTTTTAAATACAGTAGTTATCTGTGATGTATGTACCACATCCCTGTCGGATGGGCCCTGCCTCACCAGACAGTTGCAGAAGGTGCTGGTGACGTGTGGGGTGCCAGGGCTCGTGCGAGGTCATGGTTGGCATAATACAGAGCTTCTTCAAGGGGTTTGTTTCTTACTGGCTGCAGTGAGGGCATGGCCATGTGTGGAGTGATTTCTGTGTGTAGGTGGAGGCAGCCACGTGTCCGGCTTGTCTCTGCTGCTGGGCTCCATGAGGCCAGCGGGGACACATCAGGACGTCTTTGGGGGCTTGTGAAATGCTCTTTTACCAAGTATTTTAGAATTGGCAGTGCAGGGGTGTGTGTATGCACCTTTTAAGACCTCTTTATCCTTCATCTCGAGTGTTTCCTGTAAAGGGCCAGGTAATGCAGCCTCTGTCATAACATGCAGACAGGATGCCAGTGAATGGGCGTGGCTGTGTCCCAGGAAAACTTTATTCACACAGCGTTACTTAGTTAAGTAAAGCTTTGCATGAAGTGGTGTGGTCCCAGTGGGCGTGGGTTTTTCTGGTGCTTTGACAGATGTTTGCCAGTGTAGTTTTCAGTAGTGTTGTTGGATGTGACCGTATTTCTGCATCCAGCAGAAAGTGCTTATGGGCCATCCCTGGGCTGCTGCCAGATGGTCATTCTGAAGCAGAAATCTGGAGGGGTTCTCTTGGCCTTCTGAGATGCTGTAGTACACCACCGCTCCTGTCCACAGCAGCCAGGCCCTCTGCTCCCTCGAGGGCGGCCTCCTCTGGGCTGTGCTGAACCACACACATGGGCCTTTTGATGGGAGAGCTAGGGTTCTTCCTTCTGCTGCCTGGCCACCTGGTTGTATCAGAGCATTCCCGGGAAACATCCCCATGGCCCCTGGCCTGGTGTGTGCTGGAGACCTGGAGGCCCACTCACTGTATCCTGGCTGGTGGGGTCATTTCCCCACTGGGCGATGGCTTCTGCCAGGGCAGTGTCTGCCCGCCTGCCCCAGTTTCCTAGGTACCTGGTACAGGGGCTGAATGCGTGTTTGCTGAAGAATGGTATGTATTAAAATGTGAATCCCAAGAGTGATGTGTCACTGTGCACTTCAGCTTGGGAGAGCTTGGATTGGAGGAACTTGCTCTTCATGCATGATGGAAATCATTCTGCTTTGTGTCTAAGGAAGTTTGTGTTGATTGGATGATGGAGTGAAGCTAACCCCGAGATTCACTTTCCTCCCCCAGACCGAGGGTGGTCCGACTGGTCCAGCTAGCTACGTATCCCGGGGGATGAGTTAAAATGGAAGTTCATCAGCGACGGGCCTGTGAACGGCTGGGGCTGGTGCTTCACCATCTATCCCATCATGCCAGCTGCTGGTAAGGGAGGGGCTTATGGCAATCAAAGTTAGATGACTGGCTGTGGATTGTTTCTGGAGTAACATGGACATGTGCACATTTCCATGTAGTGCCTGACGGCCTGCCTTCTGCTGTGTTGCGGTGAATGCTCCCACAGGCCCCGTTGAGGCGTGGAACAGAACACAGAGAACTGTCCCAGCCGTCCAACTATCAGGCTCACACTCCTCCTCACCTGGTGTGGAAGGAGTTGTTGCTGGTGTCATTCTTAGGCTTTTGGTTTACAGTGGAAGTGTGAGTGTGAAGAGCAAGGCTCACCGACTCGCAGTGGCATGCGTGGGCACACCAGCTGTTGCCTTCTGGTGGGTGGGGCTGGGTGGAGCCACCCTTGTTTGTTGGCTTCTTATGGGTTGGTCCCTAGCTTGTGAAACACAGGGGTGTTTACAGTGCTCATTCACAGGCCCTAAAGAACTCCTCTCTGACTGCTGCGTCCTCTCTTGTCCATCCACGGACTTGGTGACGTGTCTGTTAGACTTCCGACTCAACCTTGCCTCTAACAGAAGTGTCGTCCCTTGCCTTGTGGCCTTGCTGGCAGCTTGTGCACAGCTGAGTGGCCTAGGTAAATGCCACCATTACAGTTACATCTGTCTTCCTACTTGGAAGAAACCATCAGACTTCTGATACTTCTTTCTGCTCATTTCAGCCACCAGTCACAGAATGTGGGCCCTTCAGAAATTGAGGAAGCTGCTTACAACTGAATTTGGGCAATCAATTAACATAAATAGGCTGCTTGGAGAAAATGATGGGGAAGCAAGAGCTTTGGTATGGAGCATTCTAGTACAATTTCTAGATTTGTGACCTTTGGGGAATAAAATGTTGCTTTCGTAGTCTAAACCTCTAAATCATTGAGAAGAGTTGGGGAATTTCACATAAGAAAAAGGAGGCCTCGGACCGGGTGTGGTGGCTCACGCCTGTAATCCCAGCACTTTGGGAGGCCGAGGCGGGCGGATCACGAGGTTAGGAGATCAAGACCATCCTCACTAACACAGTGAAACCCCAACTCTACTAAAAATACAAAAAATTAGATGGGCGTGGTGGCAGGCGCCTGTAGTCCCAGGTACTCGGGAAATTGAGGCAGGAGAATTGCTTGAACCTGGGAGGTGGAGTTCGGAGTGAGCCGAGATGGCACCACTACACTCCAGCCTGGTGACAGAGCGAGACTCCGTCTCAAAAGAAAAAGAATAAGGAAGGCTTTGTCACATCCAGACTTTTTGTATGTTGCAGTGCATACTGAGTTCAAGTTGGACTTTGATTTTGTGAAAATCTGTCTCGACTGCCATGAACATAGGATTGTGTTGATTGGACTTGGACAATGAGGCTAACTGATTGGCCTCCCCTTTATTTTGCTGACTAAAGTAGTCCCTTTTGATCCTACACATGGGAGGAGACAGGCAGCGTTTGTGGGCCAGAGAGGGGCTATTTCTCTGGAAGCGGATGTACTGAAATCAAGACCAAACATTCTGAGATGAGTCTTTAAACTCCTCTTTTTTATTTTAGTGTTTATGTTCTTTTAGCTTTTTTCCTACTTGAGAATTTTGATAAGCTTTTTTTTTTTTTTTAGAAGAAATGGTACCAACATAATAAAACATTTGACCTTAGAGACAAATGGTCAGCCTCTCCTGTACTCTGGATTCCCACGATAGAATACTGTTCTGTTGTTTCTTAGAGTTTTACAGGTAGTGCTCTTGCTGCTTTGGTGAAAGGTCTTCCAGAAGCTTTGCAAAGGCAGTTTGAATATGAAGATCCTATTGTGAGGGGTGGCAAACAGCTGCTCCACAGCCCATTCTTTAAGGTAATGTTTCACTTCTTTTTTAAAGTGACAATAGAGCTATTTGACTGAAAGAGCCACTGAGAGTTGTCATGTGCAGTCTGTTTGTGTGTTTTAGGCCTCTGAGGGCAGCTGTAGGTTGCTGAAGTCAAATATGAAAAAATCTCAAGAAATGATCGTGTAATCTAAACCCTTAAACCATAAGCCTGTAACCGTTAGCATGCCTTGAGATGCACAGGTGTTCTTGTCACTTGATGCAGGCAACAAGTGTTGCAGCAGTTGTGTGGCACGTGGCTAGGAACTGTCAGAGATCGCCACATCACTGATGGTGGCCGTATCCTTGCTGTGCCCATGGCCGTCATCCTGGAATAGGAGGTCCTGCGGAAGGAGCCACAGAAACCTCGGCCTGTTCACTGCATTTCTGAGTGTCCCTGAGTTTGTCATTTTTGGTGCCTGCAGGTACTGGTAGCTCTTGCTTGTGACCTGGAGCTGGACACTCTGCCTTGCTGTGCCGAGACGCACAAGTGGGCCTGGTTCCGGAGGTACTGCATGGCCTCCCGCATTGCTGTGGCCCTTGACAAAAGAACACCATTGCCCCGTCTGTTTCTTGATGAGGTATTGCATGATATTTTGGAATCACTTTTGGGATGCAAAAACATTGTTTAGCTATAGTGTAACAAGATGCCAATATTATGAGACACAGAAAAATTTTCCTTGCCAAGGAATATCAAAGAAAATAACACATAGGTAGGGCCAGGCGCGGTGGCTCACGCCTGTAATCCCAGCACTTTGGGAGGCCGAGGCGGGTGGATCACGAGGTCAGGGGTTTGAGACCAGCCTGACCAACATGGTGAAACCCCGTCTCTACTAAAAATACAAAAATTAGCTTGGCGTAGTGGCGGGCGCTTGTAATCCCAGCCACTCAGGAGGCTGAGGCAGGAGAATTGCTTGAACCCGGGAGGCGGAGCTTGCAGTGAGCCGAGATCGCACCATAGAGAAAAAGAAAGAAAATAACACATAGGTGAAAATGAGTGAACTGACACTGTGAATTTCAGTTAAAGTTTATTTTTAGTGAACTACAGATAGAATGAGACTGTCTAGACATTTTTAATATGTTAGACTTGATGCAGTCATTATTGGTTTTGCCCAGGAACCATAACATTGCAATGTTGCTCTTCCCTCATATTTTCAGGCAGGGATTCCTTCTGTCTTTCCTTAGTATTTATTTATTTTGTTTGAGATGAGTGTTTGATTTGTAACATCATAATAATTTTGTTTAAGTGGCTAAGAAAATTCGTGAATTAATGGCAGACAGCGAAAACATGGGATGTTCTGCCTGAGAGCCAAGACATTTTTAAAAGAGAGCAAGATGAACAAGTTGTGCAGTGAATGAACAGGTTATTATATTAGAAACAAGCAGTAATGTCGATCTTGAACGCGAGAGGCTGTGTGCATTGTTCTTTCCCATGGCAAATGCTCACTTGATGTGTGTTGTAGGCGACCAGATGATTGGAATCTGTCTGCTGGTGGCAGTGGAACAATTTATGGTTGGGGACATGATCATAGGGGCCAGCTCGGGGGCATTGAAGGTGCAAAAGTCAAAATTCCCTCTCCCTGTGAAGCCCTCACAACTCTCAGACCCATGCAGTTAATCGGAGGGGAACAGACCCTCTGCTGTGACAGCTGATGGGAAGGTAAGGGTGCTTTTTCTGTGTCACAGGGTCACTGAGCCTGAGGCAGTTGTGGCTAACGGTGCTGTGTGGTTCTTAGCACAGGCAAGGATCTGCACTAAAACGTTTCTCAGGATTAATAGTACTGTGGTATGCAGGAAGCAGTTAGACTTCTAAGATATTTTTGCATAATCTTTAAATTTTTTTTTAAAAAATTTAAGATGGAGTTTTGCTCTTGTTGCCCAGGCTGGAGTGCAATGGCGCAATCTCAGCTCACTGCAACCTCCACCTCCTGGGTTCAAGTCATTCTCCTGCTTCAGCCTCCCGAGTAGCTGGGATTATAGGCGCCCGCCACCACACCTGGCTAACTTTTTTGTATTTTTAGTAGAGACAGGGTTTCACCATGTTGACCAGGCTGGTCTCGAAATCCTGACCTCAGGTGATCCGCCCACCTTGGCCTCCCAAAGTGCTGGGATTATAGGTGTGAGCCACCATGCCTGGCCAATTTTTTTTTTTTAATTTTGAAAATACATCATGTATACGAAAGTATTACAATTTTTGTTTGTGTATCACTCGTTAGATGTGTTTCTTCCTTGCTATTGTAAATACTTTTAAAAAATTTATTGCTGCTGGCCCGGTGCAGTGGCTCACACCTGTAATCCCAGCACTTTGGGAGCCCAAGATGGGTGGATCACCTGATGTCACGAGTTTGAGACCAGCCTGGCCAACATGGGGAACCCCGTCTCTACTAAAAATAAGCCAGGCGTGGTGATACGTGCCTGTAATCCCAGCTACTCGGGAGGCTGAGGCAGGAGAATCACTCAAACTTGGGAGGCGGAGGTTGCAGTGAGCCGAGATCACACCACCGCACTCCAGCCTGGGCGACAGAGCAATACTCTGTCACAAAGAAAAAAAAAAGAAAAAAAAAAAGATTGCCACTGATATATAGAAATATTGGATGTTTATATACTGACTTTATGTTTGGTGACCTACTTGAGTCTCTTCATTCTAGTGTATCTGAAGATTTCTTATATCTTCTTTATAGAGTGCCATAGTCTCTAAATGAATTCTGTTCCTTTCTGTCTAGCATACCTCTCTTTTATTTTTCCCATTTGTGTGGGAGAATGGGAGCTCATGGTGCGGGCTGGGGTTGTGATGTGATTCTGGGTAGGAGTGGGCAGAGGCTCCTGCCTTGATCCAGACTGGAGCAGGCACAGAAGGAGCGTTTCCAGGCTTCCAGTGGGGTTTGAGTAGAAGCCCTTGATTAGATTAGGCATGTTTCCTTCTGTTTCTGTTCATCAGTGGAGTGTTCAACACTCTTTCTATGTATTTTTGAAATGTTCTTTCATAGATGTTTTCTGTTTTTTTTTTTTTTTTTTTTTTTTTTGAGACAGAGTCTCACTCTGTCGCCCAGGCGGGAGTGCAGTGGCACAGTCTCGGCTCACTGCAACCTCTGCTTCCCGGGTTCAAGAGATTCTTCTACCTCAGCCTCCCGAGTAGCTGGGACAACAGGCGACTGCCACCATGCCCGGCTAATTTTTTTTTTTTTTTTTTTGTATTTTTAGTAGAGATGGGGTTTCACCATATTGGTCAGGCTGGTCTTGAACTCCTGACCTTGTGATCCGCCCGCCTCGGCCTCCCAAAGTGCTGGGATTACAGGCATGAGCCACCACACCTGGCCAATGTTTTCTAATGGATTGGTATAGTCAGTTGGATTAATTGGTTTTCTCATATTAAACAAACTTGCATTGTTTGGATAAATCCAGTTTGGTCAGGATATGTATCTGGCTTGTGTTTGTGATTGTTTTGTTTAGATTTTTGGGAGATCCTATTCATGAGTGAGATAGTCTCGTGTAATGTTCTGTCTCACACACATGTATCATTTCATAGTTTCTCTGGGTCAGGACTCTGGATGCAGCATAGCTCCATCCTCCAGCTCAGAATCTCAGCAGGCTGCAGTTGTCTTGAGGCTGTCCGAGCAAGGATTCAGTCCCTTGTGGACCTTTGGGCTGAGGCCTCAGTCCCTTATGAGCTGTTGGCAGAGCCTCCCCTCACTCAGCCCTTTGCCACGTGTCCATAGAGCGTCTCACAGCGTGGCAACTGACTGTCAGCGAGAGCAAGGGAGGCGCAGGAGGGAGCACCAGCAAGAGAGAGTGGAGGAAACAGAGCCCCGGTCCTGTGTAACTGAATCACAGAAGTGACCACACTCCATCGTTCTTGCCCTATTCTGCTCATCAGAAGCAGGTCATTAAGTCCAGCCCACACTCAGGGAGAGGGAGCTGTAGGCATACTTGGAGGTATGCAGGCTTGGTTCTAAACCAACACAATAAAGCAAGTGTCTTCACAAGTAAGTCACACAAATTTCTTGGTTTCCCAGTGGATATAAAAGTATGTGTATACTATAGTCTATTAAGTCACATCTTCAGGCTCCACTTCTAATTCTAGTTCTTTTGCTGTTTCCACCACATCTGAGGTCACTTCTTCCTCTCGTCTTGAACCTCTCAAGGTCATCCATGAGGGTTGGAATCCACTTCCACATCCCTGTTAATGTTGATATTTTCACCTCCTCCCATGAATCACAAATGTTCTTAATGGCATTTATAATGGTGCTGGCTTTCCAGAAGGTTTTCAATTTAGCTTGTCCACATCCATTAGAAGAATCACTATCTATGGCAGCTGTAGCCTTATGAAATGTATTTCTTTGTTTTTTTTTTTTTCTTTTTTTGAGACAGTCTTGCTCTGTAGCCCAGGCTGGAGTGCAGTGGCGTGATCTCTGCTCACTGCAAGCTCCACCTCCTGGGTTCACGCCATTCTCCTGCCTCAGCCTCCCAAGTAGCTGGGACTACAGGTGTCCGCCACCATGCCTGGCTAATTTTTTGTATTTTTTAGTAGAGACTGAAGTGTATTTCTTAAATAACAAGATTTGAAGTTGAAATTACTCCTTGATCCATGTGGCTGCAGAAAAGATGATGTGTTAGCAGGCATGAAAACAACTTTAATTTCTTTGTACATGTTCATCAGAGCTTTTGGGTGACCAGGTACATTGTCAATGAGCAGTAATATTTTGTAAGAAATCTTTTTTTCTGAGCAGTAGGCCTCAATAGTGGGCTTAAAATATTCAGTGAACCATGCTGTAAACAAATGTGCTGACTTCCAGGTTTTGTTCTATTTCTGGAGCACAGTCAGAGTGGAGTTAGCATAATTCTTAAGGGCCCTAAGATTTTCAGAATGGTCAATGAGCATTGACTTCAACGAATTCAACTAATATAGTCATCAGCTGCATTAGCCCCTAACAAAATATTTGAAGCTTTGAAGGCAAACATTGACTTCTCTCTAGCTATGAAAGTCCTAGCTGGCATCTTCTTCCAATAGACGGTTGTTCCATCTACGTTGAAAGCCTGTTGTTTAGCGTAGCCACCTTCATCACTGATCTTGGCTAGATCTTCTGGGTAACTTGCTGCAGCTTCTACATCAGCACTTGCTACTTTCCCTCACACTTTTATGTTATGAAGACGGCGTCTTTATTTACACCTCAGGAACCAATCTTTGCTACCTTCAGACTTTCCTTCTGCAGCTGTCTCACCTCTCTTAGCCTTCGTGGAATTGAAGAGAGTTAGAGCCTTGCTCTGGATTAGGCTTTGGCTTAAGGGAATGTTGTATCAGTTTTGATCTTCTGTCTATGCCAGTCAAACATTCTGTATATCAGCCATAAGACTGTTTTGCATTCTTATCATTTGTGTGTTTACTAGAGTTGCACTTAATTGTGCTTCAAGAACTTTTTCTTGGGTAACTGGTGCAAGAGGCCTAGCTTTCAGCCTGTCTTGGCTTTCAGTGTGCCTTCGTCACTAATCTTAATCATTTCTAGCTTTTGACTTAAAGTGAGAAATATGCAACTCTTCCTTTCACTTGAACTCTTAGAGGCTACTGCAGGGTTATTAAGTGGCCTAATTTCAATAAGTTATGTCTCAGGTACACAATAGGGAGGTCTGAGGAGAGGGAGAGAGATGGGAGAACAGCTGGTTGGCGGAACAATCAGAACATACACCACATTTATCATTTAAGTTCACCATCTTCTATGGGTGTGGTTTGTGGTGCCTCAAAACAAGTACAACAGTAACATCAAACATTACTGATCACAGATCATCATAACAGATAAAATAATGAAAAAGTTTAAAATATTGCAAGAATTATCAAAATGTGACATAGAGACAGTAAGTCAGCACATGCTGGTGGAAAAGTGGCGCCGTTAGAGTTGGTCAGTGCAGGGTTGCCGCAGACCTTCGGTTTGTAAAAAACAGTATCTGCGAGGTACAGTAAAGCGAGGCACAGTCAAATGGAGTGTGCCTGTGTACAGGAGCATGCATATTTGGAAGCAGGGATCACTGTGAACCGTGTCAGGGGCAGATTGCTAGCACAGGTGTCGAAGTGGTCTAGCCTCATAAAAAGGTTTGAAATATAGCCCCTCTTTGTCAATTCTCAGGAGAATTTTGTTTCTTTTCGTTGTTTCTCTGGTTATTTTAACATAGGTACTTAAAAACCTAAAGTTAATTAGTATTTTCCCCTCCTCCCAATCAGTGACCCCTTGTTACCCAGTGTTTGGGTTCTAACCTATTCCCCTCTGCCATAGACATTATTGTTGTTGTTTTGGTTGTTTTATATGGACTGTGGTTTTTTTCTGGAGTTAGCCAAATATTGCACATCTTTGCTTACTATCGTTTCTTACCATCGTTTGCTATGTCTCAGATCTTATAAAATCATTTCCTTCTCCTTTATCATATCTTTTTCAATTTACTTTAGTGAAATTCTTTCATTGGTTAATTCTGATTGTTTCAAAATATCTTCATTTTGTCCTTTTTCTAGGGTGGGGGTTGGTAAACACTTTCTGTAAAGGACACAATGGTATTTTCAGCTTTGGGCCATATAGTCTCTGTTGCAACTGCAAAAGTAGCCCTGGACATATTATAAATGAGTGGGTGTGGCTGTGTTCCCATAAAACTTCATTTACAGAAACAAATGATGGGCCTGATTCAGCCCATGGGCCATAATTTGCCAACTCCTGTTGTAGTTATGAATTCTCAGGAGCAAGCCTCTGTCTCCCTGTCAGTGCTGAGGCTGGGAAGGGCAGCTTTCTGTGGTGTTCTTCTTATTCACAGTCACTGAGGGGCAACCCTTTGGAGCCCCACTTTCTATAGGAAGTCCTTGGAGGCATGCTGCATTACCCTGCACCGTGTGCACCAGAGAGCCTCACACCCTCCCCGCCAGAAGCTGGCTTTGGGGGTGGGGCTCATTTATCCACCTGAGTTTGGGTTTCACTTCCTGCGTTGGGCCTTGTGGCTTCCTTACTATTATGTCAGCGTAGCAGCACGTTTGAAAGATGTCTAAAACAGCATGGAACAGCATTTAAGTTTTTATCAGGAGGCATGTTTGCCTTCATTTGGAAAATGGCAGTCTGATTGTGTGTGTGTGTCTTTTTAAATTAATCATGTTTTTTAAAAAATTAATCATAGATGTTTTGTGTCCTAAAACATTCCCACTTAGATGGAAAAAAAAAGCGTTTTTTCCCATGTGGTTTATACGCTGCCCTGCTGAAATATTAAAATGTATTTGTGTTCTTTTACGGGTATGTTTTGTGGCTGTTATTGTCAGAGATTTGCATATAGTAGATAATTAAATTGTTTTTTGCTTTTCTTGGTGTTAATTGTAGTTGGTATTCCAGACAAAAATCGAAGAGCTTCCAGGGAGAAGACTTTATTTTCACAGTATGTTTTCTGAATTTGGAATTTCTAATAGTCGTGTTTTTATTTCATTTCTAGAACTTTGATAGAGCATGTATAAAGGCATAAACATTCCTGTGATTTTTAACTTTAAATTTTATTTCTATGTGGTAAAAATGTCTAAAACATGGATTGTTTATGAATTACTAAATTTAGGGGATATTGAGATTAAAAACTGATGTTACTGTTGCTTTTTCTTTTATTAGCTGTATGCCACTGGGTATGGTGCAGGTGGCAGACTAGGCATTGAAGGGACAGAGTCGGTGTCTACCCCAACATTGCTTGAACCCATTCAGCATGTGTTTTATTTAGAAAGTAGCTATGAACTCGGGAGGAAAGCACTGCCTTGCCCTGTCTTCAGAAGGAGTTTACTCTTGGGGTGAGGCAGAAAGGAAGTTGGGGAATGGCAACAGAAGGTGTGATGTGAAAAAATTATTTCAACATTCTATTTGTCTTTGTTTGTTTTAATGCTGCTACAATTTATTGGCACTTCGTTTTTCAAGGCAACATTTGCAATAATCTGCTCAAACTAAATAATGTTAATGACTCATTTGGCAGCAATAGTTTTATGTTCCAATATGAAGCCTTACCCATATGACTCCTCTGTTGAGAAGAAAAAAAAGTCAATTCTGAGTTTTTGATGACAAGTACTAAGTAAGTGTTTTTTTGTCCTTCTCCCTTAAATCATCCACTGAATCACGTTTGGCATTTTGTGTAACGTGCGTGATACTAAAACTGCAAATACAGAGGAAATAGCAGGGGTGAGGAAGAAAGAACACACAATCGACACCATTTTTTAAACAAATGAACCAAACTCACAAGTTTTAAAAAATGAATGAGAACTACCAGCCAGATTGGAGTAACAGGGGCCTTCCTATCCTAGGAATAACTAAAACACCATATAAAATACATTAAACAGGTCCGGCATGGTGGCTCACGCCTGTTATCCCAGCACTTTGAGAAGCTGAGGTGGGCAGATTGCTTGAACTCAGGAGTTCAAAACCAGCCTGGGCAACATGACGAAACCCTATCTCTATGAAAAATAGAAAAACAATTAGCCAGATGTGGTGGTGCACACCTGAAGTCCCAGCTACTTGGGAGGTGGAGGTTGCAGTGAGCTGAGATTGTGCCACTGCACTCCAGCCTGGGTGACAGAGTGAGATCCTGTCATAAAAAATGAAATGAAATGAAATGAAGTGAAATGAAATAATGAAATGAAATGATGAAATGAAATGTGAGCTGAGATTGTGCCACTGCACTCCAGCCTGGGTGACAGAGTGAGATCCTGTCATATGAAATGAAATGAAATGAAGAAATGATGAAATGAAATATGAGCTGAGATTGTGCCACTGCACTCCAGCCTGGGTGACAGAGAGAGATCCTGTCATACGAAATAATGAAATGAAATGAAATGAAATGAAATGAAATAAATGAAATAAATGAAATGATGAAATGAAATAAAATGTGAGCTGAGATTGTGCCACTGCACTCCAGCCTGGGTGACAGAGTGAGATCCTGAGTGAGATCCTGTCATATGAAATGATGAAATGAAATGAAGAAATGAAATGTGAACTGAGATTGTGCCACTGCACTCCAGGCTGGGTGACAGAGTGAGATCCTGTTGAAAGAAATGAAATGAAATGAAGAAATGAAATGATGAAATGAAATGTGAACTGAGATTGTCCCACTGCACTCCAGGCTGGGTGACAGAGTGAGATCCTGTCAAAAGAAATGAAATGAAATGAAAAATGAAATGAAATGGTGAAATAAGTGAAATGAAATGAATGAAATGATGAAATGTGAGCTGAGATTGTGCCACTGCACTCCAGCCTGGGTGACAGAGAGAGATCCTGTCATATGAAATGAAATGAAATAAATGAAGAAATGAAATGATGAAATGAAATGTGAGCTGAGATTGTGCCACTGCACTGCAGCCTGGGTGACACAGTGAGATCCTGTCATATGAAATGAAATAAATGAAATGACATGAAATGATGAAATGTGAGCTTGAGATTGTGCCACTGCACTCCAGCCTGGGTGACAGAGTGAGATCCTGAGTGAGATCTTGTCATATGAAATGAAATGAAATAAATGAAATGAAATGAAATGGTGAAATGAAATCTGAACTGAGATTGTGCCACTGCACTCCAGGCTGGGTGACAGAGTGAGATCCTGTCGAAAGAAATGAAATAAGTGAAATGAAATGAAATGAAATGAAATGAATGAAATGATGAAATAAAATGTGAGCTGAGATTGTGCCACTGCACTCCAGCCTAGGTGACAGAGTGAGATCCTGTCGAAAGAAATGAAATAAGTAAAACGAAATGAAATGAATGAAATGATGAAATAAAATGTGAGCTGAGATTGTGCCACTGCACTCCAGCCTAGGTGACAGAGTGAGATCCTGTCTGTGAAATGAAATGAAATATGAAATGAAATGAAATGAAATAAATGAAATGACATGAAATGAAGAAATGAAATGATGAAATGAAATATGAGCTGAGATTGTGCCACTGCACTCCAGCCTGGGTGACAGAGTGAGATCCTGTCATATGAAATGAAATGAAATGATGAAATGAAATATGAGCTGAGATTGTGCCACTGCACTCCAGCCTGGGTGACAGAGATCCTGTCATATGAAATAATGAAATGAAATGAAATAAATGAAATGATGAAATGAAATAAAATGTGAGCTGAGATTGTGCCACTGCACTCCAGCCTGAGTGACAGAGTGAGATCCTGAGTGAGATCCTGTCATATGAAATGAAATGAAATAATGAAATGAAATAAATGAAATGAAGAAATGAAATGTGAACTGAGATTGTGCCACTGCACTCCAGGCTGGGTGACAGAGTGAGATCCTGTCGAAAGAAATGAAATGAATGAAATGAAGAAATGAAATGTGAACTGAGATTGTCCCACTGCACTCCAGGCTGGGTGACAGAGTGAGATCCTGTCGAAAGAAATGAAATGAAATGAAAAATGAAATGAAATGATGAAATAAGTGAAATGAAATGAAATGAAATGAATGAAATGATGAAATGTGAGCTGAGATTGTGCCACTGCACTCCAGCCTGGATGACAGAGAGAGATCCTGTCATATGAAATGAAATGAAATGAAATGAAGAAATGAAATGATGAAATGAAATGTGAGCTGAGATTGTCCCACTGCACTCCAGGCTGGGTGACAGAGTGAGATCCTGTCGAAAGAAATGAATTGAAATGAAAAATGAAATGAAATGATGAAATAAGTGAAATGAAATGAAATGAATGAAATGATGAAATGAAATGTGAGCTGAGATTGTGCCACTGCACTCCAGCCTGGATGACAGAGAGAGATCCTGTCATATGAAATAAAATAAATGAAATGAAATGAAATGAAGAAATGAAATGATGAAATGTGAGCTGAGATTGTGCCACTGCACTCCAGCCTGGGTGACACAGTGAGATCCTGAGTGAGATCCTGTCATATGAAATGAAATAAATGACATGAAATGAAATGAAATGATGAAATCTGAACTGAGATTGTGCCACTGCACTCCAGGCTGGGTGACAGAGTGAGATCCTGTCGAAAGAAATGAAATGAAATGAAATGAAATGAATGAAATGATGAAATAAAATGTGAGCTGAGATTGTGCCACTGCACTCCAGCCTGGGTGACAGAGTGAGATCCTGTCATATGAAATGAAATGAAATGAAATGAAATGAAATGAAATAATGAAATGAAATAAAATGAAATGAAATGTGAGCTGAGATTGTGCCACTGCACTGCAGCCTGGGTGACAGAGTGAGATCCTGTCATATGAAATGAAATGAAATAAATGAAATGAAATGAAATGAAGAAATGAAATGAAAGAAATGAAACAAAATGAAGAAATGAAATGTGAGCTGAGATTGTGCCACTGCACTCCAGCCTGGGTGACAGAGTGAGATCCTGTCTGAAATGAAATAAATGAAATGAAAGAAACGAAAGAAATGAAATGAAATAATGAAATGAAATGGTCCCAAAGCCATTGAATATCAGGCAACAAAATACAGTGTTCCGTGAGTCATGGGAAACAAAGACAGTTCTAAGGGATGATGTGTAATGGTACAAAAATATAGTTAGATAGAAGGAATAATATCAAGTATGATACCACAACAGGTGAGTATAGGCAACAATAACTTATTGTACATTTTAAAGTAACTAAATTATAATTGGATTGTTTGTAACACAGGAAAGGATAAATGCTTGAGGTGATGGATAACCCATTTACCCTGATATGATTACTACACATTGTATGCCTGAATCAAAATATTTCATATACTCTACTATGTACCCACAAAAATTAAAAAATTTTTAAATGAAAAATTAAAAAGAAAAAGGCAAGTTCTAAAAATTTCCCAATGGATTTCCTGTAGAAAGTTTCCAGACTGTGACACAGGAAGGAGAATGCCAGGCAGATCCTGGCACACCCCCTTAGTAGAGAGGAGACAGAACTGGAAATCCAGGGAGGCCAAGACATACAGAGTCTGTATACAGAGTACCAGAGCGGAGAGAGCTGCACAGAGAGGACTGCGGAGACCTGCAGAGCCTAATATGGCATTCACAGCTGTGAGGTTGAGGAACAGACCGCCCAAAGGGATGAGAAGGAATAGTCCCCAGAGCTCACACAGCAGGGAGTTGGAGCCTGCTCCCAAAACCTCACAATTTACAGGGCAACGATTAAAGTACTAAGAATGATGTTACCCAGTATTGGTGAAAAATTAGCGACAGACGAATTGTTGCTATCATCCCACCAACAAAGCTTAAAAGCAAGACCCGAAAGGATTAAACTACTTATAAGTAACTTATCACAGAGATCAAAGCTCAAGAATATATATATATTTTTTAATTTTTGTATTTTTATTTTTTTATTATACTTTAAGTTTTAGGGTACATGTGCACAATGTGCAGGTTTGTTACATATGTGTATACGTGTGCCATGTTGGTGTGCTACACCCATTAATTCATCATTTAATGTTAGGCATATCTCCTAATGCTATCCCTCACCCCTCCCCCACCCCACAACAGGCCCGGGTGTGTGATGTTCCCCTTCCTGTGTCCATGTGTTCTCATTGTTCAATTCCCACCTGTGAGTGAGAACATGCAGTGGTTGTTTTTTGGTCCTTGCAATAGTTTGCTGAGAATGATGGTTTCCAGCTTCATCCACGTCCCTACAAAGGACATGAACTCATCATTTTTTATGGCTGCATAGTATTCCATGGTGTGTATGTGCCACATTTTCTTAATCCAGTCTATCATTGTTGGACATTTGGGTTGGTTCCAAGTCTTTGCTGTTGTGAATAGTGCTGCATGTGTCTTTATAGCAGCATGTTTTATAATCCTTTGAGTATATACCCAGTAATGGGATGGCTGGATCAAATGGTATTTCTAGTTCTAGATCCCTGAGGAATCGCCACACTGTCTTCCACAATGGTTGAACTAGTTTACAGTCCCACCCACAGTGTAAAAGTGTTCCTATTTCTCCACATCCTCTCCAGCACCTGTTGTTTCCTGACCTTTTAATGATCGCCATTCTAACTGGTGTGAGATGGTGTCTCATTGTGGTTTTGATTTGCATTTCTCTGATGGCCAGTGATGATGAGCATTTTTTCATGTGTCTTTTGGCTGCATAAATGTCTTCTTTTGAGAAGTGTCTGTTCATATCCTTTGCCCACTTTTTGATGGGGTTTTTTTTTTCTTATAAATTTGTTGGAGTTCATTGTAGATTCTGGATATTAGACCTTTGTCAGATGAGTAGATTGCAAAAATTTTCTCCCATTCTGTAGGTTACCTGTTCACTCTGATGGTAGTTTCTTTTGCTGTGCAGAAGCTGTTTAGTTTAATTAGATCCCATTTGTCAATTTTGTCTTTTGTTGCCATTGCTTTTGGTGTTTTAGACATGAAGTCCTTGCCCATGCCTATGTCCTGAATGGTATTGCCTAGATTTTCTTCTAGGGTTTTTATGGTGTTAGGTCTAACATTTAAGTCTTCAGTCCATCTTGAATTAATTTTTGTATAAGGTGTAAGGAAGGGATCCAGTTTCAGCTTTCTACATATGGCTAGCCAGTTTTCCCAGCACCATTTCTTAAATAGGGAATCCTTTCCCCATTTCTTGTTTTCATCAGGTTTGTGAAATATCAGATAGTAGTAGATATGTGGCATTATTTCTGAGGGCTCTGTTCTGTTCCATTGGTCTATATCTCTGTTTTGGTACCAGTACCATGCTGTTTTGGTTACTGTAGCCTTGTAGTATAGTTTGAAGTCAGGTAGCGTGATGCCTCCAGCTTTGTTCTTTTGGCTTAGGATTGACTTGGCAATGAGGGCTCTTTTTTGATTCCATATGAATTTTAAAGTAGTTTTTTTCCAATTCTGTGAAGAAAGTCATTGGTAGCTTGATGGGGATGGCATTGAATCTGTAAATTACCTTGGGCAGTATGGCCATTTTCACGATATTGATTCTTCCTACCCATGAGCATGGAATGTTCTTCCAATTGTTTGTATCCTCTTTTATTTCCTTGAGCAGTGGTTTGTAGTTCTCCTTGAAGAGGTCCTTCACATCCCTTGTAAGTTGGATTCCTAGGTATTTTATTCTCTTTGAAGCAATTCTGAATGGGAGTTCACTCATGATTTGGCTCTGTGTTTGTCTGTTATTGGTGTATAAGAATGCTTGTGATTTTTGCACATTGATTTTGTATCCTGAGACTTTGCTGAAGTTGCCTGTCAGCTTAAGAGATTCTGGCCTGAGATGATGGGGTTTTCTGGATATACAATCATGTCATCTGCAAACAGGAACAATTTGACTTCCTCTTTTCCTAATTGAATGCCCTTTATTTCCTTCTCCTGCCTGATTTCCCTGGCCAGAACTTCCAACACTATGTTGAATAGGCATGGTGAGAGAGGGCATCCCTGTCTTGTGCCAGTTTTCAAAGGGAATGCTTCCAGTTTTTGCCCATTCAGTATGATATTGGCTGTGGGTTTGTCATAGATAGCTCTTATTATTTTTAGATACGTCCCATCAATACCTAATTTATTGAGAGTTTTTAGCATGAAGTGTTGTTAAATTTTGTCAAAGGCCTTTTCTGCATCTATTGAGATAATCATATTGTTTTTGTCGTTGATTCTGTTTATATGCTGGATTACATTTATTGATTTGTGTATGTTGAACCAGCCTTGCATGCCAGGGATGAAGCCCACTTGATCATGGTGGATAAGCTTTTTGATGTGCTGCTGGATTCGGGTTGCCAGTATTTTATTGAGGATTTTTGCATCAATGTTCATCAGGGATATTGGTCTAAAATTCTCTTTTTTTGTTGTGTCTCTGCCAGGCTCTGGTATCAGGATGATGCTGGCCTCATAAAATGAGTTAGGGAGGATTCCCTCTTTTTCTGGTGATTGGAATAGTTTCAGAAGGAATGGTACCAGCTCCTCTTTGTACCTCTGGTAGAATTAGGCTGTGAATCCATCTGGTCCTGGACTTTTTTTGGTTGGTAAGCTATTAATTATTGCCTCAATTTCAGAGCCTGTTATTGGTCTATTCAGAGGTTCAACTTCTTCCTGGTTTAGTCTTGGGAGGGTGTATGTGTCAAGGAATTTATCCATTTCTTCTAGATTTTCTAGTTTATTTGCATAGAGGTGTTTATAGTATTCTCTGATGGTAGTTTGTATTTCTGTGGGATTGTTGGTGATATCCCCTTTATCATTTTTTATTGCGTCTATTTGATTCTTCTCTCTTTTCTTCTTTATTAGTCTTGCTAGCAGTCTATCAATTTTGTTGATCTTTTCAAAAAACCAGCTCCTGGATTCATTGATTTTTTGAAGGGTTTTTTGTGTCTCTATTTCCTTCAGTTCTGCTCTGATGTTAGTTATTTCTTGCCTTCTGCTAGCTTTTGAATGTGTTTGCTCTTGCTTCTCTAGTTCTTTTAATTGTGATGTTAGGGTGTCAATTTTAGATCTTTCCTGCTTTCTCTTGTGGGCATTTAGTGCCATCAATTTCCCTCTACACACTGCTTTGAATGTGTCCCAGAGATTCTGGTTTTTGTGTCTTTGTTCTCATTGGTTTCAAAGAACATCTTTATTTCTGCCTTCATTTCGTTATGTACCCAGTAGTCATTCAGGAGCAGGTTGTTCAGTTTGCATATAGTTGAGCAGTTTTGATTGAGTTTCTTAATCCTGTGTTCTAGTTTGATTGCACTGTGGTCTGAGAGACAGTTTGCTATAATTTCTGTTCTTTTACATTTGCTGAGGAGTGCTTTACTTCCAACTATGTGGTCAATTTTGGAATAGGTGTGGTGTGGTGCTGAAAAGAATGTATATTCTGTTGATTTGGGGTGGAGAGTTCTGTAGATGTCTATTAGGTCTGCTTGGTGCAGAGCTGAGTTCAATTCCTGGATATCCTTGTTAACTTTCTGTCTCATTGATCTGTCTAATGTTGACAGTGGGGTGTTAAAGTCTCCCATTATTATTGTGTGGGAGTCTAAGTCTCTTTGTAGGTCTCTGAGGACTTGCTTTATGAATCTGGGTGCTCCTGTATTGGGTGCATATATATTTAGGATAGTTAGCTCTTCTTGTTGAATTGATCCCTTTACCATTATGTAATGGCCTTCTTTGTCTCTTTTGATCTTTGTTGGCTTAAAGTCTGTTTTATCTGAGACTAGGATTGCAACCCCTGCCTTTTTTTGTTTTCCATTTGCTTGGTAGATCTTCCTCCATCCCTTTATTTTGAGCCTATGTGTGTCTCTGCACGTGAGATGGGTTTCCTGAATACAGCACACTGATAGGTCTTGGCTCTTTATCCAATTTGCCAGTCTGTGTCTTTTAATTGGAGCATTTAGCCCATTTACATTTAAGGTTAATATTGTTATGTGTGA